>NC_000011.10:124748182-125051212 GCF_000001405.40 Homo sapiens
TGTGGACCAGCCACTCCACCCTGTACCGCTTGCCTGTACCCTCAAATACACAGGTTACACTGCTGCCACCAGCAAATTCCACGGCTGAACAACACCTCCTGCCCCTAAACACACTGAATGATGTCGGAGTTTGAGGGTTGCAGGCACCCGCTTTTAACTCAAGCCCTTTCCTCCCTCCTTGCGCCACCCCCCAGCCCTCCTGCTCACCGAAGGTCACTACCCCCATATGTCTCCTTGGGCTTCTTCCCCCTCTCTTTCTGGAACCTGACCAGGCAGAACGCAGCAACTGACAGCAACAGCACGCCCAGGAGCACCCCAATCAGAGCTCCGGCCACTCGGCCTTGGGAGGGTTCTAAGGAGATACAGGACCCTCACTCAGAATTGCAGGCTTTCCTCGGCCCACCAGCCGACAGCTTCCCCAACACAAGGCTGCTGGCCTGGCCTCCACCCAGCATCCCTACCGGTCACAGAGAGGGTCAGCTCACAGGATGCACTGCCCATCTGGTTGGTGGCCACACAGCGGTAGGTGCCCGAGGAGGTCAGGGAGAGGTTGGTGAGAATGAGCTGGCCAGACACCTCATCTAGAGGATGAAGAGGAAGTGTTCCACGACTCATTCAACTCAGTGAGCAGCTCTACGAGGACAGCACATTTCATGTCATCCTTATAACAATCCTGTCAGGGAGCAACTAATTTTTTTTCACTGGGGAGGAAACCGGTTCAGAAGAAGGAAGTAGTGTGTCTGAGGTGACCCAGAGAGGAATTCCAAAGCTGCTACAACTTACCTGTTCTTTCCACCCTACATAGCTGCCTTTTTGGGAGGAGGAGGACTGCACACTCATGAAGGATTCAGAAACTGGCAATGGAGTCGGGGTGGGGTGCTTACTGGCTGATGTCAGGTTCCTGGTTTGGGGTAAAAGGCTTGATTGCTAGAAACTGCATCCTGTAGGGTGGCTCTAAGCTGACACAAATGCTTTTCTAAACTGTTTACCTTTGCCTTAGAAGGCAGAGCACATACCAGGAAGGTGATCTGGGGGTGGGTCATTCATTTCTGGATTGATAAAGGAGTTTGCTGGGGCTGGAGAGAGAACTGGATCCAGGAAGAGGAAGCCAAGAAACTAAGGCTCCTCCAAAGAAACTGGTTAAAAGATTCCAGCCAGTCCATGCTACTCTGCCTCAGTTTCCTCTCTAGGAAGTTTGGAAGTGGTCCACGACCCTTAGGAAACCTAAAAGAAATCTCCCCAAGGCAGATGGGTGGTCATCATCAGATTGCTCCCTGCCCTCTACTCTCTTCCAGGATATCAGCAGTATATTCAGCTTGAGAAATACCCCCAGGATCATGCAGCCACAGACTGCAGAAAGACAGGCAGGAGGGAACAATACAGGAAGCCAAGGAAGAGACAGGGAAAGGTATAGTGGTTTGTGTCATACCCCTAGTCATGGAACGGATAATACGGGTGTGTGGGATTTAGAGACCAGATTTGCCCAGGTCTCCAGTACCCTCTTCCTGATGCCCTGGGCCCTTACCTTGAACCATGCTGCCAGGAGAAGGTGTAGGAAAAGTTCCAAGACGCACCCAGTTGTACACTGGCTTAGGAGCCCCCTCGGAAGAGCTGCATCTCAGTGCAGTAGAGCCTCCCACAGAGGTTTGTCCACTCTGACTGCATAAGGGATTACTGGGGGGAACTGCAAAAAAAAAAAAAAAAAAAAAAAAACAGAAAGTTCCTCAGCAATCTTCCAGCCCCACTCCCAACTCCATTAGGTGCTACATTCTCTACTTCAATACCCCTATCAAACAGTGGTCCTCTTGGGTCCACACACCACTGCATCCCCAGGAACTGAGGGATTTCCACTATTGGAAATTCTGATTGTTAGAGAAAATTCTTCTTCATGTTGAGCCAAAATGTGTGTTAACATAACCTCCACCCATTGGTTTCAGTTCCTGCCCTTTGGGCCCACAAAGAGAAATTAAAATCTCTCCTCCACATGACAGCCCTTTGGATAGTTGAATCCAGCAGTAATACACCCATCCGAGGCCTTCTCTTTTCCATCTAAACACTGCCAGTCTCTGTGATAGTTTTTCTGGTTGCTCATCTCTGAAAAGGCTCTAGTTTGGGGTGAGACAGAAGCTCTGAGCACGAAGTTGGTGCTCAGTAATAGGGGCCCTTGTTCCTTTGGTGGCCACTCCCCTTCTCTGCCATTGACCTTGGGAGGGACAGAATCCAACTACCGATGAGAGCCTCCCCCATGATGGAGCTGCTGGGAGCAGGCTCAGATCCCCATGTATGGGAAGGACTTTCTCTCACACACTCTGTTATTAGGCTCTGATGGAGGAGATGCTCTCGGTGGAGGGTGGAGTTGGAGTATGACCATCTGAATTAGAAGACTTGGAAAGGGAGTATTTTCACTTGGGGCCCCCAGTGCAGTTGTGTGCTTGGGCTAAAAGTCAGAAACCAGAGATTTAGCAAGACCAGTGCAAACGCCCCAAGTATGTGAAAGAGTATGTGGCTCGTGGATCCCCAGTCTGCCTTACCCAGCACAGTAAGGTTGATTAGCCCCAACCCATTGGTGTAGAAATCTGGTGGGTTGTTGACTTGGCAGAGGTAGGTTCCAGTATCTGAGGGGTGGACGTCAGTCAGTTTCAGTGTGGCCACCCCCACTGTGGGGGGGTTCTGAAGCAGGCTGACCCGCTTTGACTTAGAACCAGTTGGATACAGATGGCCATTGGTGAAGTACAGGATCTGGGGAGAGGCAGAAGACACACATATGTGCCTGTTTCTGCCTGGCATCAACTCTACAGTCCTTCCTCATCAAAGTGGGTATAAGAGGCCTCTGACTTACATCAGCCAGGGAGGCTGATACCCTTAAGCTGGAACTCCAAAGGTCTCTCTGTCCCCAAACACCACCCCCTTTCAGGTGCTAAATGAACCTGATCCATTGGTCTCTCTCTCTCTCTCTCAAAGAGAGAGGCAGAAGAGGCAGCATATTATCTTGGTATCAGTCACAACACCTTAGTGTCAATGGATACACTAAGGCAGGGGAGTTGGAAATAGGAGCTATGGAAGAGGAAAGGAAGATACACGGTCAGGCAGACTGCAGCTCTGAAAAGATCTAGGGAGAGCCCACTTACCTTTTCATCCAAGCATACTGATCCCCAAACTCCCCCTCCCGACCCCATGCCCTCATCCTGGGCTCCTGTCCCTCCAGGCCAACCCAGCTTCATGCAGTCGCTCTCAGCTCACTGGATGGGACTCAGAGATGGGTTTCCCAGGCTGCACAAAGCTCCACTCCAGGGCGAAGCTGTCTCCCACCGACGTGCTGTAGGTGCAGGTCAGCTCGGCTGTCTTCCCCAGGGGCGTGCTCAGCGGCTCTGTGGGTACCTTCACCTCCACGGCCAGCCCTGGGGCCGGGGACCAGAGGGAGGTGGGAACCCAAATTCCAGTGATCTGGAGGGTCGGGCCCACCCCCGGGCATCTATATTGGAAGCTGGGGGCTCCCTCCCCAGAGCACAACCCTCTCCCCTCAATCCAACCCCTCCCTTCCCAAAACCTGAGGTTTCCGGGAGGGGCCGGGTCTTTGTGGGTAAAAGAGCCGGAACCGGGCCAGGTAAGAGGGTGTGTGTGTTTAGCAGAGAAAGGAAAACACTAGCCCTGCGGTGGGGTGGTTCAGGCCTGTGCCGCGGAGAGGCCCAACTCGCTCGCCGGCTTGGGGGTCTCTCTCCTACGCCCTCCGGGCCTTGGACACCCCCTCTCCGGCCTCACCTCAGGCGCCTTAGGGCCCCTGGCGCCCACGGCAGCCTCATCTGGCCTGGCGGGGACAGAGTGGGTCCGAGGAGCCGGGGAAGCCAGGCCTATGCCCCCCAGCCCTCGCCGTGGTCCCGCCCGGCCCCTCCTCACCACTCAGGCACAGGAAGCCTAGCAGGGCCCCGCAGAGAAAGGGCCCCGGGAGCTCGGCCATGGCCGCGTCCGGCCGTCCTGTCCTGCTCCTGCCAGGTGGGCGGTCAAGGTCGGTCTGGGTGTCGGGCAGGGAAGGGAGCACCCAAGGGCAGCCGCCCGGGCTGGGCAGGAGCGAGACTGGTATCTCAGAGCAAACAGGGGAGAGGCCGGCGCCGCAGGTTAAAAAAAAAAAAAAGTGCTCCTCCCTCCTCTCCTCCAGCCCCGATTCTGCAATCCCTCTGTCCCTTCTTCCTCCTTCCTTCCTCTTCTCCCCAAGGTCTGAAGCTGTCCGGCCTTGGGAAAAGCGCTGGGCTTGGGGTGGGCCTTCTGCAGAGACGGAAGGAAAGCTGACTTTGGAAGGCGTCCTGATACCCCAGAGCTGGCAAGGGGAGTCCCCACCTCGGAGCCTCACTGTGAGTGTGAGCCCCAGGCCGCAGACCCTTCCTGTCCACAGCGCTTTTCATTTCACCACTTACTGAGGTAGGAGTCTCTGTAGAAATGAGCATCTCTCCATTTCCAGAGCCACTCCATTTTAGGGGCAGAGAAACTGAGACCTAAAGGAGACCTCACCCTTGGTAGGAAAGAACATGGCAGAACTTGGACACAGACCTGCACCTCATACTATGCCCAGCTCTCCCTCAGTAACAACAGAGATCTCTTCCAGATGGGCAAGGAGTGTTTTGTTAAGGATTCCGTGGTGTGGGAGAGGAGCCCACGTGAGCTTCCTCTCCCCTGTCCCTGAAGAGGAAGCAGATGAGGTACACGTACCCCCTAGCCGGGAGCACTCAAGCTCCAGCAGAAAGCGTATCAACTCCATCCCTCTGCTGTTCAGAGTAGCTTAGAGTCTCCTCCCCTTCTCCACGTGACAAACAAGGACCCTTCTAAACACTAGAAGAGCTGCTCTAAGCCTGTGGGGGGAAGCCCTCCTGGGTACACAGCTTGGGAAGGGGTCCACTTTGCATCCTCCTGAAGCTCAATTTCAAGAATTCTTAGTTTGAAAAGGCAACTTGTTTCTTATCTCATACAAACATTATGTATCTTTATTTAAATTTGCAAATGAAAACAACACATATTTCATGTTAGTTTTAATAAGAGATTCCCTATCCTCTGCCCCAGTAAAACCTAACCAAGCCAGCCTGACAGGTTATATCAATACAGGGAGCTGGAGTGGGAGCCAAGGGTGGTGTTAGATAGGGGTGGGGTACAGATCAAGGGGGCCTGGGAGACTCAGTGACTGGAAGTCTCTGCCCCTCACTCTTGGTGAGTAGCTAATTTCAGCAGCTGGCTTCATAAGGAGGAGTCAGGGGTGGGTGGAGGCTCCTCCCAATTCCAGATCCACTTCCTCTTCTCCTTCTGTCTCCTGGACACTTAGGTCTTACTGAGATGGTTTTCCCACAGTAAAGAGAGGTGGGGGCAGAGTACTAAGGGTCAGGAGTGTGACTCTTTCCCATGACTCAGGCCTCTGTGCTAGAGGTGACCCTTATAGGAAGGAGAGACCCCAAATCCTTTAGCCAATGAGTGGTGGGGTCATCATACCAGAGAGCCAGCTTGACTCTGGGCAGGCACCATCACAGGCACAGCACCCATGCGGCTCAAGCCAGAGGAAGAAACCCCACCAGGGATGGGGGATATTGGTTGAGGGTGGGCCCCATCTGTCGTGGGCAGTCTTGGTGAGGGCAGGGCCTGGCTGGAGAGACTGGGCGTGGGGGTCAATGCACCAGGCCTGGGAGGGCCATGGGGTGGCCGGAGGGCTCGTGCGGAGGTGACAGAGGAAAGGGTCCCATTCTTGGAGATTGTGTCTGAGCTCTTGGGCCAGGGCAGGGTCCGGGGAGCAATGGCATCCTCCCTAGTCATCAAAGAAATAACAAGAGGTCAGAAGTGGGTGGGGGAAGGAGGAGAGAGTTTCTACCTGCTTGGTCTTATATACCACCTCTGCCTGCACACTTCAGTACTCCTTTCCCTCTCCCTTAAAACCTGCCCATAGGAATGATGTTTCAGCCACTGACCCCATCCCAATAGATGAGAGCTGCCTGAATTCCCAGCCTCTGTGAGGAGAGCTGGGAGAGCCCCCGCTGCAGCAGACACCAGGGACACTTACTTGATATCATTGGCTGGCTCCTCCAGGGCCTTGCCCCGGCGGTGGTACAAGAGGACCAGCCCAGCCAGCAACCCCAGTCCAACCAGGGTACCCACAACAGCTCCAGCAACCACTGCAGCTCCAGGCCCTGGAAAAGGCGTCGTGTCAGAGGAGGACACCCAGCTGAGGGGTTCTCACCCCTCTCCAATCCCACTCTCCCCACCCCATCTGCCACCATACACATTCCCTCTTTTTCCCTGTCAAGAAGAGGGGTGGCTGTTGAGCAGGAAATGACCAGTCACTGACCAACCATTTGTACAAACATTTGATCAGGGGAAGCTCCGTGCCCTGCTACAGAGACAGGCCTCAGCAGACAGGCCTCCTCCCCACTTGCAACCCCTCCCCCACCATTGACCACTCTTCTTAACCACACTTACCCCTCACTGACCTGTGCTCACTTCCAGCGTCACATTACATTGGGCAGTGCCCACCTCATTGTGGGCCTTGCAGACATAGACTCCAGCCATGGAAGACGAAAGGTTGGTGAGGCTTAAAGACCCACGGATGACATCTGTGGACACAATTTAGCCATCAGTCCAGGGACCCTCTTTCCCATTAAAAAAAAAAAAAAATCTTGTCCCTCCTCTGGAATGTCCCCTTTGACCCTCTGGGAGTCACGGCTTGTCTATTCCCTGATGGGGGGAGAGGTGTGACAGCTGGGCTTGGCTCCCAGCTGCAGACTGACTAGTGCAATAACCTCCATTGTCACTCCTCAGTCAGTGCCCCCAGTGGATATCCGACAGGAGGCCACAGAGAAAGTGAAGCACAGAGAAACCAAAACACCATTTTACTTTTATTTCGGCAAGACAGTGTGATGAGAGAGAAAGAACACTGGGGTAGGAACTGGTAAACGTGGGTTCCAGAACAGGCCATGTGACTGACTTTAAGCAAGTTAGTTGATATCTGAGGGTCTCCATTTCTTCATCTGTAAAATGGGGACAATATGACCTCCCTGAGGGTGTTGAAAGGACTATATGGACTAATCATTATAACAGTGAATGTTTAGGGGGGAGGGATAGCATTAGGAGATATAGCTAATGCTAAATGAAGAGTTAATGGGTACAGCACACCAGCATGGCACATGTATACATATGTAACTAACCTGCACATTGTGCACATGTACCCTAAAACTTAAAGTATAATAATAATAAAATAAAAATAAATAAATAAATAAATAAAACAGTGAATGTTTATTGGCTGCTAACTCTGTGCCAAAGACTGCTCTAGATTCTTGATGTGTATGAACTTACCACAATTTCCCAACAAACCTGTGAGGTAATAAGTAGTATTTTTAAAAAGAAAAAGCTACTATTATAAAAATGGTCATGTGAAAAGTAGAAAGAGGCAAAATGAAAATCCATATTCCCACAACCTAGATCCAACAGTTGCTAACTTTTTGCCATATTTATTTGATTTCTTTCTTTTACTTAGATATTTTAAAGTAAATACATCAGCATAAATCTCCAAAAAAGCAGTACGTCGTTCCATATGACCACAATAGCATTGCCACGCCTAGGAAATTAATAACGTAACTATCTAAAATCATCGAATACTTCATATTAAAAATGTTTCAGTTATCCCTAAAATTTTTTTTTATAACTGGTGTGTTCAAGTCACACTAATGAGTTCAAGCTGATATGTGTAAAATCCGCATTTTACAAATTCAGGAAAGAAGGCACCGAGTCACACAGCTAGTCACTAGAAGAGCTGGAATTTGAACACAGACACTCCAGCTGTAGAGCCTGTTTCATAACAGTATACACATGTGAATGCACCTAACACAATACCTGCCCCTGGCAGGGCATCTTTCTCTGCCCCACATCCTCCCCACATCCTCCTCCTCCTCCCCAGTGCTTGTCAGCCTTGGCTCCCCTTTTCACCCCAGTCCCTGTGGTACCTCTCATCTTTCCCCTTCCCCAGCCACAGTGTCCACTGTTTCCAGTAGTGTCCTCACCTAATGCTGGTGCAAAGAAAGTCTGGAAGGATGGAAGCTGCCGATCCCACTGGTATTGGACAGCGGGCTTACTCCTTGGAGACTGGCAGCTCAGGGTCACGTTTGCCCCCACATGGGGCACACCCTGGAGACGGCAGGATGGAGGAGCTGGAGGAACTGGGCAGGGGGAGACAGATTAAAACCACACCCAGGAGACCCACAGATCCTCTCCCTCTGCCCTGCACCCTTCTGTCGCTTCATTTGTTCCTCCTCCAACTTTTGTCATTTAGGAGAGAGACTCACCAGACCTCCCAGTGCAGGTGGGGAGGGGTCCGGAAATCTGCTTCTCACTCACCCAGTACATTGAGTTCTAAGGTTTTGATGCTGTGGCCCCTAGATTTGCCTTGTTTGTCTTGCACATTCACGGAGCAGCTGTAGGGGCCAGAGTCTTTCTCCTGGAGACCCTCCAGCCGCAGGGACAGGTTCCGGGAGGGCATGGAGTAGACCAAGGATACTCCAGGTTTGCTTGTTGTGACCCCATTGATGTAGGACAACACCTGGTGTGGGGCATAACACATCCCCGTCATTACTACATGTGTCTACTGTGCCTACAGGCTCAGCCACTCTCCCTCCCCCAGCTCGCATTCTCCAAATGCCCCTCACATGCACCCATTCTTCTAACCTGAACCAGCTCCCCATTCACCTTTTGTCCCTAGCCCCCTCTCACTGCCCCTGGGTCCTCTTCACCAGAACAGTTCTTCGTTCCTGCGCATTGTCTCATCTCCCAATTGCGGTGTTTAGAAAGGTGACATAATAGTGGGAGGAGGGACATGTAAATAGGAGGTATGTATATATGCAACTCAGACTGCTGGGGTGGATCCAGGTTTGTAAGACCTGAAACTTACACAATGGGGAAGGCATCTTGGAGGAAAAAAATATTAAAAATGTATTTTAAAAGTATCAAATGAGGCTGGGCACGTTGCCTCATGCCTGTGAGCACTTTGGGAGGCTGAGGCAGGTGGATTGCTTGAGTCCAAGAGTTCAAGACCAGCCTGGGCAATACGGTGAAACACAGTCTCTACAAAAAATACAAAAATTAGCCTGGCATGGTGGCGTGTGCTTGTAGTCCCAGCTACTCAGGGGGCTGAGGTGGAAGGATTACTTGAGCAGGAGCGGTAGAGGCTGTAGTGAGCGAAGACTGCACCATTGCATTCCAGCCTGGGCAACAAGAGTAAGACCCCTGTCTCAAAAAAATCCAGCTGACTTCCTTGAACACAGTTTTCAGGGGTTCTGAACATTGTTTCATTCTCTTCTGGGGTAAATCTGTATTTGGATGTAAGCCCGGTGTCAAAACAGATGGGTGGGAGATTGTGGGAGGAGATGGCCCCTTGGCTCTCAAGGTGGTATACAGGGGGGCAAGGTGACAGATGAGAATCATTTGGGAAGAGAAGTGGCCTGTGACTTGACAGTATTCAAAGCAGAGAATGTGAAAACAGAAATATGCTAACTTTTTTTTTTTTTTTTTTTTTTGAGACAGAGTCTTACTCCGTCGCCCAGGCTGAAGTGCAGTGGCTGGATTTTGGCTCACTGCAACCTCCACCTTGTGGATTCAAGCAATTCTCTTGCCTCAGCCTCCCAAGTAGCTGGGATTACAGGCGGGTGCCACCATGTCCGACTAATTTTTGTGTTTTTAGCAGAGACGGGGGTTTCACCATATTGGCCAGGCTGCTCTCGAACTCTTGGCCTCAAGTGATGTGCCCACCTCGGCCTCCCAAAGTGCTGGGATTACAGGTATGAGTCACTGAGTCAGGCCAGAAATATGCTAACTTTTATAAGTCGTGTGTGTTACTTCCCCTAAGCGTTTCCCAGTCCTCAACTTCCATTCTTCCCCTCCTCCTCTCCTCCCTCATAACCAAGTAAAATGCCTCTCACACTTTTACAGTATTTTGTGTGCTGGATTTTTAGGGAAAGCCGGCAAAAGATAATTGTTTGGGAAGTCTCCAATATCAGAACAAAAACTGAACTGGTGAAGACTTCTGCTTTTCCCTGAAACTCCTTCCCCGGCCCCCATTCCCTCTCCACCCCTCCCACCGCTACCAGCTCTTTGCTTACAACCCCCTCTGGGCGCAACTTGCCGCTGGCTGACAGGCGTTCTTCCCTCACCTGATCCTCCTTTTCTTTCTGTTTGAAGAACCACATCACAAAGGGCACCTCCCATGGCTGGGATGAAGACACCTCCCCGTGCAAGGTGTACCACGCTGGAAGCACCACTTCCCCTCCCTCCACCGCCTGCAACCGGTTGGCGGGCAAGTGCAGTTGCAGCTGGGCCCGCGAGGGGGGCGCTGGAGACAAGAGCGAGGCGTGAGTGCCCAGGACCGGCTCCCAGCTCCGCCCGCGGACCCTGCCCTACGCGGCTTCACCAGAGAGCGAGGAAAGTCGCTTTAACTGGAAAGAGGAACCTTGCGGGGTCCGGCCCCTGGAGGCCTCAAGGGGTGCCCAGGGACCACTGGCTCAGTGTCCTGCTTCCCATTTCATCACGACTTCTCTCCACCGCCAGCCTCTGCAGTTGTAGCGGGGATGGGGACACATTTATATGCATTTATTCGTATCCAGAGGCGCAGATTTCTGAGCATCAAAGAGAGGGGGCAGATTTCCAGCGAGGAGGGGAAGATATGAGAAGAAAGGGTGGACCGACTGTTTCTGTCGTACGCGCCACGTAGCCCACTTGCTTCCCTAGTTTTCCTGAGGGAGAGTAGGGATGCTGCTCCGGGCCGCCAGGGTCCCTCACTCCCGAGTTCTCAAAGGGCGGAGGGGTTTGGGAGGCCGTCTGGTTACCTATTAACCCTGCGGCTCCTTCTGAGCTTGCCAGGAGCTGGAGAGAGCAGAGCAGCCCAGCGCCCAAGCCTGACCCAGTGAATGCGATGCTCCCCGCCCTCCCGCGCAATCTCAGAGGCGGGCTTCCCTCGGAAAACGGAGGGTTGAAACCCAGAAAGCTCCTCGGAGCCCTTCTGGGGTTCGGGCGATCTGGGCAGAGAACTCTCGGGTGGCAAGGAATTAAGGGCAGCGCGAACGACGGTCTCTAGACAAGTATGAAGCCTCCCCTGAGTGTGTCCGGCGCTCAGGGGGTGGACCGGGGTGTTGGTTTCAAGGAGGGGGCCATCGTTTGCACCACGGCGTCCAGAAATACTCATCCTTTGCCCTTCGGGGAGGCAACAGAGCAGCCAACTGGTAAGCCCTTTGGGGAATAACCTTGGGCTTGCACACGGCCAGGCCTGAGGATGATCGCCGCTCCAGTCCCGGGCCCTACTCCCTCCAGGCCTCGGCCCTCTGCCTCGGAGCGGAAGACGCCACCTCCGCGTGGCGAGCAGGCGGCCAACGCCGCGGGAAGAGGCCGCAGCCAGGCCCCGCTCTCCACCCTCGCCCTAGGAGAGCCAGGCTGAAGGCCTCTAAGGGCTGGGAGCCGATCCGGCCAGGATGCAAGCCTCCCCCACCGCTTCCCGGCTGCGCCGTACAGAACCCCCACCTCTGTTACTTGGCCTTCGCAGCATCCCCCTTCCCATTTCCTGGAGGATCTCTGTGGTCTGGGCAGGAAATTTGTACCCAGTGATAAGGCAGAAGACAATGAAGGGGGGGCCACTAGACCGGAGGCTCTACGGGAGGAAACAATCCCCGCCTCAAGGAGCTGGACGCCCCCTGGGGACCCGGCCCGCTGGCCATTCCGCTGAGGCCGGGCACGCCTGGAGCCTGCAGGTGCTGCCGGCTCTCCCCCAGCCTTTCTACGACACACACCCGGCGGCCAGAAAGGGTTTCCGCCGGGAAACTGCCTGGGGCCCAGAAGGGGCGCGCCCTTCCTTCACCTTGTGGACCACCAGCGACCTCCCCAGGTCCCACATTTATAATTCCACTTTCCAGAAGGTAGAGGAGAGTTAAAAGAGATAGTAACGGACACACTGGGGTCTGGGCACATGCTCCTTGCCCTTCGCCCTGTCAGAAACTAGGAACAGAAGAGGGCCTGAGGCTTTTCTGCTCTCCCTCCTGGGTGTCTGCTGGCTCGGAAGTCACCAACTGGTCCGTTTTTTTCGGTCCCAGGGTCCACGGAGCCACTGGGAGAGAAAAGGAGTCTGGTTGGGTCTGATCGAAGGACACTGGGACAGCCCAAGAAAGGGACCCTTCCGGCCCACAGCCCTCTCCGAGGCCAGAGTGAGGGAGCCGGCAGGGGCCGAAGGAGAGCGAAATGGGCCCGCTCCCCGGGGCTATTTTTAGTCTCCCTCTTTCTCTGAGAAACTCCCCCCGCGGGCTTCTCACGCCCCAGGGGCAGCAGCACTGAGCCGCCGAGGAGCCTACTGAGCCGGAGAGCCTCCTCCAGAGCCCAGAAGAGCGGAGCCGGGCGCCTGCACGTTGCACCGGGGTCACCAGTGCCATTTAACCCTCGAGTGGCTGGCGGGAACTGGGCAACCCCCCAGGGGGACCGATTGGAACTTTTGAGTCCAGGTCTTCAGTCTGACAAACTGAGGCTCAAAGCTGGGGTAGGACAAAGGGTTGCAGATGAGCAGCAGGTGAAGCCTGGGACACTCAGGCAGTCAACTTGAACTGTCCTCCCTGGCTTCAGAGATTCCCCCAGCCCCCACCCCCCACAAGGAAGGGGGATAGAGTTGGGGTGGAATGCAGAAGGAACAGAGCTGAAGTTGAAGTTGGGAAAGGCGGGATGAGAAGTCTGAGGGATCCTGGAGCAGGCCCACCAAGCCCAGAGGGACAGAAGGCTACTTGTGGCCTTGGTGTGGCCTGGGGGGCTGTACTTGAGACTCATTTTGTCCAAGGACTATAATATTGCATGCCCCGACACCTGTGGGGCACAGAACATGCTAAAGGGGACACTGGTGATCCTCATCTCTGTCCCCATCATTGTAGAATTTCACTCTACAGCTTCCCAGGCCTTACTTGTCCTGACATCCTCCAACCTGAGAAATGAGTTAAAGTCAATATAGCTAAACCCACCCTTCACTCCCATTCGAGATCCTTGAAGGGAGATGGCAAGAAAGCTGAGGGACAGCAAGTGAAATAGTTTAAAAGGGCCTAGTCCTGCCGGGTCCTCTCCCAGATGGAGTTCTGAGCCACCCCAGCTTCAGCTGAAGCCAGCGCCCCTGGAGGCCTACAACACTTCCCAAACACTTGCTCCAAGGAGGTTCCCTTCCTCTCTGACCCTTGGCCACCCTCCTCCCAATTTCCCCTCTTCCCTTTGGCTCTGGAAACCAATAAGGGTGGTGGGCCTTGGGGGGGTGGGGTGGTCACAATTCTGTTTCTCTGTGCGTTTGAACCCCTCCCCCATTTCCTGTGTCCCAAATGACCTCACGGTCGTCCTTTTGGGGCACCTCCCTTGATTCCCAGGGCAGGAAGCAGGAGGGGGCAAGAGAGAGCATCTGCGCTGGGGAATTGACACGAAGTGCGTGTGTCAAGCCTGGGGACCAGGGGTATTTCCCCGGGGGATCTTCCTCATCAGCTTGTATGTGGGGTCGGGGATGAGAGGGGGCTAGAGTTAAGTCCTTAAGCTCTTTAGCCAGTGTCTCATCTAGCGGCTCAGCTCATCCGGCTCTGCTGGGTGGGGGGTGGGGAGTGGACAGGGTGAGGAATGGTTCCGATAACTCACCCCAGAGGTATCCAGGTCTTCCGAGAGATGCCCTTACCTCCCCCCGCCATCCGCCCCCACACCCAAACTGGGGGCTGTCCCCGACAAAGCGAGAAGTCAGCGCCAGCCAGTGATGCCCTGGAGTGGGATTAGGAGGTCAGGGGAGGAGGGCGAGTCGTGGGACCCAGTTCCGCAGCAGTGGCCAAAGTTCTCCCTCAGGGTCGAACTCACCCCATCCCGCATCCCAAGTCCCCTCCAGGTCCGGGTTTCACTCACCGAGGGCACTCAGCCCCAGGAACAAAAACCGCAGCAAGTTGGTCACCAGGGGCCCCGGGAGGGAAATCATGGCCCTCCCTGGCCGGGACGGAGTCAGGGGCGCCAGCCGCGGGACGCACGGACCTGCAGGTGCCGAGGCTGCGCGACGGCCGGAGCGTGCGCGGGAGCCGAGCCGCTGACACCCAGGGCGGCTCCAGCCCAAGTCTGCGCGCCTGTGTGCCGGTGGCGGGGTGGGGACCGACGGCGACAGCGGGGCGGGGCATTCGAGGGGGCGGAGAGGTCGCCGTCCTCCCGGGCGGGGCGCGCGGGGTCCGCCGCCCGGGGGCGCCCCCAGCGCGCGGACGGCGGGACCCTGCGGCCTCCTCCAGGTCTGGACGCAGGGAGGGGTGAGGTAAGCTCTGATGCCCCACGAGCCAGCCAGGTACGAGTAGAGGGGGAAGAGGAGGCTCCAGAACTATCCTGAGCCGTAACCTTCCCTTCCGCCGGGGTGGGATAGGAAGGGTGACCAGGAAGGGTGGGAAATTTGGGGACTATCCGAAGTCAGAACCACCCGTAACACCTGACATGTAAACGCTCCTGGGCTCTGGCTCCAAACTTGGGGGTGCCGCATCCCCGGCCCAATCAGGGCGGTCTTCCTGAAGGAGGAAGAGGGGAGCAGCGTTTTCCAGCTGCAGGGAGAGGCCGGAGCGCCGGCCGCGCGGGCTCCCTGGCACAGCGGGAATCTGTGGCTTTCCTGGAGGCGGGGGCTGCGCGGCCACCGGAGCGCGGCAGCGAGGGCGACGGCAGAGGTCGCGCGGGAGCCCAGGGCGCCCCGGGACGCGCCAGCGGGGAATCTTCACCCGCGGGCAGGAAAAAGCGCTCCGCGAGTTCAGCAGACCCCAGCCCAGGCTGGAGGATTACCCCGGCCTGTGCCTCATACTCCGAGCAGGGAAGGTTGGCACAAGGTAGTCCCGGGAGCTGAGCAGGAAACTGAGGCAACGTGCGTGCTGCTCCCAGCTTAGCCCCTGAAATGAGCGGCGTACGGGCCTGATGCTGACTGGGGAGGAGGGGCGGCTGCGGGAAGGAAGACAGGACAGTCCCTCCGTTTCTTCTTTATCCCCCAAATCTTCAGTGCCTCCCATCCCCGCAGCGAAAGGCTCAGGCGCGCTCTGATCCTTTAATTCCCGAGACTAGATCTTGGTCGCTGTGAATTGAATTTTACGCCCCCCTTCCCGCGCCATTCGGTCAAAAGGCACCTCTGCGCCCTCTGGCGGCCGCCGCTCCCTTACAGAAAGGCACGCACCTGTTCTTGCTTTTCTGTCCAACAGCCAAAAAAAAAAAAAAAAAAAAAAAAAAAAAATGCTTCAAACATCCCAGCACAGCTCAACCACCCAGCAAAGGTCAGTGAGGGAAGAAAGCATAACAACGAATTCCTGACGCTGCCCGCTCTGCGGGCAGAGCTGTCTGGGAAGAAAAGCAGCCAGGCCTGCGGGATTCCATTTACTGCACATAGTTTTGCTGTTTTAACAGAGTGTAGTCCCTGGGCCCACACTTCACACAAGATCTTTTTCTATACAGTGCCCCATATGCCCTCTCAGCTGCTTCTTTCTAGTGTGACCTGCCTGGCTCCTCTTCAAATACCTGCCATGCAGTGGCTTTGAGAAATGCCTATGCAAACACAAAACTGCTCATGCAAACCCTAGAATCTAGTACTTGGCAGCTCAGTGGAGGCACAGACAACAGGAAGAGATACCTGCCAGTCTCACACTCTTGTGTAGGGAGCTACAAACTTGGACTTGGCCAAGCAGATTGTGTGGTGGGGTTGGGGGCTGTTGGTTTGGTTTTCCTATTCCATCACACTCAAATTTTTCTTGGCTTTAGTCTGCATTGCAAACCATCTCTTGTAAACACCCCTCCTTTGTTTCCAGACAAGTCACCCCAAATAAGTAACTCCTTCCAAGAGAGGAAGTACAAAGTCTTTTGGTTCTAACCCAGAAACACCAAGTATCTAATCACACAGGCTGTGCTTATCCTGATCAAGTGCTACATAAGGTGTAGCCTCAACATTCATTCCCTGTAGCTAACTTTTCCTTCAGAATTCAGATCCCAAATGACTTGTGACATGGGAAGTAAAGCTGCAACCAATGATTTGTAGTCAGTGAATGTCTCCATGTGACACAGGGGCAGTCTCTTCAAGATTCTTTGACCGTAAAGAATTGTCCTCACTGTCTCCTGTCTCCTATTTCAGCTATTTCTTTCTTCTGACCCTGAGGGCAGTCAAGTCGTAGAAGTTAGCAGAGCAGCTCCATTACTTTGTGAAAGTTTTCACCAAGATGCATTTTAGGGTGGACTGCTCTCCACCCTGGTGTAAATCATGAATGCTGACACAGATGATCTATGTGCGACCTGGGAACTGCTTACATAAACGTGTGCAAGAGCTAGTTCATAGTTTCATATGTTAGAGACTTGCAGGTCATTAGTGTTTCTTCCAATCACATCTCATGTTAGATTCCGAAAGTAATTCCTAATATTTACCTTTACATTTGAATATACTTTCTCTGTCCCCCTTGAATCAGTTATAAGGCTTCATTAAGGTCTAAATATTCCATTTCTTATTTTCGGCAGTGCTCATAGTTATCTGACATCCTGCTATCTTCTTTTCTAGACTGTTCTGGCCAAAGAGACTGGAGATCCAGTATCAGCAAGCTACTTTCTTGGTAAACCTCCATTTCCCAATGCTCATCTTTGTCCTCTACCCCCACCCATCCCAAGGCAAATGATGAAAACATCTATTGGATCCAGCCTTTGCTATCTTCTCCATGCTGCTCATAGTGGGTCTAGCAATGTCCCATTCTCGGTAATGTTTGGTAGGTCTAAAACATCCTCACGAAATGTTCCCCAAATGTTCTGCTCCAGCTGAGCAACTAATAACAATGGGAAGATGCAGAAAAAAAATGCATGGAGCATAATGTTAGTTTTGGGACTCGTCAGTGGCAACGTTTTAGAGATGCCATGAAGAATTCCTGGTAATAATCCTTCTTCCTACAGCATTTAGCAATGAATACTATGGGATTATGGCTAAAAGATGGTCAAGACTGCCTCAGCCATTAGGATCAGAATTCTAAGTTCCAAAGAAGAGCAAACTCAAGAGGATTTCCTCAGGCCTCTGACTATAGATGCTGCCTGGGGAGAACAGGTGCTACACTCAAAACATTCTCATTTTATTTATATCCTCCCTGAACTAGTACCCAACTCCATAACCCCAGACTCAAATAACAGAAATAAAAGCCATCTCACTGATTATAAGCTCTCTAGTTATTACAAAAATAAATAAGCATCAATCAACCAACAGGCATCAGAATGAGAAAATCACTGATTTGAGACATTCAGGCTGCAGGAAAAGAACACTTTTTGTTAATATGTAACTATATCTTCAGTAGTACAGAAAAATGAGAAGAACGAGAGTTCTTACCTGGATTTGCGGCTCACTTAAAGTAGAGCACCTGAGATGCTGGGAAATCATAAAGATAAATAACCAATCTAACAAATTCCTGCCATGAGACCAAAGTGATCCTTGACTACTCTATTAGTAAGCGACTCTGAGCCAAGAGTACGAACCTGTAAGTGGAGTGGTGGTTGGCCCATTAGAAATCTCTGAAAGATCTAAACATGACAGTTACCTTCCTACTGGACTCATACTTCTCAATTCCCTCTCCTAAAAGAATACTTTTGGGCTGGCCCCAGTGGCTCACACCTGTAATCTCGGCACTTTGGGAAGCCAAGGTGGGAGGATTGCTTGAGGACAAGAGTTTGAGACCAGCTCGGTGGAAACATAGCACCATCCATGTCTCTACCAAAAAAAGAAAAAAAAAAGTGAAAAACATTGCTGGCGTGGTGGCACTTGAGCCTGTAGTTTCAGCTGCTCAGGAAGCTTTGAGGCAGGAGGATTACTTGAGCCCAGGAGTTCGAGACTGCAGTGAGCTATGATTGTACTACTGCACTCCAGCCTGGGTGACAGAGCAAGACCCTGTCTTAAAAAAAAAAAAAAAAAAAAAATTTCTACTGGATCTTCCTTCCTTTTGAGAGATAGCAAGATTACATCAGTTTTCCAGTTGTACTCCTTGAGAGCTGCCCCTGAGTACTGAGTGTAAAAGATGAGGAATGAGTCTCTTACAAATTGATGTACTTAGGGTCAAAAGGATTATCCTAGTCATTTTTAGTCATTTTTCAAAGAATTACAAAATGAGATGTTCAGTGACCTTTGGTACTCTGACAGTAAATAATGACATTGGTCAGTGAGGTATAGAGAATGAAAGGATGTGAAGATACCCTGCTCTGTTTGTTCTCTTCATTCTTAGCAGTCAAGTCAGAGCGCAGCCCCCACTGCCAGTGCAGCCACACTCTGCTACAAAAAGCTCAACTAGTACGCCAAGGGGCCAGGAATTACTTTAATTTTTTTTTTTTAAAAAAAGGTTTAAATGGCAACACAACTGTAAAGTTGGTACATCACAGAAACAAAGGTCTTTGCAAGCAATACTGATTGGAAATAGCAAAACACTTGGCTGGTGAAAAAAATGAAAATCTAAATTATATACAATAGTAGCTAAGGGTGATATTGAAAAAGTCTTTTTAACTGTGAATCAAGATTTAACTTGCCATTATCTATTGCTTATTTATTCAGGGTTGTAAATATTACTTATATAGAGACATAGAGATGTGTAAAAATGAAACATTGTGAAAAAAATACAATTTTTCAATTTCATATGAAACTCAAAGTATAAGTTTTGTCCAATATGGAATGTACCTACATTTGTTTATATTAGGGCTCTAAAATCCATTTAAAAATTGTTTTTCTGTTTTTAAAAAAGAAATAGCTGACCCACCATGCAAGTTCGCTATATATCTTGCTTGCTCAAAATGAGCATTTTCAGGTGAGGTCTGTTTTTTCTGGCCCAAGTCTACTATGATTCCTTAGAAGTCGTACTGGCCCAATTGAAGAAAGGGTTTCCATGAAGAGTCTGACGGCGGCATCTGGATGAGGGGTGGTCCGGGTAATGGGAAGTGAGTAGAGAAGAAGGAGCTAAGAGCCCAAATCCTTATGAAGGATGACATTCAGTTGTTAAATTTTAAGGGGTATCCAATGGCTTTTTCCAGGCACTCAACTAAAGAGCCTGCGGAAAGAAAATCCCTCTCTACTTCTACAAATTTGATGTAGATGGATTTGGGGGAAACTCCGGGATCCACAATACAGTTCTGAGACAAAAACCCGTTAATACCAACCCAATCTTTGCTGAAGGTTTTGGTATTCGCTTGGAAATGTAAAAATAAGCACTGCTGTAGAGTCCTGACCTCAGCAATCCCGAGGTAGCAATAGATAATTCGGGTGGGTTCTATTTCCACCTGTAATGAGGCTTGTGCTGAAAGGGTTTCCAGGTCAACCCGGCCCTCTTTTCCTGGGTCCAGGGAACTTTGCTCCATGTGTGGTGAGAGGGGCCTCTCAATACATTCTTCATAGCCAATGGCATAAAGGCCTGGGCTTTTAGGAATACCCCCAGGCAATAAATATTGAACAACATTCCCACCAGTTGGTTTGGAGTGGGCAATGGGTATCCAGTCAATTTCCATGTGCAGCTCCAAGCACCTAGCTTCGCTAATAGTGATCTCTAAAAATTTGTAGTAAACATTTTTCCAGTTCATTTTCTGCACTCGGGTCATAATGATCCGTCCTTCAGGCTTCTCAGAGTTGAAGTACTCCCGAAGTCGCTTGCCAAGGGGCACCTGGGAGCTGATCTCAGCATAATGGTAACGGATATCCTCTTTCCAACGGGTGTTATAACCAATTCCAAAAATGGCCAGTTTATTAGAAAGATGGAGCCTTGAAAAGTCTGTCCAGCTCTGAAAAAGTTCCCATTTCAACTGTACCGATTCCAAAATCTGTACAATATTCTGCATGATGTCTCTCTTCCTGGAAAGACAAATAAAAGTCAAATTCCCTAAGTATCTAGAACAGCGGTGTCAGATAGAACTTTCTGTGATGATGGAAATGTTCTGTATCTGCTGCCCAATATGGTGGCCACTAGAACATGAAATGTGGCTGAGGTATTACATTTTTAATTATATTTAGTTTAAAATTACATTTAAATAGCCACATGTGACTAGCAGCTACTGTACTGGGCAGTGTAAGTCTAGACAATCAACCTATTAAAATGAAAAGAAACACACCCCTAGCAAGTTTCTAAGAATTAATGATAAACTGCTTTCCATGACTTCTACAGCCTCACTGTATAATCAGAATCAATACCTTAGACTCTAGGATTTCAGAAATCTATGGATCATAATATTTTAAAGTGGCTATTATGTCTATGATGGCCTTCAGACCTACCTACCTACCAAAATAAGGTGAAAAATGCTGTATTTAGAAAAGTATCTGGCGTCACTTAAAATAATTAACAGCTTAATTTCTAACCTGGAAATTCAGAAAGTCCAATAATGGGCTTTGTGTGTGCTGTGGGAAAATATACAACTGATTATGGCTAATGACCTTTTTAAAATGACATTTTCTATTTGTCTGAAATTCATTACTAATCCCAAAATTAATAGAAGTCAGGTTAGCACAGAATTAAGATCTGGGAATTCAGATGGAAAAGGCTCACATTAGGCTTAGATTTCAAGAGAGCAACATTCAAGATAATAAATTGAGACTGTTCTAGAAAACCCTTTATAAAGGGAAGCAAAAATATAGGAATTATTTCAATTTTGACTCATATACTTAACAGAAGAAGACAGAAAATGCTGGAATTTTTATTTCACGGGCTGCTTAAATCATGTAATTTGTATATATATGAAGCTATATAAAGTTTGCTTCTCAAGTACAGCAAAACTTTGATACTGGAAGATTGGTTCGTTAAATATTAACTTGGCAACAAACTACTACCCTCCACATCAATTACGGGTTTAACCTATAAAAACACTCAACTACCACACTTACATACAATCATACACAGGCAAGAAAGGGGGTGTGCGTGCTAACAGCTTCTTGAAAACGGGCTCTGGAAGGAGCTTGATCCTTGAGACTTTTCCTGCTACGTTCTCATACCTTCTAGGGGAGGAGCTTTGGGAACATTCTGGCGAGGCTTCACGTGGCCATTCTCAGTCTGTCCTCTCGCTCTCCTTGACTTTCTTTGCAAGATGGCAGAGAATTAATATTTTGTTATCAGCTGCTTCTTGGAGCTAAGACTGCCCTGAATTTACCCTCTATCCTTTAGTTTGTCTTGAAAGCTTTCAAGTATGAGAGTGGCTATCTAGATGAAATCACTACCTTCTCAGGGAATTATTCCTCTTCTCAGAGGAGACAAAAGCACTTGGTCAATTTTATGATGTCTGATTGTGGTGCTTATGAGGCTAAGACATAGACCATATTTCTGCATAGGTCGATGCTTTAAAGGAAAATTATCTTTCATAGCTACCATCTTTCCCTGCCCTCCTTTGAAATGTTTTATTGATCTTACAGAGGACTATGCTAAGGAGTTGGGATGGAGAGCAGAGATTTTTGTCTATTATGCTCAATGAAGTATCCCAATGCCTGACATATAGTAGGCACTTGAGAAACGTGTGTTGAATAAATGAGCAGACTAGGGGATTAGCCAGGTTCAGCTAATCCCACCTATACCTACAGAGAAAAAGAAATCCCATGCCCAAATCACGTTATTTTTTTCAGCATTGTCATGGCACTAATGCTATAGTCAGACCCTGCAAAGAACCATTTTAAATAAACTCTTGCACTGGAAAATAAATGGCCTACCCAGATCTTGTTCAGAATCTCTCACCCTGAGAGCTAAAACCTGGAGGAGAGGCAGCACAGGCTGGATATTTCCTCAGAGTCTGTCAGTTTCCTGCCCTGCTGATATGAGCCTGAAGCTGATTTGGGCTCAAGATTCAAACCAGCATTTCAAAGCTCTGGAGCACAATGAAAACTAGACTCAGTTATTTAAACAATTCCTGAGAACTGTCTGTTAGATTTCCTGGTTTTTGAAGTTCCAATCACCAGAAAAGTTTAAGTGGTTTGAGATTGGTGACATGAAATCCATAAAATTTGAGTTCATTCCTAGTTATACCAACTGGGCCTCCCTTGAAGGTCCTGAATGATTATAAGGAAGAGATAGGACACTTTAATGAAAAAGCCAGTGACTTTTTTGGAGAATAAAGGTTTGAAGGTATACATTTGTAATAACTCTTTTTTTTTGTTTGTTTGTTTTTTTTTTTTTGGAGACAGGATCTTGCTCTGTCACCCAGGCTGGAATGCATGACTCACTGGAGCTTTGACCTCCCAGACTCAAGTAACCCCCCACCTCAGCCTTCTGAGTAGCTGGGACTACAGGCATATGCCACTATACCCAGTGAATTTTAAAAATTTTTGTGGAGATGAGAGTCTAGCTATGTTGCCCAGACTGGTTTTTAATTCCTGGGCTCAAGCAATCCTCCCGCCTTGGCCGCCCAGGATGCTGGGATTACAGACATGAGCCACCGCGCTTTGCCTTGTAATAACTCACATTTTTTTTTCGAGACAGAGTCTTACTCTGTTATCCAGGCTGGAGTGCAGTGGCACCATCTCGGCTCACTGCAACCTTTGCCTTTTGGGTTCAAGCAATTCTTGTGCCTCAGCCTCCCGAGTAGCTGGGATTACAGGTGTGTGCCACCACGCCCAGCTAATTTTTTGGTTTTTTTTTTTTTTTTTGAGACAGAGTCTTGCACCTGCGTGTCCTGGGTTCAAGCAATTCTCTTGCCTCAGCCTCCCAAGTAGCTGGGATTACAGGCACCCGCTACCATCCCTGGCTAATTTTTTGTATTTTTAGTAGAGACAGGGTTTCACTATGTTGGCCAGGCTGGGCTTGAACTCCTGACCTCGTGATCTGCCTGCACTGGCATCCCAAAGTGCTGCAATTACCGGCATGAGCCACTGCACCCAGCCTAATTTTTGTATTTTTAGTAGAGACAGGGTTTCACCATGTTGGACAGGCTGCTCTCAAACTCCTGACCTCAAGCGATCCACCCACCTTGGCCTCCCAAAGTGCTGGGATTAAAGGCGTGAGCATGAGTCACCACGCCCAACTTACTTTTTACAACATTAATCAGTTTCCCTTCCTTTGGTACACTTTGATGTCACACTCCTAAAAGACAACTACTTCCCAATAAGAAATGGCCTTAAACTTACTGATGTGGGCGATTAGCTTCTTTTTTGAGGAATGAAATAATGGCTACAATTTGGGGGAAAAACTCCTCATCCCTGAACTCTCACCCTCTTTCCAGACATGGAATCAGATGACAATGGGAATTCTTTGATTCCAAAGAGAGACTCTGAAAAAGAAATGAGCATTTACAAAGGGGAGGTGGTAGTGGTGTCTTGCTGAATAAAAACAACTAATGTGGCCGGACACTGTGGCTCACGCCTGTAATCCCAACACTTTGGGAGGCCTAGACAGGTGGATTACTTGAGGTCAGGAGTTCGAGATCAACCTGGCCAACACGGCAAAACCCCATCTCTACTAAAAATACGAAAATTAGCCAGGCATGGTGACGCGCCTGTAGTCCCACCTACTCGGGCTGGAATTACAGGTGCTCACAGTGAGCCAAGATTGCACCACTGCGCTCCAGCCTGGGTGATGGAGTAAGACTCTGTCTCAAACAAACAAACAAAACAAAAAACAACTAATGTTTTCTTGTTGTGCTGCCTGTTACCTATCACAGCCCTTTTTGCCTCTTCTCTACCATCTCTCAGACATCAAGATCACATGTGTGGGATGAAGCACTCAAGAATAAGTGGGTGCTATCAATGCTCCAAGGTTAACAGGTAAAAAAAATGAATGGCGTTCCTTACTTTCCCCATAAATTTTCGGTCAGTATATTCTCCTCAGTAATTGTATTTAATCAGGGACTCACTTAAAGCTATTAAAAAGAACCACAAATATGATGTCACTGGTAATTCCAAGAACTATGATGTCCTTGCACAAAAGATAATGCTAAACTCGGGGAAGATCAAATTGTATGGACCAGGGAGGACTCTGTCCCTGGACTTTCTTAGTCTTTCCTCTAGCAACTGCTTTCTTCTCCAAATGTATAATAGGTCATCTAAGAGCTTTCTTTTTGATTCCCAAAATACTTCAGGTGTCCCTCTGGTCCGCCTATCATTTCACCTAACCTCAGATAAACTCAGGTTCCTGTGACTCATCTTTGTGCCTTAATTAAACATCCAGATGTCCACATCCACACACAGGCAAATACCAAAAACACATCTGTTTTCCTGTAACACATTTATTTCTTCTATACAAAATTCTCAACATTTTAGATAATCACTGGAAGGGTTAAGCTAAGATACGAAAGAACGTATAGACATCTGGCTGGGTGCGGTGGCTCGCGCCTGTAATCCCAGCACTTTGGGAGGCTGAGGTGGGCGGATCACCAGGTCAGGAGATCGAGATAATCCTGGCTAACACGATGAAACCCCATCTCTACTAAATGTACAAAAAATTAGCCGGGCGTGGTGGCGGGCGCCTGTAGTCCCAGCTACGCTGGAGGCTGAGGCAGGAGAATGGCGTGAACCTGGGAGGCAGAGCTTGCAGTGAGCAGAGATTGCACCACTGCACACCAGCCTGGGTGACAGAGCGAGAGCGAGATTCCGTCTCAAAAAAAAAAAAAAAAAAAAAAAAAAAAGAACGTATAGACATCACAGTTCCTGGAATTACCAGTGATGCTATGTTTGTGATGCTTTCTAATAGCTTTAAGTGAGTCCCTGATTAAATCTAAAGAATGAATAGACATGCCTCCTTGGTGAATGGCCGGAACTTTCATAATATGTCTAAATATTTTCTGATCTTCCCAATGGTCATTAAACTTAGGCAGACACACTTTCTGGAAAGGTGAAGCATCTACTTACTGTGCTTCTTCAGAAGACTCTTGTTTTATTTTTAATGTTCTCTTTGTGACAGGTATTTCATCTGAAAAGCAAAGATTTTGAAAAAAGTTATACTTTCCTAAGTGGTGGCATGCATGTATGTAGATAAGTAGCTATGTTTACTGATCATTCCATACTTTCCAAAACCAGGCTTTTATTCTAGTGTCAAACACTGTCCAATGTCAGATTTATAAATATAGCTCTTATATAATGAGATGCATACATTTATATGTAACATCAGAAACCAGCTCTACAAGTATAAAATTCTTCAAGGTCACCAGTGGATTTCTAGCTAGGAGCTTAAAGCTTAATTTCACTGCAGACATGATTTTAAAAGGACAAGAATAAAAATAATTCTGTTCCATTTAGATTTTCTATGTAGGTTTTACAAAGCAATTATTCCCCCAATGTCAGGATCAACATATTCTGCATATTGCTTTTTTCCCAAAGGTTTGAGTGACTTAACTCTCTACAGCAAAACCAGTGTTATGGAATGCCAAAGTAATTTAGACCTTATTACTCCTTTGAAATTAATCGGTAGTGATCGCTTACCATCTACCCCTTTTATTCTTCTAATCGTTAAGTCCATTTCTTATACGCTGTTAGTCTTATAGTTTTATAACCTCTTTCTTCTTTGACTGTCTTCCAATATTTGAAGAGTATTTTTAAAACAACATTGCTAAGAAACATATTAGCATTTAGTCCTTTTTCTTTGGAATTAACATTTTTCTATCATCAAGAATTTGGTAAAAAACAGAGCCCATGGACTTTTATCTAAAGCTCAGGGAGCATGTTTATACTGCCAATCCTACTTATACTTCCTTGGGGGCTGCCTGAGTACCAAGGGCTGGGAGCAAGAATATACCCTTCTAAGTGAGCACTCATTACATAACCTCCTGTTAATGTACAATGGCTGATTGATCAGTACCTCCAAATTATGAAATCAAATTATGAAAATAAAAATTGGAGCATGTAATGCGCAAAGAAACAGAACAATCCCACAACTACATATATACTCTTAGTTAGGCCCTACAAGTTTAGATTTGATGACCAGGAATTTTATTTTCCATTTTTAATGCCTATGACTGTATAAATAATTCCAGCTACTGTTGGGATGCGATCCCTTAAGAAGTGTGAAGGAACATGATCACACAGTTCAAATAACAGCTCTATTCAAGATAAATGGAGGCTTCCCCTCATTTTGTGTTCAGGCTCAAGTCTGAGAGAAGACCTTTTCCAAATCATAAACAGAAAAGAAAAATGTATTTGGGATAAAAGAAGGAATTCCTAAGAACAACATCTACAGCAGTTGGGCCAAGATATCTTAGCAGTCATCTTAGAACTAGAAGGTACAGGATATTTAGAATTGCATAGGATGTTACCTGTCACTGAGTGTACTTGTATAGCTCAGAATTAGAAATTCTTCTGTGTCTTTGGGAATCCTGCTGGTAAACAACTTGCCAAATGAACAACACCAAGCACCAGTTGGCAGTTTAAGGCTAAACCAAGGATGCCCACATTGCCCCAAATAGACTGGGACATGCAAATTCATGAAAGACATACAAGGCAGAGATGCCCTTTATGCCTTATGCTGACCACTATAGGGAACAGTACCAAAGATATTTACAGGTAATAAGTACTGGTGCACATACATAAAGGTATATAAATATACACAAACATAAGTATCATATATGTTGGCTTTCTTACCCAATTCCTGATCTGTTGGATAGCCATGGAGATCCTGACTGTGGTTTCCCCAGTCCTCCTGTGAATAGTCCTCCATAGTGCTGCCATCTGACTCCAGCTCCTGGTACAAGCCACTACTGTTAATAAGTACAGGCTGGCAGGGCTGAGCATCCCATCCTCCCTGACCAAACACCTGTTCCAACTGTTCAAATGTGTAACTGCTCTTTCTTTTCCCAACACCATGTTCTTTCACCCGACTGTAACACCTGCGAAGGGTCTAAGACACAAAGTCTTTTGTTATTCCTTTAAAGCTGTACTTCCTCTTCCAGGTACGGACCACAGATATTAATTACTATTAGACAGACACAGACAGACAAACATAGACACATTGTTACAGGAATGCTAGATTTCAAATTCATTATTATATTAGAAAAAAATACTAATTTAGCATTTACTCAAACATGTTATAATTAAAACAATTATTTTGCAATTAATTATCCATTAAACAACAAGAAACATTACAACATTATTGCATGTACCCCATACACATATTTTTATACCCCCACCCCCATTTAAAAAGAATAAGGGGGAAAAAAAACAAGAAATACCAGCCAGCCAATAGGATGCACACCTGCCACAGAAGAGAGAGAGCTGCTGTTGTGCCCAGAATTTGGAAAAAGTGAGGGAAGGGAGGACAGAAAGAAGAATTTCCCAAAGCAAAGAATACCTGCCTTACTCTTGATTAAGAAGGAATGAATACAGGGTAAAAATAATTGCCTAGACAAATTAGCTAGTAAAACATATTACTTACATAGTTGTATTCCTTACTAACTCAGTCTTTGTGGAAGCCGCTAAAATTTAAAACAGAGGTCAAATCAATAATGCTACAAATTCCAGGTCTCAAACATCAATGATCAAGAAACAGTACACTAATACCTACGTCTAAAGCTAGACAATCTACTCGTCTGTTCTACCAACTCAAGCTGCCAGCTAAACAAACCAACAAATGAAGCCAGTGATTTCTTTCTGGGGAAAAGGACGGGACAGAGGGGTGTTATTTCACTTCCTTTTCTGCCATGTGGCACACAGCAAATAAATATCATTATGCAAATCCACAGACAAAACCTGAATAATTTTATTCTCTTGTACAACCCTTCCATTTTTACCATGGTCTTTATTTCTAACACATATTTCTGATTATTAGCCCAGTTTCCTGAATTTAATGGTACATCTTATGCTATCTTATATGGCATTTCAAAAGATAAATCAAGGGCTTAATCCCAGCTTCCAAATTTAGTTAAGTTGCAACCAGTCTCTATCCCATCTCTGCCTCCCTTTGTTCCTTCTAATCTCCCTTCTACTTTACTGAGTTTCACTAATTATTTTCTTGAAATAAGATCTCTTTTCCCTGGTGGCTACCAAATACTTTCTAACTCAACTGTTCAAAAGTAGTTCACCTCAGACTTAATTTGTAGGCACTGCCAGACTAAATTTATCCTAAACGTGAGATTGCTCTCCATAAGCCAATATGTTAACTATTTTCACCAAACTAAAACAACTCTTAATAATATCTACAAAGCCTCCAAGGAAGTTCAGTCTCTTTATTTATATATTTTTTGAGACAGCACTTCGCTCTTGTTGCCCAGCCTGGAGTGCAATGGCGCCATCTCGGCTCACTGCAACCTCGCCTTCTGGGTTCAAGTGATTCTCCTGCCTCAGCCTCCCAAGTAGCTGGGATTACAGGCATGCGCCACCCTGCCCGGCTAATTTTGTAATTTTAGTAGAGACGGGGTTTCTCCACGTTGGTCAGGCTGGTCTTGAACTCCCGACCTCAGGTGATCCGCCCGCCTTGGCCTCCCAAAGTGCTGGGATTACAGGCGTGAGCCACCACACCCAGCCAGGAAGTTCAGTATCTTTAAATCACAGTTGACAATCTACAAGACACTCTATCAGATACTTTAAAAATTTGTCCCTTGAAGCCAGAAATCTAGATGGGTAAAAGGAATAATAAAAGCACGACATGTGTGATGATCTTCCTCACACAAAAACAGAGCAACAATTAAGAGTCTCCCACCCTAAAGCCAGCCGGCCTACCCCCTGCACAAGCATCTGCCTCATTCTCCCTTTCTTGAGATCTCTTCTGGAGCCTCAAATGATGCCTTAGAGAACTGAGGTTTCCAACGATACACTCTTTTTAAAAGTGTTTCTTCTTCCTCTTTGTAAAAGATAGTCACAATTACATAAGACAAAACTTTCTAGAACAAACCAGAAATATGAACTTGGCAAATGTGTGTCATGGGCAAACCTTCCAATGGAAGGAGACAAATGCCTGCGGCAGAGCTCATTTGACTTTCTACACACTCCCCCTTTCCCAGCGCCCTCTGCCCTCCTTGCAGGGATTGGAATTTGAATTCCAAACATCCCTTGCCAATTTATTTTTATCTCACAATGTCTAGTTTCTGCCTCCAAGAACACCCCAACCACTCTTTTCAACTCCTCCAAGGACCGTAAATGGAGAGTCCCAACCATGTCCCTTTCACCCTTCCAAGGCCATAAATGGAGAAGGAAACCATGCCACTGCTCACTACTTACTGACTCCCTGGAGAAAAGCATTCAGCACACACAAGGGCCCAGTTGGCTCTGTTGCTGACGGTTATTTCGGAAGTCAGGGAATAAAACTAACATTCCTTTCAAGAAAGGTGCCACACATATCAGGAAGTGACACAAGCATAAGCAAAGCCACCAATCTCTGGCGATAGACATGGTAGGAAACCACAGCAAAGACTCTTACTCTCTTTGGAACCACCAAATTGAGCTTAATACTTCACTTGGCTTATGTAATTGTGAATAAGGAAACTAGCAGTATCTAATGGTTACAGATATGGAAGAAAAGTCAGGTGACACATTTTACAATTTATCAAAAGACACTAACAGATCTTGCTACTTCTTACTTTGTAGTGTACTTTTGTAATACACTTGAATACTGCACTATGCTAGTATGTAAAATATCTATCAGGGGCCTGAAGGAAAGATGTTTGGTAACTTTTAAATCCATGATAGGAATTTGATGTATTGAAATCATGTTAAAAAAGATTTCCCAACTGATTTTAACTCTCTCAAGATATAAATGCACTTAAGAGGTAACTTCTGGGTTCAGTAAAGACCACAGATCCAAGGAGAGGCTATTTAAATCACATCAACTAAGAAAAAAAAAGAGTAAGAACTGAAACTTCGGCTTGACTGGTACTGTAAGAAGCACTGGGATTGAGTTAAACTTGAGGGAGTTTAGAGATGGATAAAAAGGAACTATGGAGACCTTCCAATTATCACCCACAATAAAGCAAAAGAGGTTACACTTTCCACACTCTAAATTAGCCAAAGCATGGAATTAAGACTGTGCGTGTCCCAGTCCTAAATAAACCCACTTAAAAACCTACTCTAGAGCTGAGATTACAATAATGCTCAGAAAAACGAAGCCTCAATTCCCATTTCAGACAGCTCTCAAACCCAACAAGAACCTCAATTTGGCTTTCTTGGAGAACCATGTCCTATTCAACACAAAAATCTTGCTTCCCTTTCTTCTTCCTTTATTTTACTCATCCTAGAAATTTGTAGTAACTTAAGCTTAATAGTTTCTAAAAATTAAGGTCTGGGGCAGGGGCAGAAATGTGCTTAAAATTATTAAAAACTATTCTATTCACAATTAGAGATTGTAATTTTCCTGACTGTTGGAAATCTCCCCGGTAAATTGACATGATGCTGTTGTCTCCCCCTGGAGGAAGAGTTGTGAGAGAATACTGTATCCTGAAAGAAGCTGTAGGGATAGAGGTCAGGAGGAGTCAGGAAAACCTGGACTGAAGAACTAAAGCATAGGTAACAACTTGATCGGTGGTCAACCCAGAGGAGTTCATGGTATTTGATTTGGAAGCAATGGCAAGAGAATGCTTACTAAATCCACCATGCCAAGTGCTTCATGACTATGAAGGGAAAAGAGCCAGAGAAAAGACTTCAAAGATGTCCCATTACCAAAGCAGGGAGAAAAATAAGATGGCTGACAACTGACAATTTATAGGACAGAGTGAAAGTTTTGCCAAAGTTTAAGATTAGAGTAAAAGGAAATGAGAGAATAAAAAGATGACATTCATTGTGGATGAATGTATGGGGAGTCTATGGGGGAGGGGGAAGGTAAACAAAGGCAGGAGTTTTAGATTGGCAGGATTGGGGGTTTAACGGCAGCAATGTAGAGAAAGACCCAGGGTTACAGTACACGTAACATTAAATACAGTGCACAATGCAGCTATCTTGCCAAAGTAAGTAAATCCAGTATTGGGTTGTATAAGCAGAGGAATCACATGTAAGCTATGAAGGTGGCTCTTCCTCTCTATTCAGCACCGGTGAGGCCACAGCTGGAGCACAGCATTCAGTTCTGGGCATCGAACCAGCTACAAGAGAGGGAAATTGTAGAGTTCAGAAAAGGGCAAATAAAATATTGAAAGGCTTGGAAAATAAGATCTATAAGCAGGGACAGTGGTTTCATCAAAGCCCTTCCTGACATTACCTAAGCTACTTTTGGGGTGAAATTAAGGTTTATTTTGCTTTAGTGTCCTCCAATCCTTTGACTTTCAGGAAATGGGAAGAATTAAATTCTTCCCTGGTAGGGCAAAGTAGAAAACAAACTAAATAAATCATAAAGGCATATGCCAACCAATTCCAGTATTGGCTTAATAATTTTCTCAAAGTTTGCCCCATTTCATACAATCATAAAATATTCACCAGGACAAAAACACTGTTCTAGCTAACTGACCATACATGGAATGGAGCACTATAACGTGGAGGAACAGAAATAAGGCATAACAGCTATATAAATGTATTGTTTAGAAAACATTGGCTTGATCAGTCTAAGATGTCAGATGAAAAATAAAGTCAATCTGCAAGGAGGACAGCTTAGTTATAATAGCAGGAAACAATGTTACAAGAAAAAACAAGCAGTGAAACAGATTTTCAAATGTAGCTGTCAAGCTGGCCACACTGGAAATGGATTACATAGTTATCTTAATCCACTGCCAAGTACACATGATAAATTTGAGATTCCTTTTACCCAAATGATTAAAGAGCACACTTATTCACAAACAAGGCCTTAAAAATCACATATTGTGCTCCACGAGAGATGAAGAAATTACATTGGGAGTAAATTTCCAGTGACTAATTTTCTTATAAAATTGTTAAAAATGATACCTCAGACTAAAGCAGATTTGTATTTTGAAGCAAGATCTTTGCAAAATAGATCTTTCTTATACCTTTAAAGTTACTATTGTAACTGTTAAAACTAGTTGCTCTTAGTTAATTGAGGCAACGAAACACCATTTAATATCTTTAAGAAAAACATTAATTTCTTGAGCTATATTTTGTTACTGTGAGCATAAAAGTAGGAAAGACAATATCTTATGTAGCATACATAAATAAAAAAACATTTCTGCACACAGTAAGAAAGATGTTAAGAATCTAGCATAAATTTCTATGTACATCTTTTGACACAGAGCTGTAACTAATGATTAGGAAATTACTTAAGGCAAAATCCATCTGGGGCCAGCAGAACTTTTGCTACCTTTTTTCTTAGGTTTTCTGTTCATTGACATCTGACAAACTGACTTGCCAATCCCCTAAATCCTTTAAAACCAACCAAACAAAAAAGCCCCAACCAAGTAAAACCAAAAAGAAAAATGTAGCAAACTTGTTTCACACTTACTGCTACAGAACAAGTTTTGGCAAATACAAAATGTTTTTATTCTTCAATCTTTTGCTTTTCCTTTCCAGGGCAGAAGTTCTTAACCTTTTTGAGTCATGGATCCACTCCTCAGAAAAATGCACACATACACAACCTGTCCCATACGATTTCAAGGGGGTACCTGGACTCACTAAAGAACCCATACAAGAACGTCGTTAAAAAATTCTGCTCTGCATTATGTAGTTCTTTCCTCCATAAAATATAACATACATTAGTTTGAAACCCTAAAATAAGGTAAACTTGTATCTTAGATTTTATAGGAGATTCTAAAGATTGGAACAATTACTTTAAGTACAATTATCAGTTCACTCACTATTCTGTTCATTTAGATAAAGCAGCATTAATTTCCTTTAAGAGGTAAATTAGCCAAATTCCCGTTTCTTGAAGGAAATAATTTCTATCAGTAAAAGCATACAAGGGCCGGGTGCGGTGGCTCATGCCTGTAATCCCAGCACTTTGGGAGGCCAAGGTGGGCGGATCACCTGAGGTCAGGAGTTTGAGACCAGCCTGGCCAATATGGCATAACCCCGTCTCTACTAAAAAGACAAAAATCAGCCAGGCGTGGTGGTGGGCACCTGTAGTCCCAGCTACTCGGGAAGCTGAGGCAGGAGAATCACTTGAACCTGAGAGGTGGAGGTTGCAGTGAGCCAAGATCGTGCCACTGCACTCCAGCCTGGGCGACATGAGGGAGTCTCTGTCTCAAAAAAAAAAAAAAAAAAAGTGAAAGCATACAACGATATTACTTTACTCTTCTAAAAAATATAGCACTTCTTTCTACCTGCTGGGCAAGAAATCTTTTTTCTGAAGTAATAATTAAGTGATATTAAATGATTCGTTATGCTGATTATCTGTTCCAACTGCATCACACAGTACTTGATCACTTATTGTCTGATTAACTTATCGATATAGATGCCAGATAAACTACCTCAAGTAACAACTTAAAACAGAAAAACACACATCCAGAAACAAGTATAGTAAAGTAAGTCTTGACTACGTTCCTTAGTAGTCTCTATGGCTAAGCTCTCACATCTTCCAGCTTTAACACTGCCTAATGTCTAAAGGGTCTCACAGGAATAGGCAATGTCTACAATAATTCAATCCTCAACCCAATGGGATCACAGTCTAATTTATGACTCTATTAAAACTGTTCCTATTGTGATCATCAATGTCTTTTTTTTTTTTTTTTTTGAGACAGATTCTCGCTCTGTCGCCTAGGCTGGAGTGCAGTGGCACAATCTGGGCTCACTGCAACCTCTGCCTCCTGGGTTCAAGTGATTCTCTTGCCTCAGCCTCCCGAGTAGCTGGGACTACAGGCACCCACCACCACGCTCGGCTAATTTTTATATTTTTAGTAGAGACGGGGTTTCACTATGTTGGCCAGGCTGGTCTCAAACTCCTGACCTCAGGTGATCTGCCTGCCTTGGCCTCCCAAAGTGCTGGGATTACAGGCGTGAGCCACCACGCCTGGCCAATGTCTTCTTAATAACTGAATGAAGCTCAAACTTTGTCCTTAACTCATTTAACTTCCCTGCAGCATTTGATACTCTTCATCACCTGCTGATATCACTGTCTTTGGCAAATGTCTCTTTATAACACTTTTTGTAATATACTGATCCACTAAAGGTGGGTGGAATTGCCTAAGGTTCTAATTACAAACTAGGCTCCATCTTCTAAACATTATGGAGCCAGAATCAGTGGCTCATGCCTATAATTCCAGTACTCTGGGAGGCCAAGGCTGGAGGACGCTTCAAGGCCAGGAGTCAAGACCAGCCTGGTCAATATAGCAAGACTTTGTCTCTACTTAAAAAAAAAAAAAAAATTAGTCTGGGTGTGGTGGTGTGCACCTGCAGTCTCAGCTACTGGGGAGGCTGAGGCAGGAAGATCCCTTGGGCTTAGCAGGTAGAGGCTGCATTGAGCCATGATCACGCCACTGCACTCCAGCTTGGGCAACAGAGTGAGACCCCTGTCTCTAAAAAAAATAAAAATAGAAAAACGTAATACAAGTTCTGAACATAAAAGAACCTCAGAGATCATCTAGTTCATCTTCCTCACTTAACAAATGAGGAAGCAAGGCCCAAAGATAAGTATTCCTTTAAGAGGAGTTTGGCATATGAAAATTATCAAATGCCACTTAAGAAACTTTAATGTTTCCTAAGAAGTTATTTCACTAGATTGTAAGCTCCATGAGGTAAGGATTTTATCTATCTTGGTTGTCTCTATTCCCCAAGCCTAGAACAGTGCTAATCACATGAGGCTTATTCAAAATATATATTTATTCAATACATAATTAAGCTAATTTTAAAGTAGTAAATCACTAGCAAGAGGATAAAATTTTTCTTAGCAAAGAACATCAGAAAATTCATTGCTTAACTAAAATAAATTATCAAATCAATGAATCTTGATGGGCGGGGCTCCTGAAACCTTTTGAAAATAGCTGGGCAAGGCTATTTTAAAAATATCTATCATTCTTGTTGTTATACCTTTCTTTGGGCGGGCAGGCCACGTGCCAAAGGGAGCTCTGCAGCCCTGTCCAAATTTTATTTCTTATGCCTTACAAAGTAAACAAGCAAATGAAATAGTCAAGAATGTAAGGTAGTTCTGTCAAAGACAGGAAGGGGGAAAGACTCGATTGCTTTCTGATTTTAATCGGGTCAAACAGAATGACCACCACAAACGAAGAGATCTTACCTCTCTGGAGCCTCAGTCTTTGTGGGGAACTGTCCAGGACTGAATCCTATCAGCTTGCACTTCATTCTGAATCTGGCTATCAATGACTCACTCACTTTGTGTTTATAACTGGTCAATACTGCCTCCATGAGAAGAGATTCTTGCCTAGAATATATATTAATAATTCAGGGCCAGGTCCAGTGGCTCAAGCCTATAATCCCAGCACTTTTGGAGGCCAAGGCAGGCAGATCGCTTGAGGCCAGGAGTTCTAGACCAGCCTGGCCAACAGGAGATACCCTGTCTCTTCTAAAAATACAAAAATTAGCCGAGTGTGGTGATGCACACCTGTAGTCCCAGCTACTTGGGAGGCTGAGGCATGAGAATTGCTTGAACCCAGGAGGGAGAGGTTGCAGTGAGCTGAGACTGTGCCACTGCACTCCAGCCTGAGTGACAGAGTGAGACTCTGTCTCAAAAAATAAAAATAAAAAATAAAAGAAAGTAAAAACAAAACTTTAAAAAAATATAAAATTCAGGAAATTTTGATTGTCAATGAATATCAAGTTCTAAGTTTTCTAGGTTCCTTCATGCTAGCAGCTGAGGGTCGTGCCCATTCAGATTACTAAGAAAAAAACCCTAAAGAAGGACAATACTAATTGTTAAAAACAAACATCTTCCATGGCTCAAGGAACTCAATTCATGTAACCATAAAGCTTCTGACCCTATGCTATGTGTGCTTCTCATGGACACTCATACAATGATCTCAGATGAGCAGTAATACTTGTAAAGGTCACACCTAGCATGCATGTTCATGTATAAGAGCTTCTTTAGGGTACAAGAATCCTTCAAGACAAGGAATTCTCAAGTGCTTTTCTATTTACAAGAATACAGGTCAAAAAAGTAGGGTATACTGAACTATTTCAGTATATAAGCAGCAATAGGTAGTAGCTACAGTCACCAAAGATAGCAGATAACACTATTTGTCTAGAACTTCCTCCTCACCTGAAAGGGAAAAAAAAAAAATCAGTTGTTGGCAAAGAACTGACTGGGATTAGAGGCTATTTTCATTTGACCTCCTACATCACCTCTGAAGTTGCTAAGTCAGCACCTCTTTGAATCTTTTTCTCAGTTCACACCTTGGGGGACTACATCAAAGAGGTATTCAGATACACTAAAAATGATACTTTTATTAGTATGTGATATCTAAAACACATGCAAGAAAATTATCTAAAATATTTCTGGCATAGCAGGGGAGAACCAGTCTTCGTTAAAGTACTCCCAAACACCCTCCACTACGAACTAATTATTCCATGGACAACCATGTCTAAAAATTAAACCCCCCCCCCGCCACCTCAAAAATCCGCACACAGCTTTACCATTACAACATCGTATTGCTTCCCAAATACGAAGGTGTTTCCATTCATGAGACCAATGTTTAAAAGGGAGACTGTGCAGAGCAGGCTTCCCCTGAAGCAGTAGGCCACTTTATTCCTTTCGTCTGTTGACCATGTGATTCTCTCAGTTCTGTAGTTATTTTCTCACTAAAAACTACCATCTATAGTGCAAAGATAACCTATAATAGAGATGTTTCCATTAGTAGATTTTACACATTTGGTTATGAGAAAAAGAATCCTGATAGGCAGATAAAATCATACAAAAACTAAGGTTATCTGAAATCTTCCCTCAAGACCTCTGGGTACAAACATTAAATCCAGATTCATTAACTTGTGAAAATGTAAACATTCAAAAAATATATATTTTTTGCATTTACACAGTGTAAACTACAGGTCACCAATGCAAGAAAAGAATACATCTTCATATCCTGACACATATCCTTTCTAAGAAAAACCTGAAAATAAGCATGTTTTATTAAAAGCAACTATCCTGGGTGATCTGAACTTAGTTAGGAAGTTGTTAGAAATAAATTCAGGCAATCATAACTATTTTTATAGCTCATTTGGTAGAATTTTTATATTCTATTCTTAGCTTTATAAAGACTGCTAAGAGAAATGACCATATGAAAAAATATTTCTGTACCTTCTACAAAAACCAAACATTTTCCTTACATGGCTCAACGTGCCATGTAATGAAGGTAAATCATAGCTACCATTTCCTGAGTGCCAACTGAGTGCTGAGATTTGGGCTAAGCAATTTACATGATCATTCCTACTTAATAATAATGTTAAAAGAGAGTGTCCCTGGAAAGAGAGTCGGAGGAGACTGTGCAGGTATGCTGGGGAAGGCTCTTGGGAACCACACATGTGAGAGACTGAGAAGCAGGGCTGGGCACAGAAAGAAGTTAAAGTAGAGTTGCAACAGCAGCCTCTGCTAATCCTACAATGAGGTATGGAACTCAGGTTGTCCTTCAGAGTTATACCGAATTGAGGCAAGGTTGGACCTTGGTATTTCAGCACTGACCAGTCATTGGATTCAGGCTGCCACCAGAGAGTGGGGGGCCCTCACCTTGGGTGAGACAGTTGCCTTGGGCAGAGTGAAATTCTGAAGAAATCAACCAGAAGCCACCAGCAGTCAGCATTCCAGACAGCTGGGGGGGGACTAGCGTCTCATTCCTGGAAGAGGGATCTGGGTAGCATGTTATATATATATTAAGATATATGTATCTTATGTATATATTACATATATATTAAGATATATGTATCATATTTATATATGGTACACCCCTATTTTACAGACAAGAAAATTATTAACAAGGCAGAGAAACATTAAGAGCTTATCCAAAGTCACTTTCAGTGTCTTTAATGTAAGTTCATCTTTGGTTTCAAAACTAAGACCTGGTATACTTCTCTTCAGAAGACACTGAAAATTATGGCAAGTCACTGTATTTACTTTTTTGCTACCATTGCCAGGAAGCTCATAGCTCATTTTAATATTTAGTTTAAGTAAACATATTTACCTAGGTTACTGCTATTTGCCCTGCATCATTTCTTCTTTTTTTTTTTTTTTTTTTTTTAGTATGGGGTCTGTGTTGCCCAGGCTGGAGTGCAGTGACTATTCATAGGGGCAAGCATTATGCACAACAGCCTCAAACTCCTGGGCTCAAGTGATCCTCCTGCCTGAGCCTCCCGAGTAGCTGGGACTATAGGAGTGCACCACCACGCCAAGCTGGCATTCTCTGTTTTCTTATTTCCTGATTCTACTTTTAGCTTTCTCAATATGCTGATATGTTTTGTTTGGTATATCATATATTAAAAAACAGTTCATCTCATCCCCATCATCTATCTCTAAGAAGCACCCAAACCATTTACACATTAGGTAAACAATGGCAGGCATAAGGTAGTGAACATTCCATAGCCTCCTTTGATAAGCCACATCCTTACCTGCTTTTACTGTCAAAAAGTAATTCTACATTGTGTTTCTGCTCCTATAATTCAAACTTACTTCTTTTTGGAGGAGTTGGTGATCCAATAAATGCCATCATTTATCTGAGATCTTGAATGAATGACTGAATGAATACAATTAAGTCTTTACTTATTAGGTTTCAATACTTATCTTAAATTCTTCCTCAGGACTTCCAAATCTCCTTGTGTTTCTAATCTTAGGAAACGATAAATTATCTCCAAGAATTTAAAAAATTCTTTTCATTTCAATGACAAGAAATATCAGCATAATGCTGTCCATCTGGGTGTTACTATATGATTTTGGTATCGTATTTATGAATGTTGATAATCACGTCGTTGCCAAAAACATGACTTCAATTGTCAAAATTTAATAAAGATGGGCTGATTCAGAAAAAGGTGATATAAGCAAGTGGTTAAGAAGAGCATGGGTTCCAGAGAAACACTGCTTGGTGTCACCACCTGCAAGCTTTGTGACAAATTAATCTATCTGTGCCTTAATTTCTTCATCTATATGGTGGGGCTGGTAACAGTACCTCCATCATAGATTTGCTGTATTAAATGAGAAAACAGCATTTAAAAGTGTCTGCTCAATTGCCTGCACTCAGTAAATGTTTGCATTATTATTATAATTATTACAAAAATGATACAGTCACACCATATGGAGACCAAGGGGCCTTATGAATTAAGGTTAGTTCAAATAAAGTAGTGCAGCAAAGTGTGGTATCACGAGGCGCAACACGGGTAGGAATAACATGTAGGAGTAACATACTCAAAAGAACCCTTACCCTAGCAATCAGTGTCAGAGTCATGTTGAGAAAAGCAAGCTTCAGCTAAACCACATCATCTAAAGCATCATTAAACGAATGCCAACTTGACTTTTCTTTTTTTGGAGTTGGAGTCTTGCTGTGTTGCCCAGGCTGGATGGAGTGCAGTGGCACGATCTTGGCTCACTGCAACCTCCACCTCCTGGGTTCAAGTGATTGTTCTGCCTCAGCCTCCCGAGTAGCTGGGACTATAGGTGTGCACCACCAAACCCGGCTAATTTTTGTATTTTTAGTAGATACGGGGTTTCACCATACTGGCCAGGCTGGTCTCAATGATTTTTTTGATTTTTCATTTTATTCAAAGTATTTCACACAACTGTTTGTGTTAACATGTGAACTCTATAGGTAAAAGGAGTTTATACCTAGGAGTACCTATGAAAATAAACATCTTTTTGCTCATACATTATTCGAGTTTCACAAACATCTGGCTATACTGCCATAGCTTCTTTGACTTTTTTGCTCAGTTCTTCCTTTATAGATAAAAGCCAATTAGTGCTGGGGGTGGTGGCTCCCAGCACTTTCGGAGGCCAAAGTGGGCAGATTGCTTGAGCCCAGGAGTTAAGAGACCAGCCTGGGCAACATGGCAAAACCCCATCTCTACAAAAAAATACAACAATTAGCTGGGCTTAGTGCTGCATGCCTGTAGGCCCAGCTACCAGGAGGCTGAGGTGCAAGGATCACCTGAGCCTGGGGAGGTTGAGGTGATCGTGCCACCGCACTCTAGCTTGGGCAACAGAGCAAGACCCTGTCTCAAAAAAAAAAAAAAAAGCCAATTAATTAATCATTTTGAAAGATTTATAGCCTTGGCAAGAATATGGTGACTAACACACTGACATATAAACCAATGGGGAAAAAGGAATCCTAACTACCCATGCAGAGTGAGGAATAGGCCTCACTCGCTGGGCAACCTGTTTACAAGAAGCAGAAGACAGGCAAAACTCAGCATGAATAGAAATAAGAAATATGAATAACCCACATATGCTCTTGGAGTTAAACAAAATAAAAAGCATGTAGATCTTTCATTCCTTTTTTGGTGCATCAAAATTTACTGGAATTAAAATCAGACTTACCACTACTGTTTCTTGAAAAATAACAAAAGGTTTCATGAATATATGGTTATGCTGCAGTGAAGAAGTTAGAATTTTTTTCCTGATTTTTCCTCTTAATTTTATAGTGTGCTTATATTACTTACATAAGGAAAAAAGTAATTATTTGTACTGTTGTAAAATTGGCACAACTCTGACTGCTCAAGGCCCAACCAACTATTAACCATGTTTCCTAAACTGTATAACAGAGAAGGGATCTCTCCTGGTTTTCCTTAAAACTGACTCTTTAGGGCTCCACATAATGCCTGGCACAACAGCAGATGCTCATGAACTGATGGTTGATGAGTAAGAATGTAGCACTTTGCTGCTTGGTAGTACAAACCTCAATGACAACTGGATATACACAAGACAAAGGAATGATATAAAATCATGTAAATCATTCTTAATATAACAATAGCAAATGAATTTCTTTCATAAGCATAATGAAAGAGCTCAACTTCAAGGATTTATCAATGAATATCATATTTGAGGGTCTTTTTCCCTAATTGTGTTAATTGCTTAATTATATATTTTAAATATCACATTATTTTCTACCAAAATGTAAGCTCTTTGAAGGCAGGGTTTTGTCAGTTTTGTTCACTGAGGTATTCCCAGAGCCCAAATCAATGCCTAACATGTTAATGGGGTGCAATACATCTTTGATGAATGAATGAATGGAAAATTCCTTAAGATGGTGTATAGGTAGTGGAGATACCAAATATTAGGTTGAAGTGCTTTTTGACCTATCCTATTCTTTCTAAATTATAAACCAGCTATTTCCCTTTAGAGAAAAGTATTTGCAACTTAAAAAAATAATAAAAGCAGTTTTGGGTAGATATGAACTTTTATTCTGGTTTTATTAATATCAATTACAAACATAATTGGTTTATTTGAATCAAGTAATCTGAAGATAGTAGAGAGACAGTACTGTAAATTTCAAAGGCTATTACAACAAAGTAGTCTTACATAGGCTGAGAAAATGCAACTAGAAAGCATATCTAAGTAAACAACTTCTACTATTGTTATTTATATTGAATGAAGTAATATTTGATAGCCCAAAATATATAATTTATGAATACAGCCAAGAACACACACATAAAATAAAATGATGGCTGTTGTTTCTAAAATACCTGAGAATAAACACAGGTTTCTATTTTACTAGCGTAACAACACATCCTACTAAGTGAAAAGGTAACACTCACTTGATTAGTGCCAAGAAAAAAAAAAAGTATTTCCATTGGCTTTCAAGGACCTTTCCCAACTAAAGATGGTTGAGAATCATACAGATTTAAATACATGCCTTTTTCCACAGCAGACATCTTTCAATTATTTAGAACAATCGGAGGGGAGGGGAACTCTGCATTGATTAGGAACTCCAGATAATTTGTAACATATGCATAAGAGGCACAGATCCACTAAGCATTCATTTTCAACACTGAATGAAGCTTCTGCAATGGTAAATATTAATAGCACACAGAACACAGTGGAGGAACCCCACATCAGAAACAGAATTAAATAATATCCAATCATAACTGCAATCCTAACAGTTAATTGTTTTAAAGAGTTCTTTAGAGTACTAGTCTGTTGTTTTTGAAACTCAGAAAGTTTTTCCTTCTATTTTATTTCGTTTGTTTTAACATTACACAGATACAATTTTCCATAGAAAACAACTGCTGGTTCTACGTTAACGTAACACTAGGAGCACAAATCTAGGTATCTAGCTACATGACACTTAACATTTGAAATACTGGATCTGAATTTTAGTTCTTACTCTCTGGTAATATTGTGAAAAAGTCGGGGGGGAAAGCAGGATAATCACTTCTGAAGACTGGGAAGCAGAACTGAAGAGTCTGCAGAGAGTATATGGTAGAGGAAATACAGACAGGACTGTCTTCATTTGGTATTTCAGTTGGTTTTCCTTGGGTTCTTAGAAATCAAGCCTGAAAACTTCAGCTATGAAATACTGTTATGGTCTTTGACTGCAGTCAAGAACCCTCTGTGTAAGCTGGTAGAGAAGTAGATAGTGAGTTGTCTCACAGGTTAGGATCTAACAAATTCTGGAAATTAAAATTCCCAGATTCTTCGAAACAGGTCCTCGGTTTTGATGTATATGAAATTTATTCTTGTGTCTCCATCTTCGTTACCACTGCTTTATTTCACTTTCCATCTAGCTTACTGCAAGAAGCCTCTAAATAATCTTTGTGCTTCCAGTCTTACTCTTTTGATTCTCCATATTACAGCCAGGGACTGTTTTAAAATTTAAGACTAACCATGTCATTGCCTGGCTTAAAATCCTTTGATGATTAGAATAAAGTCCAAACGCCTTAGCGTATCACCTGACCTCTTGTTTAAGTCTCCAGTCTCATTTCTTACTACTTCCCACTCCCCTGCTTCACCCTTTATCTCAAAGCTTAGGCTCAAGCTATCTAAAACTATGTAATATAATTTCACCAGAATATCTGGGACAGATGTTGCAAATTAATGTTTCTGGAGTTTCAATAGGTTCAGTCTAAAAGAACACAATGAATGAAAAAATCTTGATCTCACTGTATTATCTTCTAGTCCTCTTTTATTTAACTGTAGGTTATGGCCCATTAGTGGGTTGTACAATTAATTTTAGCAAGTTGTGACCACCTTTCTAAACACAAGTAGGAGATGAAGAGATAACGTGTAAGGGACCAAGAAGTGAACTATTCTGGTGAAGAGGACCCAGGGACAGTGAAAGGGGGCTAGGGACAAAAGGTGAATGGGAGCTGGTTTCAGGTTGGAAGAATGGGTGCATGTGAGGGACATTTGGAGAATGCCATCATTGACCATCAATGGGGTCACAACAAGCAAACCTGGAGTATCCTTGGTCTACTCCATGCCCTCCTAGAACTGTCCCTGTGGCTGGAGGGTCTCCAGGAGAGAGACTCTGGCCCCTACAGCTGCTCCGTGAATGTGCAAGACAAACAAGGCATCATTACGGGCTACATCATCAAAACCTTAGAACTCAGTGTACAGGGTGAGTGAGAAGCACAGACTTCCGGACCCCTCCCCACCTGCACTGGGAGGTCAGGCGAGTCACTCTCCTAAATGGCTGAGGGCAAGAGTTGGAGAAGGGATAAATGAAACGACAGAAGGGTGCAGACAGAAGGGTCACCAATGTGACCCTGAGCTGCCAGTCTCCGAGGAGTAAGCCCGCTGCCCAATATCAGTGGGATCGGCAGCTTCCATCCTTCCAGACTTTCTTTGCACCAGCATTTGGTGAGGGCATTTCTGGAGACAGGCAAGGCTGTGGCTGGGGAAGGGGAAAGATGAGAGGTACCACAGAGACTGGGGTGAAAAGGGGAGCCAATGCTGACAAGCACTGGGGAGGAGGAGGATGTGGGGCAGAGAAAGATCCCCCGCCAGGGGCAGGTATTGTGTTAGGTGCATTCACTGTGTATACTGTTATGAAAGAGGCTCTACAGCTGGAGTGTCTGCCTTCAATTAGAACAGAACATATCAGAGTATATTACATGTAGTTCAGTATAGTGTCATTATGTGGATTAAGTTAATATTTACAAAGCACTTAGAATAGTGCATGGCACATAGAAAATACTATGTGTTGGCTATAATCACTGTTTTGTGAAATCTGTTTCAGTTATACATATATGTCATGAAACTACTAGGTCCCAGGGTAAAATATATTTCTTCTTCCTGTGAGTTGTGGTCAAAAAAAGATGCACTGTTTTGGTTTTACTTTCCAGTATACAAATTAAGAAATGAGATATGTAATGGATATTTGCGCAACTGCAATTCAACACCATAAAAAAGTTGTTACTCATCACAACATATAAATGACCTGGAATTGGTATGTTCACTATAATGTCATCCCAAAACTACTGGCTCCACCATTCTACGTGATTATGACACCACTAAGGCATCATTTACGGCTCCCACATCACTCTTTCACCACATGCCATGCACTACTGGCAAATTATTCTTCAATTAAAAAGCATGACTTTTTAAACAGCTGAACACTGTTTGGATGCTTCCAGTTTTGCATTCTTTGGTAAGTATATCTCATTATATTTGCAGTTGGCACTATTCTAGGTTATGCTGCCTCTGAGCTTTTACACTAACTATTCATCTACCTTTGAGTCCACCTTCACCCTTCAGGATCCACCTTTTGAAAGCCTAGGATGTGTGTGCTCCTGTAGCACCATAAGCATAACATTAACATGACACACAAGACCTTGTTCACAATATTGTAATTGGTTCCTTAGTAATCTGACTCCTTTATTACAAGATGGACATCTTGAAGGTGATGGTATACTACCGTAACTCTCAGACCTACTGCAGTAGGCACTATCTGTTGATGAATAATGAAAAAAATAAAGACCTTATTTCAGACCTTAGCATTTAAAGAAATCTTGTGATGAATCTGTCAGTTGAATCTGATGACAGGGAATGAGCAAAATATCTAAATCCCCTCCCCCCCTCCAGATACCTGAACTTTAGCCAAAAGTTAAGCTCCACACTTTTCCCCTGTAACCTTTCCCTGTTTCCCTCTGGCTTTCTAATGGCAAGGGAATTCAGGAGCCCAGCACCACTACATCAGCCAAGAAAGATATCAAAAAGATACTGAGTTCTAAAGCAGCAGTCTTTAACTGGGGTAGTCTCCTTTAATAATTGATGGAGGCAACTTGAAACCTTAGGGATTCCTGTCATTCCCCCTCTTATTTATATTGTTTAAGTTATCAATCCTGGCCCCTGAATTTAGAATAACAAAAACAATATAGGCCAGTGATACTGTTTCTTTTAAATGTAACTTGAATATTTCCTAAACAGCAAAAATTTCAAGAGACAGTTGATAAAACTCACAAATAATGATTTAATGTGTATTTTTCAGATTCAGTTTGTTATTCAGTACATTTTATCGCCAACTCTCATCATATTCATCTCATACCAGACTTAACATTTTCTATGTCCTGCTAACCTCGTATAAATTTCCAAACACATCATGAAAAATTTTAATGTCAGCTTAAAAATCTTCCAGAGGATACATGGGTTTCAAAGCCTTTTGGGAGTACACAAGCAAAAAGTCTGAACACCCATTATTCAAAAGCTGTTCTGGCCAACAAAACAGTCACTAGCCACAGGTGACTATTTAAATGTAAATTAGATAAAATTAAAAATTCAATTTTGCAGTCACGCTAGCCACATTTCAGGTCCTCAAGAGCCACCTGTGGCTAGTAATGCCGTACTGGACAGTGCAAATTCAGAACACTTCCATCATCACAATAAATTCTATTGGACAGGGCTGTCCTAGGGAACCTAGAATATGCACTGTTTGCCCCAGTGAGTTGAAGTTATAAGACTTTTATTCCTGGCACCACCTCCTGGAATGGCAGGCCATTTTTTTTTTTTACTTTTATCAAGATTCCTCCTACACAGGGGTAAAGTGACAGAAAGGTCAAGAAGGAACTTTGAGCTCCCCCTAGAGGTTTGAGTGTGTGGCCAGGAGAATCCTTTTACAAAGATGAATTTAATACTGTGAATAACAACTTTTTACCTGAAACTGTTCAATATGGTAGCCACTACTCACATATGCCTATTTATAACTTAAAACTGAATTAATTAAATATAATTTAAAATTTCTGTTTCTCAGGCACAATGCCACACATTTTAAGGGCTGAACAGACACATGTGACCAGTGGCTATCATACTGAACTGAGGTAGATAGAGAATATTTCCATCATCACAAAATTTTATGGAACAGTACTATTTGTACTACATGCTTTCTAAATTATTTTTTCCTTTAACATGTCCTCTTAATGAAGTAACCAGAATATTTAACTCCACCCTTCACTGTATTTCCAAAATGCCAGAAAATAAACCCAGAATTCTACTCATTCAGTTTTAACATGTGCTTCTTAGCTCCTTTCCTTCTAAAACTGAAATCTTAAATATAAGTGTATGATTGGTAGTCAAAGATGGTCTATTCTTAGAGGATACACATCAAGCATCTGTCAAATTCATAAGCAGATAAGCAAACTGGAAGGCACAAGATTTCAGGTAACATTGGGATGGTAACAACAGAGACTAAATATATAAAAAATAACAGGAAATAAATCTAAACCTATTTGAGTAGCTTATCATATTTCTTAGAAATCTTTCAATGAGAAGATAGAAGAAATGTCTTGTCTGCAAACGCCAAAGAGAAGTCCTCAGAGATGGGCAGAGTCTATTAAAATGCTTATCAGGGACAATGAGAGCTTTTTGCTCCAAGTTAGTTATCTTTGCCCTGTTGGTTCTTATAAATAATTGCAAGGCTTCAGAGCTAAAATGAAAGACCAAATATACTATATGGTGATTTTCCTGTTAGAGTACAAAATTTGTTCCAAAGATGATGACAATTACTGATGAATAAATCTAAGCAATGTCCCCAGAAAATTAATCATTTTGTTCTCTGGGCAGAAGACTCTTTTATCTTTTATTTATTATTTATTTATTTTGAGACAGGGTCTCACTCTGTCACCCAAGCTGAAGTTCAGTGGCTCAATCTCAGCTCACTGCAAACTCCACCTCCCAACCTCAAGCGATCCTCCCGCTTCAGCCTCCTGAGGAGCTGTAACTACAAGTGTGTGCCACCACGCCCGGCTAATTTTTTGTATTTTTGGTAGAGACAGGTGTCACCACGTTGTCCACGCTGGTCTCCAACTCCTGAGCTCACGTGATATGCCCGCCTCAGCCTCCCAAAGTATTGCGATTACAGGCATGAACCACCATGCCCGGCCTCTTTTACCATTTTTAAATTTGTCTGATGAGCGACCAGCACTGATTCAGAAAAGGCAAGTCTTTTAGGTCACATTCAATCACCTTGCATTTCATCTTGAGGCACAGCTAGAAGTACACATCTGTTTCAAAGACATAAAGCCAACTCTCAAGAGGCAAATTTTTGGAGAACACCCAAAAATATGGGACTTGAGAATGAGTTTTGCAGTGCATCAGATTAACTGACTGAAGTGTGAATGCAGCATCTGGCTCAGAGTGAATGCTTTCATGAATTCCAAGTCTAGATAGGTCTTTCAACTACTACAGTATGGCCAGCGATGAGACTGGTCACTCCTTTGAAGTCATCACACTTATAGTCTGCTTTAGGCAAATAACACTAAATCAAGTACCGCCTTGCATTCCATCCCTTGTGTTGTCTTGACCAGCTTTTTAACTCATTGATGTATGTACACAAGCTTCAATTGGATTTTATGCTCTTGGACTACAGGAGTGTATATTATACTTTTATTTTTATTTTTATTTTTAAAACTACAGTTCTTTTATTCATCCTAACACCTAGCAGACAGCCCTCCACATAGTAAGCACTTAAGTATTTGGTGACTGGAGATATGAAAAGGCCTACAGTAAAAGAGAAAAATCATGCAATCACTAGATAAAAAACTACCTAGATTTGTGTATCTGACTCCAAAATTGGGCTGGAATTGTTAGTAGACAAATTTTCTTCTGGCAAACAAACAAAAATGCAACAAAACTTCAAGATAAACAATCTATGTAGTAAGGCAGTGTCAAACACATCCGTTTTACCCAAACGACAGAACAAATACCAATAAGATGACAGACATCAAAATCAAACTTTGCAGCAATAAACAAATTTTCATATCTGACTGTAAATTAAAATCTTGTGTGCTTAGAAACATGTTCATTTAGACAGTATTAAAAAGTAGGATGTTAGTCTCAAAATCCAAGAGTTAAATTATTAATTCAATTTCAATACTTATAATTTTAGTATTTTTACTGTATAGATAAGAGGACCAAGGCACAGTCCAAAGAAGGTAAGTGACATGCTTTAAGGTGATTCAGGAAGGTGGTCAGAAAAGGGTGCAATAAGGCTCAGCTTTCTGATCCTTTATACAATGTGAGGAAGGCTGCTAATCAGAAATTATCTGACTAAAGGAAGGTTTGCATGGAAAAATTAAAGTTGCTATATAGCTCTTCCTTTTAAAGTTAGAAGAAATTATTTACTGGGTTTTCATAGTTGAATTCTTTTTTTTTAAGAGACCAGGTCTCACTATGTTGCCCAAGCTGGAGTACAGTGGCTATTTACAGGTGCTATGATCATGGCACACTGCAGCCTCAAATTCATGAGCTCAAGCGATCCTCCCACCTCACCCTCTAAAGTAGCTGGGACAACAGGGAAGCGCTACTGTACCCGGCTCATAATTGAATTTTTGACAGGAATTTCAAATATATTAGCCCAGAAATGTAATTGACTCACACATATTCCTTCTCTGTGAGCCTCTGACATTGAGTTCACATGTACTTTAGTCTGCGTAAGAAGTTCCTCCTTTTCCTTTTCCACATCTTACTACTTTGCTTCTATTTTGTAAAATCTAAAGCAAAAAGTATTACTAAGTTTCTTTTTGTAGTTCTCATCAACACAAAGTGAAAGAGATTTTTGAACTACTTGTTTTAAATCTGCATTTCTGAAACTGGGATCTAATGACTTCTTTTCAGAGGTTTGAGATTCTCTGAGATTTTAAGATAGCAGTTTTATTTTCATAAGCATAATCTGAGTTACTTGAACATCCACTTCATAATTGTGTAGGAATATGATTTCAGTGACCACATTTGCTTCTGTGCTGAAGATTACATTCACACTAAATCTCCTTAAATGCAGTATTCTTCAGACTGGGTTCCAAAGTCTGTTTTTTCGTTAAACAGCAGTATTATTGAATAATACTGCTGCAGATTTTTATATTTTCCAATATTCTCTTTCTAGACTTTATTTGGTGAATTAATTAAATAAGGCCGGATGTGGTGGCTCTCGCCTATAATCCCAGCACTTTGGGAGGCCAAGGCAGGCGGATCGCTTGATTCTAGGAGTTTGAGACCAGTCTAGGCAACACAGTGAGACCCTGCTTCTAAAAAAACAAAAATACAAAATTTAAAAATTAGCTGGGCGTGGTAGTAAATGCCTGTAGTCCTAGCTACTCAGGAAGCTGAGGTGGGAGCATCACTTAGGTCCAGGAGTTCAAGGCTGCAGTGAGCTATGATCACGTTACTGCACTCCAGCTTAGGCAACAGAGCAAAACCCTGCCTCCATTAAAAATAAACATAAAACAAATTAAAAAAAATGTAGTGTCTACTATATGCTAGTACAGCAGTGAGTAAGAGAGACCAGAACCTGTCCTTAGAGAGCTTATCATTCTGGCAGGAACACTCAACATTACTAATGAAAAAGTCTGGGTTCTTTGATTGAAATCACATAAAGAGTAGAGCACTTTAAAACACAAAACAGTTATCTGCCCTCCTTGTTAACAGCTACTATGGATCAGAGAACCCATACTCATCAGCACATTCCCAAAATACCCTAAGAGCTTGAGGTCAACTTGGTTTTACCTGTCTGGACACAGGTAAACCAATCCTCTTCTAAAAATTATTCAAATAAATCTCCTTTTCTTGCTTTAAGTTATCCTTCTCATAACTGGACAATGAAACAACCCAATTAGATACTCCCTGGTTGAGAAACAATTTTATGGAGAGATTTATATTCAGTGAGGTTTTGACAACACACTTTTTCTGCGTGATTGGGAAGTTTCTACAGACAGAAATCAATCAAGCTGAAACAGTTTAAAATGCCTAAAATGCACTTCTAAACTCAAGAAGAGGTCATGGATAGACGCTAGCCAAGACAGTACAAAAAGTCTCCCAAAAATTTAACCTTGGCTGGGCACGGTGGCTCACGCCTGTAATCCTAGTGCTTTGGGAGACTGAGGCAGGACAGCTTGAGACCAGGGAGCTAAAACCAGCCTGAGCAACGTAGAAGACCCTGTCTCTTAAAAAAAAAAAAAAAAAAAAAAAAAATTTAATGAGCCAGGTGTGGTGGGGCATGCCTGCAGTCCTAGCTACTGGGGAGGATTGTTTGAGCCCAGGAGTTCTTCAGGTTGGGCAAGAGAGGGAGATCCTCTCTCTAAATATAAATAAATAAAAATTAAAATTTAACCTTAATGACGTTGAATAGAACAAATGAGATTCAGAGAAGAGTAGCTTTGTCCTATTAGCTACTACTTTAATGTCTTTGTTAAAAAAAGAGAAAGCTTAAGAAGTCCCAAAGATAAATGTTATCAAATACACTAATTTAAATTTGTAATGGAGTAATTAATGGGTGGCAAATTCCTTGAACAATAGTAGGTTTTAAATATCTTAGTTTGTGGACCCAGTTTTCTAAGCAACAACATCCCCAAAGAAATACTACTGGAGCCAAGACCTGGAGAACTTTGGTGCAATTTCCCTCCTTTAGCTTACTCTAACTCATGATTGCGCCTATTAGACTTTATTATTGCTCTTTAGTGTGATCATTCTTATTTTATAATTGTTCTTGGTGGTTTTTATCCCCCCTCAAGAAGTTCCCAGAAAAAGTGCCAGCTGTATCAGAAAAGAAGTGCACAGATAATAGGATAAGTAGTTCAGTAAAAACTGGGAGAATCCTATCACAATCTTTTTAGCAGCCACTACGATGAGGAAATGAGCTTAACTAAAATACAACTCCTTATCTGCCAATAATACAAATATGAAAGCCTAGAGTCAGTTCTAGTAGCAAAATCTTAACCTGGCTAAGATTTCTAGCCCAAATTAAGCCTCTGCATTTAAACATGCAGGTACACAAGGACGGCCAGATGCACACTGAGAGTTCTACTTGTCACCACATCCGGCACAGAAACTGAAGCAGGGAAAAACTGGCTTTCCTGAAGGAGCTTCCTAAGAAACCGCAGGGCCTCAAGCCAATCTAACTCTGGAGGCATCGACAATCCAAATTCCAGACCAACTCTTGGCCAAGCTAACTTTTATGGTGTACACTAACTCCGCGGTAACAATACACAATCTGGCTACAATCAAGCCTTTCCAATTCTCCAAAGCATCTCTAGTCTTACTCGTCCTTCGTAGCTCAAGATAGAAGCAAAGCGACTGACACAAAGGCCAGTCGTCCCAAGGCGCTTTTTCTATGGCTCCGCTACGGCCACTTATTAACTATTCCTAAACTAGGGGCTCAATGCCCCCCCCTTCTGCCCTTCCTCAATCCTGCCCCGGCCGGTAAGCCTCTGCCTGGGAGCCCCTCCGCCTGGAACAAAGCGAGGGGCCCCGGCGGTGGGGGCAAGAGGCGCCAGCGGCACGGGGACTGCCGCACGGCGCACAATGAGAAACTACCAACTTCAGAGCGCAGGAACATCTCAATTGGCAAGAAAGAGGGGCGGCGGCAGGCACGCCCAACTTCAAACTCAGGAAACCTACGGGCTGGCGGCCATCTGGGAAAAAGCCCCCTTCCCAGGGAGAGAAGAAAAAGGCGGAGGAGATGCGAATCGCCCACCGGGCCCCGGAGGAGAGCCCTGCCCTCAGACCGGCCCCCGCCCCCGAGGCCCGCTTCCCCGCCTTCTCTCTGCCTCTGGTTCGCTGCCCCAGGCCGGGCGGCCGGTTACCTTGATGCGCTCCCGGCACTGGGACGGGGTCCGCTCGTAGCCCAGCTCGGCCAGGGCCCGGGACACGCGCTCGTACATGGCTGGCCCGGGGGCCTTGCTGCCGAACACCGTGCCGGCTCCCTCCAGCTGCTGGTACCGCGCCTCCACCAGCCGCTCGTTGCCCCACACTGCGATGAGCGCGTTCGTCTCGGCTGGCGTCCACGACATGCCCCGGCAGGCGGCGGCGGCGGCTGCCGCAGCCCCGCCACCGCCGCCACCAGGGGAGAAGGAGACCGAGGACGAGGCGGCGCTGCGGCCCCCCAGCCCCAGCCCGAGACCCCCGGACGCCGCTGCCCCCGAGCCCGCCGCACTGCCCGGCCCGAGCGGGGAGGCACCCCGAGGCGTGGAAGGGTCGGACAGCGATGGATTTCCGTCGCTCAGGCCACCAGGAGAAGCCGGGGAAAGCACCTCCATCTTCGGAATTTTTAGCGGCGAGTTGGCGGGCAGCTCCGAGCCACAGGGCGCAGCCATCTTCCAAGCGGCCGCCGCTGCACCGCCCGGAAGTGACGCGCCCGCGCATCCGGCCACCGCGGTCTCCGGGGCTGCCCTCGGGCCTGGCTCGCCCGCGGGCGGATGGCTCCGGGTCTCTGCTGCTGAGGATGTGGCTGCCGGGCGGAGGTCGTCCACTCCCCTGGGCCTTTCTCCGCGAGCCCTCCCACGCCGCCCGCTCCTCTCCCGGGGCGAAGGGCGGGGACGAGGCGCGCCGAAGCCCCGAGCTGAAGAGAAGGGTGGGGGCATGAGGGCGCTGGAGTGAGGAACAGATTGGAGCCTTCCCACTTCCTCTCCAATCTCAGCCCCCGGGAGGAGGGGTGAGGCCCTCGAGGGGGCCCGGAGTTAAGGAGGAATAGACCGTTTCTCTCTCTCCTGTCTCCCCCGCCTCTGCCCGTCTTCCCTCTAAGCCGGCCTCTAGGTGCAGAGGCTGACGTCCAGGATGGGGACCGGGGAAGCCTCTGGAGGGTATATCCGGGAAGGCACCAAGGCTGAAGTGAGAGCGGTTCTGGGGAAGGCTTTAAAAAGCAGATATGGACCAGGGTAGAGTTCGTACGCTGTAGCTTTTCAAGAACACCGATCTCATTAATTAAAGAACAGCAACTATTTAATTCCAGTTATAAACTATTGTTTTCCAGTTAGTCTGGGTAGGTGTGGCCGTTTGTAGAATAGTTAGATTACATTAGTCTATTGCGTTGGTACAGTTGTCTATAGCTTGAGCATATAAAAACTCCTGAGCCCAGCAGAAAAGTTACTTTCCAATACCAGTCTCCATCCTCCGTGCTTTGGAAGTTGCATCGTTTTCCGGTTTTTCGTACTCAAAGAACACTGTCAATTATGACAGCTCTGTGACCTCTGGTAATGAATTAGTGTATTAGTCACTCCTGAAACGTTCCTTAAAGTGCTGGAACTTAACAGTAGCACAGCACATCCAGTACACAGCTGTACCGTATTTCCATATTTTTCAAAGCTGAAAATCTTAATTGGATATCTTGGATCATTAACTTAAAACCTCAGCGGATTTTTCTTTCAAAGCAGACATAACTGAGGATGCTGACCAATGAATGCAAATAAACTATGCAATATTTTTTAAAATAACAAATGTATGTTAGTTTTTTTTAAGCTGAGGTCAACTATGTTTTGGGGGGTATGTGCTTTTTTAAATTATTGTTTTATTTCAATCGATTTTTGGGGGTAACAGGTGGCGTTTGGTTACATGAATAAGGTTTTTAGTGGTGATTTCTGAGATTTTGGTGCGTCCGAGCAATGTACACTGTATCCAATGTGTAGTCTTTTGTCCCTCATTAGCCTTCCCCTTACCCCTGAGCTCCCGAGTCCCCAAAGTCCAATGTATCATTCTTATTGAAGACAGCTAAATTTTTAACTCTGAGACTCACTGGAGAGAATGACTGGTTGTCTTTGGGTGTTACTGAAAAGCCAAAGGATTAAGCAATAGGGATAAAGTAGAGGAGGAGATAATTGTTCTCGTATGTCATATGAAAATGCTAACCATAGTTTGTAAGCTAACAGAAGAAGCCTGAGGAAGTTCCCGAATTTATGATATCCTCTTCCCTTTTTTCCAAAGAAAGATGCAGTCTAGCACCTCAGTTAAGAATATGGACTCTAAAGTCAGACTGCCAGGCTTCAAATTCCAGTTCTGCGACCTCAGCAAAGTTACTTAACCAAGCTCTCAGTGCCTTGTTTTCTTCATCTGTAAAATGAGGATGACGTCACAGCATTGTTGAGAGAATTAATACAGGTAAAGTCCTTAGAACGGTGCCTGGTTCACAGTAAACATTGTGTGAGGACTGTAAAAGAATCTGAAACATCTATCAAAACAAAATTAACTCTCATTCAGCCCAGTGATAAATGTTTTAATGTCATAAGGTATTTGGTGTGTATGAAAGGGAGAGTTGTGCCTAAATCATATACTAAATCAGAGATTCCAAAGAGGGGTGTGTGTGTGTGTGTGTGTGTGTGTGTGTGTGTGTGGGAGACAGGGTCTCACTCTGTCACTGAGGCTGGAGTGCAGTGGTGTGATCTCAGCTCACTGCAACCTCTGGTCCCAGGCTCAAGCGATCCTCCCACCTCAGCCTTCCAAGTAGCTGGGACCACAGGTATGTGCCACCACTCCCGGCTAATTTATGTATTTTTTGTAGAGATGGGGTTTCACCATGTTGCCTAGGCTGGTCTCAAACTCCTGGGCTCAAGTGATCCTCCACCTTTGCCTCCCAAAGTGCTGGGATTACAGGCATGAGCCACTGCACCCAGCCCTCCAAAGAGTTTTTAAATTACCACTTTAACCTTCTGTCATTGTCCCACAAGTCTGAAAAACAACAACAACAAAAACCCCTCCTCCTATTATCATGGGATCCTCGGGATGTGGCTTTGCCAGCCAGAAATCTCTGTGGCTGGTGGTGCCTTTGCCCAAGTTTTGCTTGGGCCCACTAGGTTCCTTCTGCCCACTCAGCCTGGCAGGCTGCACTCAGCTCATGCTACCAGCCCAGATCCCACACCTGCCAAGGGTAAGCCAGGCACAGAGCAGCAAGGGGTGCATGAGCGAGCAAGTGTGGGGTCTGGCCACTGCCCACAGCCAGGCACATCAGCTATGGCAGGTTGGGCAGCTCCAGGAGCCAGCATGGGCACTGGCTCCCTGTGAGGTTGCGGCTGGACCAGGCATACCACGAGCAGCTTCTGCTGATGGTACCAGGGAATGTGGTGGCTCCCAGAAGCTTGGCGACACCAGGAACTGCAGAGTCCCAAAGAGGGTGTAAGAGCCCTGGTTCGGGGAGCTCCTAGGTCTGGACTCCCCAAAGGGCCACAGGCAGGAGAATCGCTTGAATCTGGGAGGCAGAGGCTGCGGTGATCCGAGATGGCACCATTGTACTCCAGCCTGGGCAACAAGAGCGAAACTCCGTCTCCAAACAAACAAACAAAACAAAAACAAGTGTCCCTATATGCATGGGTGTGTTTCTGGGCTCTTCTATTACATTCATCTGTTTGTCTATCCATTTTTCTATTTGTGTTGCTTGTAATAATATCACACTGCTTTAATTACTGTGAGTTTATAGTAAGTCTTATGTCGAATACAGCAAGTGCCTCCTCACCCTCTTGCTTTTCCTCCTCCTCTTCCAAGAGTAGCTTGCTATTCTTAATCTTTTGCATTCTCCTATACATTTTAGAATTCATTTGTCAAATTCTACAGAAAAAAACTGCGGTTATTTTGAATGGTATTGCATTGAATCTGTGGACCAATTTGAGAACTGACATTTGTACAGTAATCACCCGTAGAGTCCTTGGAAATGGTATAAACCTTTAGTCTCTCAATAAAATTACGTTATTTACTTCATAAAGGTCTTACACATTTTTGTTCAGTTTGTTCCTAGGTAGTTGATTTTTTAAAATGTTTTTGTAAGTGGTATCATTTTTAAATTTTATTTTCTATTTTTTTTCTTTTGAGACAGGGTCTTGCCCTGTCACCCAGGCTGGAGTGCAGTGGTGTAAACATGGCTCACTGCAGCCTCAACCTCCGGGGCTCAAGCAAACCTCCTGCTGCAACCTCCCAAGTAGCTGGGTCTACAGGCATGCACCAACACATCTGGCTAATTTCTAATTTTTTTGCTGGTATATAAAAATACTAATTGATTATCTTATTTTGTATCTAGTAATCCTGATGGAGCAGTTGATTAAAATTGTATATCATTGCACGTCATTCTCTTTTTAAAAATCCAAGCCTAGTGAGACCCTGTCTCTACAAAAAGTTTTTTTTTTTTTAATTAGCTGGGCATGGTGGTGCACATCTGTACTTGCAACTACTCGGTAGGCTGAGGTGGGAGGATTGCTTGAGCCTGGGAGGTTGAAGCTGCAGTGAGCCATGATCGAGCCAGTACACTCCAGCTTGGGTGACAGAGCAAGACCCTGTTTCAAAAACAAACAAAAAAATCCACCAATGACTTTCCCTTGGAATGATATAATCCAAACTCTTTGCCATGCCTATGGTGGTTTTAAAACATGTCTGCACATTGTTTGACATTCTCCCAGGAAGAAATTAATCGAGTCTATATCTCCTCCCCTTGAATGTGGGTGGGTCTTGGTGACTACCTTGATAAACCGAATGCGATACAAGTGACACTGTGACTTTCAAGGCTAGATTTGAAAATACCCTGCAGCTTCTGGCAGTTTCTCTTGAGATACTTGCTCAGAAGCATTTCATCCACCATGTAAGAAGTTAGGCTATCCTAAGTGTACACGGAGAGACCACAAAGAGAACGAGAAAGATAGCCAGTGAACCAGAAAGATTCCAGCCTCCAGTTGGTTTTCTGCCTAATCCAGGCTCCAGACTTGTGAATGGAGAAGTGTTGAGGTGACCCCAGCTCCAGCCACCAGCTGACGACAACCATACCGGAGATCCTGAGAGCTGCCTAGCTGACCCCAGGCACCCCCCAGACTTGTGAGCAAAATGAATTATTGTTGTATGTTCTAACCCACTGAATTCTGGGGTATTTGTACGTAGCAATGGGTATTTGGAACAACAATCTGTAAGGCCCTTTTTACTCTGAGCTTAACCTACTGTGCAAACTTCATCTACCACCTCAAATACGCCCCAGCCACCCTGACCTCATCTGCCCCATCAAGCGAGCCAAACTTATTTCTGTTTTGGAGCATTTGGAGTTGTCATATCTCCTTATCTTAGAACACTCTTATCTTAGCTCTTCCAGTGACAATCCCCTTCTTGTAATTCATCTCCTCAAATGTCACCTCCCCAGAGAGGCCTGTTACCTTTTTGTCAACAGCACTTATTTTCAGAAAACACTTGTTTATGCATATTAATTTTTTTCATGTATTTATTGTCTGCATTTTCTTTCTAGCATGTAAGCTGTTTGAAGCCGAGGACTTTGTCTGTTTTGTTCACTCCCAATAGATTCAGCACTTAGAAGAATGCCAGGCAGGCTTTCCCCACCAACCAAGATGGAATAACAGGGAAAAGACATACCCTTCTATCTTCAATAATTGGAAACCCAGACAAAGTTTATGAAACGCTGGTTTTCAAGACATAGGACATCAGACAATCAAGGACAGTAAACACTGAGATGGGAAACAAACAAGGTGAGTACTGCAATTGCCCAACATTACTAGCTGGAAAGAGTTTCCCGACCATGGCAGAGGGAGGAGGATCCTTTGAGGTTCTGTGGTGTCCCTGAGTTGAGGAGACAAAGTTGAAATTCCAGAGTGGTCAAGGCAGCTGGAGTTTGTAGAGCAGAGTACCAGAAAGAAAATAGATGCACAGAGAGAACCTCAGAGATCTGCAAAAGATCTCAGCTCTTCAGCTGTGCACCTATCAGTACATGCATGTGACAAAGCACCCCAAGGCCAGGGGAAGAATCACCTGAAAGTATGAAGAGAAGAATACTTGGAGCATATACAAACCAGGAATAATTTCAGTTCTCACCAGCCAAATTGGAAGACCCCATAGATAACAGGCATTAGGTAGAGCAGGGGTCCCCAACCTCCAGGGGCACTGACCAGTACTGTTCATGGCCTGTTAGGAACTGGGCTGCACAGCAGGAGGTGAGCGGCAGGCTAGCCAGCAAACCTTCATCTGTATTTATAGCTCCCATCACTTGCATTACTCCCCATCACTCCCCATCACTTGCATTACCACCTGAGCTCCACCTCCTCTCAGATCAGCAGCAGCATTAGATTCTCATAGGAGTGTGAACCCTACTGTGAACTGCACATGCAAGGGATCTAGGTTGTGCACTGTTTATGAGAATCTAATGCCTGATGATCTGAGGTGCAGCTGAGGCAGCATAGCTAGGAGGTAGGTATTTTGTTGCTGGGGACTCATATCAAAACCCTATCAGTGAGTGGCAAGTGACAATTAAGCTGCATCTGGTGGCAGACTTTATAGAGGCAAGTGAGTCAATGTATTTCAATTGCACAGCTCTATCTGGTGGCAAGTTTTAAGTCAGAATCTGACACTTAATTTAGTCTGTGCATGGCCTGCCCATTATTTTATTTACCACTTCTGTCTGTGCCTCTTTGCTGCACTGAACACTTGTCTCAGTCACAGTTTTGGTAAGCCCACAAGCTAACCCTAGCTAAAATGAGTAAAAAGCAAACGACACTGGAGAGCTTCTTTGAAAAGTCAGAGAGACCCAATGATGAGACAGCAGAAGACTCTTAAGACTGCCAACAAAAAGAAAGCTGCACTTAAAAGAAAATACCAGACTGGGCGTGGTGGCTCACACCTGTAATCCTAGCACTTTGGGAGGCTGAAGCAGGTGGATCCCTTGAGGCCAGGAGTTTGAGACCAGCCAAGCCAACATGGTGAAACCCATGTTTCTAAAAAAAAAAAAAAAAAAAATTAGCCGGGAATGGTGGTGCGTGCCTGTAATCTGAGCTACTCAGGAGGCTGAGGCAGGAGAATCTCTTGAACCCAGGAGGCAGAGGTTGCAGTGAGCTGAGACTGTGCCACTGCACTCCACTCCAGCCTGGGTGCCAGACCAAGACTCTGTCTCAGAAAAAAAAAAAAGAAAATGCCAAAAGTTCTACTTAAGTTATGGGTTAATTGCAACAGGTGATTCACATTCTCTAAGCCCACTTTGTATATTATGTGCTGACCCACTATTCAAGGAAGCCATGAAAACTTCAAAACTGCTTCACCACCTGGAGACCAAGCACCCTGCATTAAAAGACAAGCCTTTGGAGTTTTTCTAAAGAAAAAACATGAACACAGAGAACAGAAGTAATTATTGAAGGCCACTACTTCATTAAGTGTGTCTGTACTGAGAGCATCGTTCCTAGTGGCTAACCACGTTATTAGGCTAAGAAGCCCTTTAGTATTGGTGAAGAGTTGATCCTGCCTGCTGCTAAGGACATTTGTCATGAACTTTTAGGAGAGGCTGCTGTTCAAAAGGTGGCACATGTTCCTCTTTCAGCTAACACCATAACTAGAAGAATGGATGAAATAGCAGAGAATATTGAGGCACAATTGTTAGAGAGGATTAATGAGTCACCGTGCTACACAATCCACAAAAGGGTTTTGTCCCAGAAATAGACTCATACATATATGATCAGTGATTTTCAACAGTGGTACAAATGCAAGTCAGCGCAGAAAAAATAATCTCTTCAACAAATGGTGCAGGAACAATTGGATATCCATAAAATGAACTCGGATCCACGCTTTGCACCATATGCAAAAATTGACTCAAAATAGGTATAGGTCCTAGACCTAAATGTAACAACCTGAAACTCTAAAATTTCTCAGGAAAAAAATGGGATAAAATCTTTGTGGTCTTGGATTAGGCAAAGATATTTTCTTGTGTTTGTGGGTAAAGAAACCTTTAATGAGGGTTCAAGGTGTAAGAGGAGGACCTTGTAGAGAGCCAGCGCTTAGCCCCAGCCTCCTCATATGCACATGGCTCTGTAGAGGTTCTCCAGACAGTGCTGCTGCTGCTGTTTCGAGCCTTATCTCCTCTGTGCTCCTCACAAGTGTCGTTAACAGCGGGCAGCTCCTGGCAGCACAAGGGACAGGGATTTGTCTTGCTTAGCCGGGGCAAAATGCAGTTAGAATGGAAAAGCTAATGGCAAGGCATCCCAACAACAGCCTCCTCCTCCTCAAGCACATGGGGCACTTGTGTGTGCCTCTCAGCCTGAGAGCTCCTGATGACTGTCCTGGGGAGGTTCCCAACCACACTGTCTTGGCAGCTGGTGGAGGCAGGTGGTGATTCCAATTTACTGCCATCCCCGAGTCTTCAAAATCCATCCTATTGAAAAGTGATCTGGTGAGCTCCAGCAGCATGTGGGTTAGGGTCTCCTGCTTGGGGTTCAAGAGCTTGCAGTCCTGTTCATTGAAATAGGCTGTCATGGCTGCTCAGCTCTCTGACATATCTCTCAGACTGGCAAAGATATTAGGTCTGATACCAAAAGTACAATCCATAGAAGAAAAAGGATGGATACATTGGACTTCATTAAAATTAAGAATGTTTTCTCCTTGAAAAATAATGTTAAGAGAATAAGAAGATAAGCCACAAACTTGGAAAAAAAGTAATTGTAAATTACATATCTGATAAAGTACTTGTACCCAAAATATGCACAAGAATCTCAAAACTCAATAATAAGAAAACAATCCAATTTAAGAAATTATTTTAACATACATTTTACAAAAGAGGATATATAGATAGCAAATAAGCCCACAAAAAGATATTGAATATTATTGACCATTGGGAAAATGCAAATTAAAACAAAATGAGATACCATTACACACCTATTAGAATGTCTAATATTGAGAAGACTAATCATACTAACTGATGAGGATTTGGAGCAACTGGAACTCTCAAACCCTGCTGATAGATAAATGCACAACCACTTTGGAACAGTTTGGTAGTTTTTTAAAAAGTTAAACATACATCTGCCTTATGCCCCAGCCATACAATTTTTAGACATTTCTCAAGGAAAATGAAAGCATATGTTCATTCAGAGATACACATGCATATTCATTGCAGCTTTATTTGTAACAGCCAAAAACTGGAAACAGCCCAAATGTCCAGCAACAAAAGAATGGATAAACAAATTGTGGTATATTTACTACCTAGCAGTTGAAAGAAATAAACCTCTGACACACACAAGCTGGATTAAAAAAGAAGAGGAAATGAATTATTGATACATATAATAAAGATTACTCTCAAAATAATTATGGTAAGTCAAAGAAGTCAGACCATGCTCCCTAAGAGTATATACTTCATGATTCAATTTCTGTACAATTCTATAAAATGCAAATTAATATATGATAACAAAAAGTGATTGCCTGGAAATGGTGAGAGGACAGAGGGGCCAGAATCAGCCAGGATTACAAAGATGCACAAGGAAACTTTTGAGGGTGGTGGATATCTTGAGTGTGGTGATAGTTTTACAGTTGTATGCCTATGTTAGAAGCTATCAAATTGTACACTTTAAGTATGTACACTTTGTTGTATATTAATTATGCCTTAATAAAGTTATTATAAAAAGTAGTTCCAGGCAATACTAGACACTCAATAAACATTTGTAAACTAGTCGTTGACTTTCTTGGACTGTGACTTGTTAGCAGTTAGGGATTGATTATTCTGTACATGTTTATGTAATACCTGGCAAAATACCATGCTGGAGTAAGTGCTCAATAAATGCTATTTTAAGAATGTTATCAGTCAAGCCTGGTGGCTTATGCCTGTAATCCCAGCACTTTGGGAGGCCGAGGTGGGTGGATCACCTGAGGTCAGGAGTTTGAGACCAGCCTGGCCAACATGGTGAAACCCTGTCTCTACTAAAAATACAAAAAATTAGCTGGGCATGGTAGCACATGCCTGTAATCCCAGCTACTTGGGAGGCTGAGGTAAGAGAATCACTTGAACCCGGGAGGTGGAGGTCGCAGTGAACTGAGATAGCACCATTGCACTCCAGCCTGGTAAACGAGCAAAACTGCATCTCAAAAAAAAAAAAAAAAAAGAATGTTATCATCTGTTACATATCCATCAAATTCATGTCATTTAAGTGACACTAAAGATAATATATTTTTTCTGACAAAATGTTTAACTTCATTAGCAATTTAAAAATACAAATTAAAATAATGAAATACTGTTTTTAACCTTTCAGTTTGCAAATAATTTTAAATGATAGAATAAGCATGTTATTTTATATTTGGAAGAACAAAAGAAGCCATTTCCATTTCTAAAGCATGTGATGGCTGGGCATGGTGACTCACGCCTGTAATCCCAGCACTTTGGGAGGCGGAGGTGGGTGGATCACTTGAGGTCAGGAGTTCAAAACCAGCCTGGCTAACATGGTGAAACCCCATCTCTACAGGCATGGTGGCGTGCACCTGTAATCCCAGCTACTTGGGAAGGTGAGACACGAGAATCACTTGAACCCAAGGGGTCAGAAGTTGTAGTAGCCTTGATGCCACCACTGCAGAGCAGCCTGGGCAACAGAGCAAGACTCCATCTCAATAAATAAATAAATAGAGCATTTTATCGTACCTACTTGACAAGAGATTGGGAAAATAGGTGCTCTCTCTCACTCTACTAATAAGATGTAAACTGGGAGAAATTTTCTGTTGGACAATTTTAATAAATATCAAAAGCTTCAACAACATGAAAGCCCTTTGATCCAACTGTCCCACTTCTAGAAATGTATGCTAAGAAAACAAGACTGCACACAAAGATTTAGTCACTAGATTGTTCAGCACGATACTGTTGATGATGTCAAAAATTAGAATTGACCTACAAAGCCAGCAGTAAGAGACTGGTTAATAAACACTGCTGTATTCATTCCATGAAATACTATTCTGACATAAAAAATGGTATAGTAAATGAACTAACTTAGTTCAAAATAACAGGTTTGTTTAAGCCAGTTGTAGTCTGTAGTCTCAGCTATTCGGGAGGCCAGACTGGGCAACGTAGTGAGACCATGTTCCTAAATAATAATAATAATAATAATAATAATAATAATAATAATAGGCTTGCTTTTTTTTGAGACGGAGTCTCGCTCTGTTGCTCAGACTGGAGTGCAGTGGCACTATCTCGGCTCACTGCAACCTCTGCCTCCTGGGTTCAAGCGATTCTCCTGCCTCAGCCTCCTGAGTTGCTGGGATTACAGGCTTGCGCCACCACCACGCCCGGCTAATTTTTTGTATTTTTAGTAGAGGCGAGGTTTCACCCTGTTGGTCAGGCTGTTCTTGAACTCCTGACCTCGTGATCCACCCACCTCGGCCTCCCAAAGTGCTGGGATTACAAGCATGAGCCACCACGCCCAGCCAATAATAGGCTTGTTAAAAGAATGAAAAGACAAGCCACAGACTGGGAGAAAATATATGCAAAATACAAATCTGATAAAGGACTTGCATCTAAAATACACAATGAACTCTTAAAACTCAACAATAAGAATTACAAATAATTCAATTTCCTAATATAAGCAAAAGATCTATACAAAGATGATAAACAGATGAAAACTATGAACATGGAAAGATGTCATTAGGGATTGGTATACTGAAACAACAATGAATTACCACTATACGCCTATTAAAATGAGTAAAATGCAAAACATTTTACTCATTTTGCATTTGACAACACCCAACGCTGACAACACCCAACGCTTTACATTTTACTCATTTTGCACTGACAACACCCAATGCTGGCGAGGATGTGGAGCAACAGGAGCTCTCATTCATGGCTGGTAGAAATGCAAAATGTACAGTCACAAAGCTAACATGGTCTTACCACGTGATCCAGCAATAGTGCTTATGTCCACACAAAAACTTGAACATGAATTTTCAAAACAACTTTACTCGTAGTTACCAAAACCAGAAAGGAAGGAAGATGTCCCTTAATAGAAGAGTGGATAAACAAACTGTGGTATACTCACACAATGGAATAGTATTTGGTAAAAAGAAATGAACTAACAAGCCGTGAGAAAACATGAGAGAAACTTAAATACATATTCCTAAGTGAGAGAAGCCAGTCTGAAAGACTATGTTTCCTGCTAGATGACATTCCGGAAGAGGTAAAACTATAAGGACAGTAAAAAGACCAGTGGTTACCATGGGGGAGGAGGAGAGGGATTAAGGGATAGAGCACGGGAATTTTAGGACAGTAAAACTCTTCTGTATGATACTGTAATGGCGGATATGTAACATTATGCATTTGTTAAACCCCATAGCATAGAACTATACAACCCAAAAAGTGAACCCTAATGTAAATGATGGATCTTAGTTAATACTAATGTATCAATATTAGTTCATCAATTGTAACAAAGGTACTATACACTAAAGCAAGATGTTAATAATAGGGGAAACTGTGGGGTGCCGGGTGGGGGGTGTCGGGGAGGGACTCTACTGCTGCTCAATTTTTCTATGAATTCAAAACTGCTCTAAGAAATAAAGCTTATTAAAATGTTTTTTTAAATAGCCCTACATTTGTTAATTCGAAAAAGGGCTGAAACAAATATGCAACTGGTTTAGTACTGGCTAGACTGAATGCTGGTTTTTTGTTTTGTTGTTGTTTGTCTTTGTTTTCTTACCGAGAAAGAAGTGATGGTCTTGTGATTTTTAAGAAAGGAAAATCAGTTGTTCAAAAAAGAAGTATTGGAAGAAATGATGCAATAGTGTTTCCTCCCTTCCATGGTGCAGCCCACCCTGGGCCACTGTAACACTGAAGGTAGTCTGTGTCACATTTGTTGCCCAGTGGGGACATAATGCCTACCTCATGGGAAAGAATGAGGCATAAATAAGGTAATTCATGAAGGGTACTTTGCATGGAGCCTGGTACTGCTAAACACAATGAAAGATCACTGATGCTGTTTCCTCTCATCTGCATGGAAGGGCTCCCATCCCCAAACCCACTCCTATCTAACACTGACAGCCTTGTCACACTATATAACTTGGAACCACCAGTAGCAATCTCATCATGCCCTTTTACCCATTGAAGAGACTCACCATGAGAAGCCCAAGAATCTGAGGACACTCTAAATGTTCTGGAATTTAGTAACCAAGAGACTCTGTAAATTCTCTTTTCCAACTCTGTTACTCACCCCTTCCAAAATCCTCTGGTATTCAGGGTAGGCGATTAAAAAAAAAAAAATCCCTATGTCCTCAATCTCTTATCTGATCATTCTTTACACTTTCTGGCTCTTACTCAAACTTGGCTGTCTCATTTCCCCCTCAGCCCTTGTAAGTGAGGGCTATTACTTCTCAGCTCACTGGTTCCTTCCTTTCTTTGTAGTATCCATTTGGCAAAACCACAATCCTGTTTAAATCCAGCTGTCTCCCTATGTCACACCTGCACCATGTAACTGCTTATGGCTAGAAAAAACCCACAAAACTATGCCAACTGGTCTTCCTTTCAATTAGATGTGACCACAGATTTCAAGTGAGCTCTTAATGTGGCTCAGCAACCATTTCGTTTCTCGTATTAATTCATTCTCTCACTCTCCTATAGAACTATGTTATGCCTTTGGCCACCTCAAACTGAAAATCTCTTTCTCCAATCTTCGTTCTTAGCTCATCGTCTTTCTTCCTGTTTCACTGAAAAAGAAATGGAAAGGATTAGAATCAAAGCTCCCAACACATTTACTTACCTACATGGTGTACCTCTAGTTAGTGCTAATTAGTCTGTACTTTTAGCTAAGATCAATGCCTCTGCCTAAGCACTAAATGCTATCATCTCTACCTACAAGGACATTGTTCCAGAAAGTTTCTCTTCTAACTCCTTCAGCAGCAGTTGTTTTCCCCTTGTATTGGATCATTCTTATCAGTATATCATGCTTTCATTATTTTTGTCTCATTAAAAAAAATCTCAAAACCTACCCTCTTCCTCCAGCTACTGTCCAATTTCTCTCCCTTTAAAAAGAGATAGAGCACAGCCAGGCACGGTGGCTCATGCCTGTAATCCCAGCACTTTGGGAGGCCAAGGCTGGAGGATCACCTGAGGTCAGGAGTTGGAGACCAGCCTGGCCAACATGGCGAAACCCCGTCTCTACTAAAAATACAAAAATGAGCTGGGCGTGGTGGCACGTGCCTGTAATCCTAGCTACTTGGTAGGCTGAGGCAGGAGAATTGCTTGAACCTGAGAAGCGGAGGTTGCAGTGAGCCAAGATTTGTGCCACTGCACTCCAGCCTGGGCGACAGAGTGAGACTCCATCTAAAGAAAAAAAAAGATATAGCTACTTTATTAAATTTTTTAATATTTTATTTTTTCTTTATTAAACCATATAATTGGCCAACTTAAAGTGTACATTTTGATGATTTTTAATACCTTCACAGAGTTATGCAACCATCACCGTGATCAACTTTAGAATATTTTCATCATCACCCAAAGAAATGCCATACCCATTAGCTATCACTCCCCATTTCCTCCCACCACCCCAGCCTTAAGCAACAACTAATACATTTGCTCTTCCTATAAATTTGTCAATCCTGAATGTTTAATGTGAATGGAATCATATAATATGTTGGTTATTGTGACTGGCTTCTTTTATTTAGCTTAACGTTTTCAAGGATCATCCATATTGTAGCATAAATTAGTAATTCATCCTTTTTTATTGCCAACGAATACTCCATTGTATGGACAAACCACATTTTATCTGTTCATCAGTTGATGGCCATTTGGGTTGTTTCTTCTTTTTGGCTATTATGAATAATATTGCTATGCATATTCATGTAGAAGAAAAATTTTTTGAGACTCTGTTGCCCATGCTGGAGTTCAGTGGCATGGTCATAGCTCACTGCAACCAACCAACTCCTAGGCTCAAGCTATCCTCCCACCTCAGTCTCCTGAGTAGCCAAGACTACAGGCACAGGCTACCACACCCAGCTAATTTTTAAATTTTTTTGTAGAAACAGGGTCTCATTATGTTGTCCAGACTGGTCTCAAACTCCTGGCCTCAAGAGATTCTCCCACCCCAGCCTCCCTGAGTTGCTGGAATTACAGGGGTGAGCCACCATGCCTGGCTGTCTTTCACTTTCTTGATAACATCACTTGAAGCATAAGTTTTAAATTTTGATGAGTCACCTAATTATTTAATTTGTCATTTGTGCCTTTGCTGTCAAATCTTAGAAGTCTATGACTAACCCAAAGTCACAAAGACTTACTCCTATATTTTCTTTGAAGACTTTGAGAATTTTAGCTCTTACACTTAGGTTTATAATTCATTTTGGGTTAATATTTGTGTACGGTATGAGGGAGAGATCCAACTTTCTTTTTCTTTTTCTTTTTTTTTTTTTTTTTGCATTTGGATATCCAGTTGATCCATCACTGTTCATGAAAAGGACTATTCTTACTCAATTGAATTGACCCCCTTGTCAATTCATTGTAAACGTGAGGATTTACTTCTAGACTCTCATCTGGTCCATCAATATATATCTATCCCTATGCCAGTACTACACTATCTTCATTACTATAGCTTTATAGTAAGTTTTAAAATTATGAAGAATGAGTTATCCAACTTTGCTCTTTTTCAAGACTGTTTTGGCTATTCTGGGTCCCTTGCATTTCCATAGATATTTTAGCATCAGCTTATTAATTTGTGCAAAAAAAAAAAAGCCAAAAGCTAGGATATTGATGGGATTGCATTGAATCTGTAGATCAGTTTGTAGAAGGGGAGTACTGACATCTGCTATGGTTTGAATATGTGTGTTTCCTAAAATTCATATAATAGAACCTAAGATCCAATGTGATTACATCAAGAGGTTGATGGCCGGGCATGGTGGCTCACACCTGTAATCCCAGCACTTTGGGAGGCCAAGGCGGGTGGATCATCTGAGGTCAAGAGTTCCAGACCAGGCTGGCCAACATAGTGAAACCTCATCTCTACTAATAGTACCAGAAAAATTAGCCAGGCATGGTGGTGGGCTCCTGTAACCCCAGCTACTTGGGAGGCTGAGGCAGGAGAATTGCTTGAACCCAGGAGGTGGAGGTTGCAGTGAGTTGAGATTGCACCATTGCATCATTCCAGCCTGGGCAACGAGAGTGAAACTCTGTCTAAAAAAAAAAAAAAAAGAAAGAAAAGAAAAGAAAAGGAAAAAAAAGGCCGGGCGCAGTGACTCACACCTGTAATGCTAGCACTTTGGGAGGCCGAAGTGGGTGGATTTCCTGAGCTCAGGAGTTCGAGACCAGCCTGGGCAACATGGTGAAACCCCGTCTCTACTGAAATACAAAGAATTGGCCAGGCGCGGTGGCTCACGCCTATAATCCCAGCACTTTGGGAGGCCAAGGAGGGCGGATCACAAGGTCAAGAGATCGAGACCATCATGGCCAACATGGTGAAACCCCATCTCTACTAAAAATACAAAAATTAGCTAGGCGTTGTGGCGCACACCCGTAGTCCCAGCTACTCAGGAGGCTGAGACAGGAGAATCACTTGAACCCAGGAGGCAGAGGTTGCAGTGAGCCGAGATCACGCCACTGCACTCCAGCCTGGTGACAGAGTGAGACTCTATCTCAAAAAATAAATAAATAAAATAAAATAAAATACAAAAAATTAGCCAGGTGTGGCAGCATGCACCTGTAGTCCCAGCTGCTGTGGAGTCTGAGGCAGGAGAATTTCTTGAACCCAGGAGGCAGAGGTTGCAGTGAGCCAAGATCGCACCACTGCACTCCAGTCTGGGAAACAGAGCGAGACTCCGTCTCTAAACAAACAAACGGACAAACAAAAACAAACAAACAAAAGAGGTGGACGTGGAGTCCTGATAAGTAAGCAACAATGAGGAAAGGGCCCCAGGTTGGGGAGAGTAATTGTTCTGAGAAATGGCTAACTGCAAACAACCCACTGGTACAACATTCTGTTCCCAAATATCTTGCTCCACATATAGCCCTGGCAGCACGACCTTATCTGCACACCTTATCCACATGTAGTCCCCTCCAGCACGACCCTTTAAAACTGCCTCTTGGCGGATAGCCCCTTCTCTGCTGTGCTGCCCATTGCACTCTTTCAATGTATCTTCATGCTTTCTCTAATAAATCTGCCTTCCTTTACTCACAACTGTCTTGGTAAATTCTTTTATCACCTTGGATTCCAGCCCCAGCCAGCCGCAACCCGTGATATTTTGGTGGCCCATATGGGGAACTCTCCCCTTCTCCCCCTTCAACCCCAACCTCTTGGCAAACAGTGTTGGGGCCTGGAGACAACTGACAGTCCTAGCCGGGGCCACTCCCTGGCAGAGCAGAAGGTCCTGGTGGAAAGACATTTGACCGCTGCCCAGTTGGATGAGAGTTTAGAGTTTACTTTTCTTTTCAGTCTTCTAGCTGACAATCTCTAGTATCCCTCTGGCAAGTGATGGCAACTGGCCAGGGCAACTCCCTGGTGTAGCCTAAAGTCCAGGGGGTGAACAGGTTTGGCTGCCTTGCCTGAAAGGGAGGAAGGCTCTCTCCTATCCTTTCTGGTCAGAAGTCCCCTATCCCTATGCGGGGCATAATTGGTGGTGGCAGCTTGACCAGGATGAATCCACACATGTTTTGGGGAACTCAAACCCCCTCTTTCTCACCCTAAATTCTTCCATGAAGACAGCCACCAGCCAGCTCCAGACATGTTAAGCCAGGTGAGCGCTGGGATGGTGAGTTTTCTTTCACCATCACCCAAACAGCACTGGGATGGTGAGTTTTCTTTCAGTCTTTTCCCCTCGTACCTGGATTGAGCACTCAGTCTAATTTGTACCTGCACTGACCTGGGGTTGCTCATCCAGTGTTCATCTAACACGAGGTCCTAGTGCCAGGAGACCCTTTGCAGTAGGGGGGCTGCCCCTTTGGAAAGTGCACCTCAGAGTCCTTCAGTGAACGTGAGGGGAGCCCTTTTCTCTCAGTGAGATGCCCCCAAGAAAACTGTGGTTCGTGTCCCCAGCAGAGATTCTTTCCTGGACCCACGATGGGACAAAGCCCTTCCATTCCCTCAGACTCACCCCTGGGCTGCATTTTAAAGCATTGGGATAAATTTGACCCGCAGACTCTCAAAAAGAAACATCTAATTTTCTCATGTAATAACAAAATGGCCACTTTATAAATTTCCAGACCAGGAGGCTTGGCCTCTGGGTGGAACTCTTGTCTCCAATACTGTTTTACAGCTTGACCTCTTCTGACATAATTTCTCTACGTGGTCTCAAGTTCTTTATGTCCAGGCTTTCCTGACTGTCTCTCGGGATCCCAATCTCTGCCGAACCTGTCAGATATGCCTGGCCAAATTCTCTGGCCCCACTGACTCTTCTGACATTCTAAACCACCCTTCCTTTACTCTCTTCCATTCTGTCCAACCCGGTGGACTGATGGAGGCCACACATGCTTCCCCTGAAAAACCACTTTTATGTTCAATTACACTTACTCCATCTGCTCCTTCTCCCTCACCTTCCCCGACATCTCAACCTCGGATGTCATTTTTCGGTGCCTCCTCATTATGAGGAGCCCTTCTCCTTCCTTTCAGCATTTGCATCTCAACTTACTAGTCAAGTTTGTGTCTTCTAGAATTCAGCTGTTTCACCTTCAAATGCTGCAAACAGTATATCGGTCTGTTCCCAAAGATGTCTGCCACCTTCTCTGCTGTGCTGCCTGCTGCACTCTTGTAATGTATCTTCATACTTTCTCTAAAAAATCTGCCTTCCTTTTTTTTTTTTTTTTGAGATGGAGTCTTGCTCTGTCGCCCAGGCTGGAGTGCAGTGGCACAATCTCAGCTCACTGCAACCTCTGCCTTCTGGTTTCAAGCGATTCTCCTGCCTCAGCCTCCCAAGTAGCTGGGATTACAGGCATGCGCCACCATGCCTGGCTAATTTTTGTATTTTTAGTAGAGACAGGGTTTCACCATGTTGGCCAGGCTGGTCTCAAACTCCTGACCTCATGATCCACCTGCCTTCACCTCCCAAAGTGCTGGGATTACAGGAGTAAGCCACCGTGCCTGGCCCAAAATCTGCTTTCCTTTACCCACAACTGTCTAGGTAAATTCTATTATCACCTGTGACACCAGCCCTAGCCAGTCTTAACCTGCAACACTGGAGCCTTTAGGAGGTCATTAAGTCACAAAAGCAGTGGGATTAGTACCCCTATACAAAGGCTGGAGGGAACTACTAGATGCTTTTGCCTTTCCACCTTTGCCGTGTGAGGACAGAGCAGTCACTCTCTCTGTCTTGTGAGGATGCAGCAACAAGGCACCATCTTGGAAGCAGACAGCAGCCCTCATGAGACACCGAACCTGCTGGTGTCTTGATCTTGAATTTCCCCACCCTCCAGAACTGTAAGAAATAAATGTATATTCTAATTGCCCAGTCTGTGGTATTTGCTTATAGCAGCACATACAGACTAAGATACCATCTTAACAATATTAAGTCTTCCTATCAGTGAACATAAAATATCTTTTGATATATGGAGGTCTTCTTAATTCCTTTTAATAATGTATGTGGCAATCTTGAACTTCATTTGTCAAATATATTCTTAAGTATTTGATTCTTTTTGATGTTACTCTAAATGGAATTATTGTCTTAATTTCACTTTCAGATTGTTCATTGCTAGTGTATGGAAATACTATTGATGTGTGTAATTGATCTTGTAGCCTGTGACCTAGTTGAACTTGTTTATTAATGCTAATATTTTCAGTGAATTCCTTATGATTTTCTATATACAAGATCATGCCATCTAAGAAATAGAGAGAGTTTTATTATTTCTTTCCAATCTGGTTATTCTTTACTTCACTGCACTGCTTAAATTCCCGGACTAGATCCTAGAATACAATGTTGAATAGCAGTGGCAAGAGCAGATATCCTTGTCTTATTTCTGATCTTAGAGAGAAAGCATTCAGTATTTTGCCATTAAGAATGATGTCAGCTGTGGATTTTGTTAGTAGATGTCCTTTATCAGGTTTAGGAATTTCCCTACTATGCCTAGTTTGCTGCGTATTTTTATTGCTAAGGGACATTGGGGTGTTGGTTTTTCAAATGCTTTTTCAACCTCTATTAAGATGATCATGTGATTTTTGTCCTCTTTTCTATTAATATTGTATAGTGGATGGATTACATTAAATGACTTTCATATGTTAAAACGACCTTGCATTTTTGGGATAAATTCCACTTGGTCATGGCATATAATCCCTTTTATATGTTGCTGGATTCAGCTTGCTAGTATTTTGTTGAGGATTTTTACATCTCTATTTGCACTCAACTGTTAGGTTCCACTAATTGCCAACAAATTGCTCTACTGTCTTATGCTATAACCTGGGGTGTAAATTGCTCGGTAATCTAATCCACTAAATTTGGGCCCCTTTGCAGGGGTAGTTTTGAAAGACACTCTTTGAGGTTTGTCTTGACCCCAGGAAGGCTGTTCTTTGCTGTCTTTTCCCCTGGTTCTCTCTGGTACACTAGTCAGCCTACAGTTTAGCTTATTGTTCTCATAGAGCTACCAGCCTTCTTTTAATAGCTTACCACCAGCATCTTCGTTGTTTTGAAAAAGTGCCCCTAGGCTTGAACTTCCCTACACTTGGTTCCAAATAAAGTCAGTTCCCTTGGGGAAAGCATAGGTGCTCTTTGCTCTTATGGCCTACTTTTCTTCTGTGCAAAATCTCGGTACTACTGCTTCCAAGTTGGTGGCAGGGACAGTGGCCTGCTTGTTTCAGAGTGACCTGCAGGGCACGTCATGGAGGTGGTCAGCCTCTGGTCTTTTTGTCTCGCCTTTCCTCATGTGGAACCTCTGCCCTCTGAGTGAACTAGGGTTAGGGCGATTGGGGCCCCAGTATTACTATAACCACCCAAGGGGTTCTTCCTGCTGGCAGCATAAAGACCACAGCGGCCAGGTGCAGTGGCTCATGCCTGTAATCCCAACACTTTGGGAGGCCAAGGCGGGTGGATCATGAGGTCAGGAGATAGAGACCATCCTGGCCAACATGGTGAAACCCCATCTGTACTAAAAATACAAAAATTAGCCGGGCATGGTGGCGCACGCCTGTAGTCCCAGTTACTCAGGAGGCTGAGGCAGGAGAATCACTTGAACCCAGGAGGTGGAGGTTGCAGTGGGCCGAGATCGTGCCACTGCACTCCAGCCTGGGTGACAGAGCAAGACTCTGTCTCAAAAAAAAAAAAAAAAAAAAAAAGACCACGGCATTGCAGTAAAGAAAAAGTTTAGTAGACACAAGGTCAGCCACACCACCTGGGAGAAGGAGTTTGTGCTCAAATAATCTCATCCAAAACTGGTAGGTTAGGGGTTTTTCAGAAGCAGTTTAGGGGAAAGGGGTGGGGGTGGCTAGGCTTGCTGCTGAATTATTGGGCCGCAGATGAAATCAAGGGGATTGAAGCCATCCTCCTGTGGGCTGAATTACTTCTGGGTGGGGCTGCAGGAATGGGGTTGGTGGGTCCAGGTCGAGCCATGGGTGTTAAACATGTGAAAAACCTGAAAAGATATTCCAAAAGGCCAACCTACAATAGTGGTGTTATCTGCAGGCATAATTGGGGAAGTTGCATATCTTATAACCTCTGGAGTAATGGCTGGCAATCGCTTCTGTCTGCCCCTTAGCAGGATTTAGGCTCCTCCCTGCAGCCTGATGGCCTCCCATGAGCTTTATAAAAGCTGCTGAGTTTTGGGCAATGCCTATTATCATCTAAACAATACCCTAAATGTTTTCCAAAGTTAGCTCCACCCAATAGCCCAGGAATGGTTAATGGATAGACAAGATCCAGGGTGGGCTAGCTCAGATCTCTTTCACTCTCATGATTTTCTCATTGATAAAATTTTTGCAAAGGCGGTTTCATTATTGGCTTGCTACTCCTGGATAGAGCCTCTGACCTAAAATGGGATCTGGATGAAGAAAGAGAGTTCCTAACCTCTTGGGAGCACCTCCCTGGAATTTAGCCTCTGCAACATAGAGTTTGGGGGTATGAGAAATGCCCCTAACAGGGAGATAGCACAGTGCTTGGCTGGGAGCCCTGTCTTCATGGCTGCAGCTACCCAGAGTGGAGCATCTATGCTGCTGAGCTGGGGGAAGTGGGCAAGAGAGGGAGCAGATAGTAGCTTAAGTGCCACAGACTCTTCCTGTTCTTACCAAGATTTAGTAGAGTTTCTTGAATAAATGTTTCTTCATTTACTGCATGCCCTTAGGACAATTTCCAGGGACTTTAAAAGGTTGTTATTTTTAAAAATAATTTCACCAGTTACAGTTGTTTTGTTGGGGAGAGGGTCTTTGAGCTCCTCACATTGAGACAGCCGAGTATAAAGGGGTCACCAGAGAACCTCCAACTGATCTGGGCACTGGCAGGAGTGCTCACTGGGGTGGAGCCTTGGGAAGTTCACTCAGTTTGCAGAGGGAAGGAGCCTGGCCTCTCCTGTTCTGGGTGGAACCTGGGATTCAATCTGTGAGGTGGGAAGACTACTAGCAGGACACTTGCTCTGCCAAGTCCCTGTTTCCTTTTTTTTCCTTTTCACCCAATAAACCCTGCCCTTCTCACCCTTCAAAATGTCTGTGAGCCTAATATATTTCATGGTCGTGTGACAAGGACCCCGTTTTTACCTGAACTAAGGAGAAAGTCCTACAACAACATTGCCTTTCCAGAAATGATTATTCTTCTCTTTTAACCAAAACTTCTTGAAAGCCTGATTAGTACTTTATGCTCAATTCCTGTCTCCTCCCCACCCGCAAATTCTTTTTTGAGTCAACACCGCCCATCAGGCTTTAACCCTCCATGAACCCTAGTGCTCCCATCAAGGTCACCAATGCCTTCCACATGGCTAAATCCAATAGTCAAGTCTCATTTTCATCTTATCTGACCAGCCAGCAGTATTTGACATGCGTGGTCTCACCTTTCTCTTTGACACACTGTCTTCACTTTGTTTTCAGGACACTATGCTCTCCTAGTTCCTAGCTTTACTTCTATCAATATATCATTTTACTTCTTAGTCTCCTTTGCTGGTGCCTCAGAACCTGTCCTTCGATCTCTTCTTTTTAACTACATTTATTTCAACCAAAAGAGTCAAACTCTGTAAAATATTTGAAGAGATTTATTCTGAGCCAAATATGCATAACCATGGCCCATGACACAGCTCTGAAGAAGTCCTGAGAACACGTGTCCAACATAGTTGGGGTACAGTTTGGTTTCATGTATTTTAGGGAAACGTGAAACTGCAATAAAATATGTTTAAGAAATACATTGGTTTGGTCCAGAAAGGCAGGACAACTTAAAGCTGGGTAGGGTGGCAGGAGTCGGGGGATGTTGGGTGGGGGATCTTTCAGGTTATAGGTAGATTTAAAATTTTCTGGTTGACAACTGGTTGAGTTTATCTAAAGACCTGGGATCAATAGAAAGGAAATGTCTGGGTTGCAATAAGAGGTAGTGGAGACTGAAGTTTAATCGTGCAGATAAACCCTCCAGGTAGCAGGCTGCAGACAGAATAGATTATAAATGCTTTTTATCAGACTCAAAGGTCAGTATTGATATTAATGTCGAAGAGGTATAATGAGGCATGTCCGGCCCCCACTTTCCATCATGTCCTGAACCAGTCTCTCTGGTTAAGTTTTAAGAATGCCCTGGCTGAGGGGAAAGTCCATTCAGATGGTTGAGAGGCCTTAGAATTTTATTTTTGGTTTACACTTACTTCCTTGATGATCTTGTAACTGAGCAGCTTGGCTTCAAATTGCATGTTAAAACTTTGTTTCCTTTCCTCCTTTCTCCCCAATCTGAAGATATAACTTTGAGACAAACTGCATATGTGTTTCCTTTCATCTTGAAATACAGCCTTGAAATGCGCTGTGATTCTCCACTCCCTTCCCTTTCCCATTTTATGTTCCCATGCTTTATGCACCTTTGTTTACCCAGATGCTTGTTAAACACACACCATACTCACTTATCTGGCCATATATTTGTTTAAAAGCTTCAGGGGAGGGATCCTGATGTTACAGTAGGTAGTCAGACAGACATGAGCGGCGTTGGGGAGACCCACCCCACCAGCCACAACAGGAATGTCTAGGCGACCATCATGTGATGGTCAGGTGGTTGTCACACTGTCTGTCTCACTGTCACACTGCCTGGAGCCAGGGAAAGGCAGTCTCCCAATAGATAGAAAGACCTGGAAACATTGCCATTCCAGGTTAACTTGCTGAGAAGCTGACCAGCTTCCTGATAAGATCTCAGGAGTTGGGCAAGTAGGCTCAAGCCTGCTCACTAAGAGGCAAAATGGCAGAGTTTAACTGGTGTATGACTTTGTTATAGGAACACTCAACTGGTAAGGGAAGAATGCCTCAAGTGAGCACGTGCACAACTTCAGTAAACATACTGTGCATGTGGCCCCTCCCAGCTGCTGGCAGGCCACCGCACACACGGAATGCCAATGTATAAAACCCCAGGTCAAAGGTTAAACCATGCACTTGATCTCTCAAGTCGCCCACTTGGCCCTCTTCTGAGTGTACTTCCTTTCATTCCTACTCTAATAGTTTTAAATAAACTTTCACTCTGGATCTAAGACTTGCTTTGGTCTCTCACTCTGCCTTATGCCTCTTGGTTGAATTCTTTCTTCTGAGGAGGCAAACATTGAGGTTGCTGTAGACCCCTATGGATTTGCCACCACTAACATGGATATTGTATTAGTTAGGGTTCTCTAAAGGTCAGAAATAATAGGATGTATGTATATATGAAGGGGAGTTTATTAGGAGAATTGGCTCACATGATCACAAGGTGAAGTCCCACAGTAGACTGTCTGTAAGCTGAGGAGGAAGGAAGCCAGTCCAAGTCCCAAAGCCTCAAAAGTAGGGAAGCTAACAGTGTAACCTTCAGTATGGGGCTGAAGGCCTGAGACCCTGGCAAATCACTGGTATAAGTCCAAGGGTGCAAAAGCTGAAGAACTTAGAGCATCCAACACAGGAGAAAGATGAAGGCCGGAACACTCAGCAAGTCTCTCTCACTCCATGTTCTTCTGCCTGCTTTATTCTAGTCATGCTGGCAGCTGATTAGATGGTGCCTACCCAGATTGAAGGTGGGTCTAACTCTCCCAGTCCACTGACTCAAATGTTAACCTCCTTTGGCAACACCCTCACAGACACACTCAGGAACAATACTTTGCATCCTTCAATCCAATCAAGTTGACACTCAATATTAACCATCACAAGTCCACCCCTTGCCAACTTGAACCCATACACATCTCCTGAAATTATACATAATCTTCAAATAAAGACAATAATAAGGTCATAATTATGCCTAACATAATACAGCTATCCTTCATACAACTGGAAGTGCACTAATCCTTAACCTAAATGCTATTACATAAAGTTAACAACACTTAAATGATGACATGAAGTCCATAAATCTATGTCACATGATAAAAGAAAAAGAAAGGAAATAAAATGAAGATATTTTCTTAGTACAAGTATATACATGTGCAAATATGTTCTTAAAATGAGGAGGCTATACTCATGACAATTACAGTCCTCATTTCTGCAACTGGTCACATGGTCGTAGCTGGTATTGATGACTACCTTCTTCTATTTCCCTTTCTGTATTCCCTTTGCTTTCAGCAAGCACCTTAGCAGGTTGTAGTTTTTTACACAGTGGAGTGACCCAAACCTTCACTCCTGAGGGTCTGGGTCATTTGTAGTCCTGCCTGGATTGGGTTGTTGTAGTTTCCCATTGACCTTAATCACAGGGTGTGATAATACTAAGAGACGCCCTAATGGATCTCTTGTATTCCATGCATATTCTTCCTTACCTCCAATGTAGAGTAGTAGACTGATTTCATCTGACAGTCTAGGTCAATCACCCCAGCCAACACTGTAACTTACTTCTTAGTCTGTTGACTTAGAGGTAAGAGAAGCCCAAAGTGGCCAGGTGGCAGTCTTAACTTCCAGTTTAATGGACTCGTTGCTGTGTCTCCTGGTGGCAGCATTCCTCCCTCTGGAATAAAGACCTCTAGGCCAGCAGAATGTAATGTCACGGGAACAGGAAGGAAAAAATTTTGCTAGGGTCACTAGGAGTGATGGTGAGTGATGCCACTTCCATTTCCACCCCTTGATTCCTGGACCCATGAATCCTGGCTATGGGGGAAACGGTACCATATATTGGACTGTGATTCAGAGTATACATAGCCTTCTGGAGAACTTTGCCCCACCCCTGCAAAGTACTGTCACTTCATTGGCATTGTAATTGTGACTTCAAAAGGCCTTTCCCTCATTCTGTCAATGCAGCTGCTTTGGGATGATGGAGAATACAGTAAGACCAGTGAATTCCATGAGCATGAGCCCACTGCCACGCTTCTCTAGTTGTAAAGTGAGTGCCTTGGTCAGAGGCAATGCTATGTGGAATTCCATGACAGTGGATAAGGCATTCCGTGAGTCCACAGATGATAGTCTTGGCAGAAGCATTGTGTGCAGGATAGGCAAACCCATATCTGGAGTGTCTGTTCTGGTGAGGACAAACCTCTGCCCTTTCCACGATGGAAAAGGTCCAATATAATCAACCTGCCACCAAGTAGCGGGCTGATCACCCCAGAAAATGGTGCCACATCGAGGGCACAAGTCTCCCTGTTCTCAGTACTCATCCATATGCTAATTGCTTCCAAATTTATATCTCCAGACCAAGCCTCTCTTCCAAACTGCACACTTATATAATGTGCCACCTCCTGGACATCTCCACATTGCCTAGCAGGCTTCTCAAACTGTTTGCACAAAACAGCTCCTGGTCTTCCCCTCCAAACCTGCTCCTTCCTGTCCTCCTCATCATTCCAGCTGCTCAGACTAAAAACCATGGAGTTGTCATTGTCTCTTTCTCACTCTATGTCCAATATGTCAGCAAATTCTGGGGGCTCTACCTTCAAAATTTATTCTAAATTGGATTTCTTACAGCATCCACTGCTGTTTCAAGTCACCATTACCATTATCACTCCACCCCCACCCTTTTTTTTTCTTTTTTTTTTGAGATGGAGTCTCACTCTGTCACCCAGGCTGGAGTGCAGTGGCCTGATATTGGCACACTGCAACCTCTGCCTCCCAGGTTCAAGTGATTCTTGTGCCTTAGCCTCTGAGTAGCTGGGATTACAGGCATGCCCCACCATCACACTCAGCTAATTTTTGTATTTTTAGTAGAGATGGGGTTTCACCATGTTGGCCCACTGGCCTTGAATTAACTAACCTCAGGTGATCCACTTGCCTTGGCCTCCCAAAGTGTTGGGATTACAGGCATGAGCCACCGCCTCTGGCCACCATTATCTCTTGATTAGATTATTTTGAGAGCCAACTAAGAGATCTTTCTGCTTCTACCCCTTCCCCATCTTCAGTCTACTATCACCCAAACAATCAGAATAATCCAGTTGCCTCTCTGACCTCATCTCCTATTGTTGCCTCCCTTGCTCTAGCCACCCTGGCCTGCTTGTTGATTCTAGAGTATATAAAGCACACGTTTGCCTCAGACCCTGGCACTTGCTATTCCCTCTGCCCAGAACACCCTTTCCCCAAATATCCACATGGTTCACTCCCTCATCAGGACCTCTGTTAAGTATATCTTCCCCTCTGGCCTGAAATTCTGCAATTAGAGAATCATCCCCATGTGCTTTACAAAAATTTCTTTTTCAAAATCAAATATACCTGAAAGGGAGAACACACTAAATCTGTTATCAGACATTAATAGCCTAACATTAAGAGTTTACTATATTGGGTCAGGCATGGTGGCTCACGCCTGTAATCCCAGCAGTTTGGGAGGCTGAGATGGGTGGATCACCTGAGGTCAGGAGTTCGAGACCAGCCTGGCTAACATGGTGAAACCCCATCTCTACTAAAAATACAAAAATTAGCCAGGCATGGTGATGGGCACCTGTAATCCCAGCTACTAGGGAGGCTGAGGCAGGAGAATCACTTGAACCTGGGAGGCAGAGGTTGCAGTGAGTTGAGATCATGCCACTGCACTCCAGCCTGGGCGACAGAGCAAGACTCTGTCTCAAAAAAAAAAAAAAAAAAAAAAAAAAAAGAAATAAAAAAGAGTTCACTATATTGTTTTTTCATGCAGATAACTAGACAGTAGGGTGAAAATGGTAACCTAGTAAATTTTGAACGGTGCTCTCCCCAGCAAGGGCTAAGAGTATAAAAGCAGGAGCGGAGGACCTGGGCACAGTGAACAAAGTGCACGGGGCACAAGGAAGGCAATTGGGTTACTGGAAATATCAGAAAAGGAAGGTGGAGAGGACATGAAAAACACTCTGTCCCTTCCAAGACTTTGTACAAGATCACATTAGCATAGGGAAAATGAAGGGGACCTTCCATGGGAGGTATATATATGCCCCAGTCCTTTAAGGAAAAAAGATACAACTCAGAAATGGACCAAAACCTATCAAAAGTACATGGGATTGGCCACACAAGTTGTGAAAGGCAAGTGTCGGCTGTTTTTTTATGCTACTATGTAAGAAAACTACATTTTATTTTAATTTATTTATTTATTTATTTATTTATTTATTTATTTATTTATCTATCTACTTTTGAGATGGAGTCTCGCTCTGTCACCCAGGCTGGAGTGCAGTGGCGCGATCTCGGCTCACTGCAAGCTCCGCCTCCCGGGTTCACGCCATTCTCCTGCCTCAGCCTCCCAAGTAGCTGGGACTACAGGCACCTGCCACCACACCCGGCTAATTTTTTGTATTTTTGGTAGAGACGGGGTTTCACCGTGTTAGCTAGGATGGTCTCAATCTCCTGACCTTGTGATCCGCCCACCTCGGCCTTCCAAAGTGCTGGAATTACAGGCGTGAGCCACCACACCCGGCCTTATTTTTATTTTTATTTTTATTTTTTTGAGACAGAGTCTCACTCCGTCACCCAGGCCGGAATGCAGTGGCATGATCTCGGCTCACAGCAATCTCTGCCTCCCAGGTTCAAGCGATGCTTGTGTCTCAGTCTCTGAAGTATTATAGCTGGGACTATGGGTGCACTACCACACCGGGCTAATTTTTGTAGAAAAATACATTTTAAATTAAGATTTAAAAACAAAAACAAAGAAAAACTACTGGTATTTGTGTAGTGAAGAATTACCACTATGCAAAGAAAAGTCTGAGCTTTGTTTCTGCTTCTGGAAGTTTCCCTCGAATCCCTTGAAATTTCCTGAGTTACAGGAGTGAAATCAGCCTGACCTCCAGGGAGGGAAGGTGGTGGGAAATTGTGTTTAGCCAATTCCAGCCACCCTCAATTATACCCATGTAATAATTGAGTTATTATCTACTGAAGCCTCAATAGAGAGTCTGGACACCAAAACTAGGATGAGCTTTTTGGGTTGCCACACATTCCTGAGGATGCTCTTAGCTCTGGATACTGCCATATGTGTCTCTTTCTTTGGCTTGTTCTAATTTGTATCCTGTCATTATAATAAAACTATAATTGTCAGCCCCAAGTTCTGTGAGTCGTTCTAGAAAATTATTGAACCTGAGTAATCATGGGAACCTCCTATTTTGTAGCGAGCTGGTCTGAAGTAAGTAAACTTTGCATACAATGAGTGAAATTGGCCATATTTTATTTAATTAAGCTACTATATTCTCCTCATACTGATGGCCTTTCCTGGGGGAAGAGAGAATTTGTTGACCTCAGCAAGACCAAAATTGGTTATTTAAGGAAAATTTAGTCCAGAGTCTAGAGAGAGCCTGTCCCAGAATTGGTATCCAGATAGCCCACTCCTAACATATGCTAGTTCTTGAGTGCACGGAAAGATAACAAGCCAATAAAATAAATAGAAAATGGCAAACTTATGAATAGCCAGTTTTGAGAAAAAATATGTAATTGGCTCTTAATTAAACAAAAGATGCCCAATCTCACTCATAACATGAGAAAGACAACTTAAAACTACAGGGAGATGCCATTCTTACCTGTCATATGGGCAGAGGAAAAACTCTGTATTCTGGATAACACACCATGTTGTGAGATCTGGGGAAACCTCATCTGGCACGCCCATACATTGGCAGTAAAATTCAAAATTGGTACAGCCTCTGTGAAGGGTGACTTGGCAATACATCACAAAATTGCAAATACATATTTGCATTTGAATCAGCAAGTTCACGTTTAGGAATTTATTCTATAGATCTATCCATGTTTTAGTGAAAAGATGTCTGATGCAAATTGAAAAACACTGTTCCATTATTTTACAACTCTTTTCATAAAGAGTTGGGTCAATTTCCCCACTCCGTGAATGTGGAGAGGCCCTGTGTCTTGCTTTGACCAATAAAGTGTGGCAGAAGTGATGTTGTTCTAGAGCCTAACCTTAGGAGGCTTGTAGCTTCCACTCTACTTCTCTTGGAATTCTGCCCTTAGACCAGTTGGTGGTTAGAGGCTGGAAAAGCACCAAGTAAGCTGTGAGCAGAGGCTGGAGAAATGGCAAACCAACAGCTGCTAGAGCTGGAAAGGCAGTGAGAAAACAGTCACTGCAGGCGGAAGAAAGGGCAACTAGAGCTGGAAAGGCAGTGAGAAAACAGTCACTGCAGGCTGAAGAAAGGGCAACTTGTGTTATGTCGTCATTGGAATAATTGGCAAAATGTTTTCTGAGGAAACTTAAAAGATAAAAAAAAACGTACCTAATAACATTTTAAAAACATGATTAAGGAGATCTCCAGGCAGAATGTTGAAAGTGCCACTTGGCTTCTCCTCGGTATGATAACATGCAAGAAAAGAGAGATGAGCAAAGGAAGGAACCATTCAGCTTATAAGCAAAGTTTAGAGGATTTACAGAAGCCCAGGGATTTGCTAGTTTGGAAAACATAACTGTCTCTTGTCCTCTGTTTTCCCAGCTGGTAAAAATTAGTCTAAGTTGGCCAGCCGTGGTGGCTCATGCCTGTAATGGCAGTGCTTTGGGAGGCTGAGGCAGGAAGGTTGCCTGAGGCCAGGAGTTTGAGACAAGACTGGGCAACATAGGGAGACACCATTTCCAAAAAAAAAAAAAAAAAAAAAAAAAAAGTCAGTGGTGGTGTGTACCTGTAGTCCCAACTACTCGGGAGGCTGAGGCAGGAGGATTGCATGAGCCCAGGCGTTTGAGGCTACAGTGAGCCATGACTGAGCCACTGCATTCCAGCCTGGGCAACAGAGCAAGACCTGGACTTCCTGAAAGTTAAAGCCAAAAACCACATCAAGGGTATGGTTGTAAGAACCCCTGTGAAAACCTATGAATGATTTAAGGCAATGTCTGAAGGAACCTTGCAGTCACGGCTTCTGAGAATCTTAAAGGCCTTTTCCAAGAGCAGCCTCAAAATATTTCCTGAAAGACCTTGCTTCTCTTGATATTTACCCCAGAACTCCATGCAGTTTCCCTATTTTAATACATTATGTCAATTATATCACCAGAGGTGAGAAAATAAAACCCAAAATGACTCAGGGCCTCCCATATCAGTGAAATTTTTAGGGGTCCATTTGTCTGGGGTATGCCAAGACATCCCAGGGTGAGGACAAGTTCTTGTACCTTGCTTTTCTTCCACTTAGGGGTATGGTACTGCTGGGATTTTGGATTTTGGAGACAGCAACACACCTCTTTGAATACTGCTCCCACGCATGTATTGGGTGACTCAGAAGGCTACGGATTTTGAGGGAGGCCCAGAGCAAGACTACACTTCGCAGCAGGTTCTAGCTGCAGTTTAAGCGGCCTTTCTGCTTGGGCCATGTGCCTGGTAATTCCATGGTGCTAGAGATGCTTGTTGCAGGCATGTAGGCCACACAGAGTCTCTTGCAAGCTCTGTTAGGAAAGCTGCAGTATTGGCCTCTAGGGTTCTGTGGCAAGGCCGTGCCTGCAACAGTTAATGCTCCCAGAAGTGGATCTTAACAAACGATGGATAGAGGGTTGGTAGATACATATCCCAACTTCCTTGCCCCTCAGGTAGGAAAACTCTGAGGTGCATCCTAAGCCATCTGTCCCAGAGTTCCCTGAAGGAATTAAGCCCCAGCTATCCACAATTTACCCTGTATTGGCTTCTTTCCCTTCTCAGACCTTTATTTTCCTATTGGTGATCTTCCCCAGAGAAACTTCTTGCACTCAAAAGCTTGTCTCAGTGTCCGTCTCTGGAAGGATCCAACTCAATTGACCAACAATTAGAGAAAGGCAAAGGATCTTGGTCATCTTTTAATCCTGCTCAAAACACAGCTTTTTCCCAGAAAAGAAAGTCCTATGCTGCAATATCCTGGATTTGGTGGTTCAATGAGATTTCTCCTTTTTCTTTCTTTCTTTCTTTCTCTCTTTCTTTCTCTCTCTCTCTTTCTTTCCTTTCTTTCTTCCTTTCTTCCTTTTTCTTTCTCTCTCTCTTCTTTTCCTTTCCTTTCCTTCTTTTCTGCCTCCCTTCCTTTCTTCCTTTCCTTCCTTCCTTTCATCCCTTCCTCTCCACTCCCCCTTCTCTCTTTCTCACCCTCTTTCTTTCTTTTGATGGGGTCTTGCTCTGTCACCAGGCTGAAGTGCAATGGTGCGATCATGGCTTATTGCGGACTGGAATTTCTGGGCTCAAGTGATCCTCCTGCCTCAGCCTCCTGAGTAAGTGGGACTATAGCCATGCGCTGCCATACCTGGCTAATTAAAAAAAAAATTAAAGAGACTGGGTCTCTCCCTCTGTGTTGCTCAGGTTGGTCTCAATCTCCTAGCCTCAAGCAATCCTCCTGCTTCAGTCTCCTGAAGTGTTGAGATTACAGGTGCTAGCCACTGTGCTTAGCTATCAATGAGTTTTCGGTTGTATTTGCACATGCATACTAAAGAGGCAAGAAAAAAAAAACTGAAGATACCAGCTATGCGTCCTCCAATTCTAACTCCAGCAGATACCAGCTGTGCATCCTCCAATTCAATTCTAACACCTTCCACCTGGAGACAGGCTCAGTCACATCCCACAGGCTGCGGGCTCAGTCCCACAAGGCTGCCCCACTTCAAACGCCAGTCATAACCACAGGCTGTAACCTGTGCTTCTGACCAAGCAACTATAAATTGAGGTTTTCAGGGCCCTCACCTTGGGTTTGATTAATTTGCTAGAGTGACTCATAGACCTCAGGGAAACACTTTACTTACACTTACCCATTTATTACAAGGATGTTACAAAGGACACAGATCAAGAGCCAGCTGGAAGAGATGCACAGGGAAGGGGTGCGGAGCTCCCATGCCCTCTCCAGGGCACCACCCTCCAGGCACCTCCATGTGTTCAGCTATCTGGAAGCTCCCCAGACTCTGTCCTTTTGGGTTTTCATGGAAGCTTCATTATGTAGGCATGAATAATTATATCATTGACCACTGGTGACCAACCCAAACTTCAGATCCTTTCCCTTCCCCAGAGGTTGGAGGGTGGGGCTGAAAGTCCCAGCCCTCTAATCATGGCTGGGCCACCATTTACCTCATTAGCATACAAAAGACTCCTGTTGCTTTAGAGATTCCAAGGGTTTGGGAAGCTATATGTCAGGAGACAGGAGAAGACCAAATATATATTTCACAGTATCACACACACATACTCTCTTGATCACAGGTGAAGTTTTGCCCAAAGCAACAGAAGTGAAGCAAGCTTCTATTCTCACAGAGGTTTGGGTCCGGTAGATACTAATAACTTCTATTCTCTGATGCATTGTAGTAGGGCAGACATTAAGCATTTCATGTGCATTTTTTTTTTCTTTTTGAGACAGGGTCTCACTCTATCTCCCAGGCTGGAGTGCAGTGGCACTAACACAGCTCACTGTAGCCTCAATCTGCAGGGCTTAAGCGATCCTCCCACCTCAGCCTCCTGAATAGCTGGGATTACAGGCATGCACTACCATGACCAGCATATTTGTATTTTTTGTAGAGACGGGTTGTTACTATGTTGCTCAGGCTAGTCTTGAACTCCTGACCTCAGCCTCCCAAGTAGCTAGGAATACAGGCACATGCCACCACAGCCAGCATATTTTTGTATTTTTTGTAGAGACAGCTTACTGCCATGTTGCTTAGGCTGATCTTGAACTCCTGAGCTCAAGGGCTCCACAGGCCTTGGCTTCCCAAAGTGCAAGGACTAAGGTGCAACTGCCACACCCAGCCTTTCATATGTATTATCTTATTTAAGCTTCACTTTACAAGTGAGAAGGGCAGCCTTGGCTCAGAGAAGTTAGGTGACTTGCAGCAAATCACATAATTGCTAAGTGATGGATCTGAGCTTTAGCCCCAGGACTATCTGACCTTGGGTCTAAACTTATACTACTGTATTTTTCGTTAAGTCAGTCAGAGTTCTATCCTTTGACAGAAAGTATAACCTTCTTTTAAGGCAGAATAAGACCCTCTGCCCAACCCTGCTCTTTCTTTCTCCTCCGCACTAAGAAGACAGCGAATACAGTAGAGGGTTTTGGACTGGGATAGTGGTTGCAGAGAAGATCTGGAACTAAAAATATGGACCAGGGGTAGAAATGGTGGTGATTCCACCAAACTTGGAAACACTTAACAAGACCCCATAACATGCAAGATATGCAAGAAATGGGGTACATTTTCTATACCAGTGCCTTAAGTAAAAAAATTCCTTGTTAAACAAATGATTTAGAGAAGACAGAACCAAATATATATATATAGCTGTGTGTGTATTCTAATAAAGGTTGTTAAAGTCTTAAAGTTAGTGGTGGGAGAAAACAATAAAAAAATATGAAATCTCCCTATGTTAATAAACTAATTTCAAATACCAAGGGTTGGTTTTTGGTTGGGTGAGTCTGTTTTTGCCTTGATTAAAAAGAAGTGATTTTTTTCTTCAGCCTAGTTTTCCTGGTATGAAAGGCAAGAAGGAATGACATTCCATAACTGTTATAGAGGTGAAAACAGTTTTATTTATTGGTGGTCATTACCGGCCTATAACCAGGGCACAACCTTCTTGGTAAACATTTACCAAGCATTAGTGGAAGATGATTCACTAACTTTTAAAACTCTCCTTCCCTTATATGCATATTAATACCACGATATCTTTAGCTTTTAAGTCCATATATACAGGCACAGGTGCGAATAAATTCAAACATATCACTTGTAGTGGTTTACATAAGGGCTTGCTAGTTCAAATGGGGTTGTTAGTTTTGCATCTCAAATTAGTTCCTGTCAACCCAGCAACTAAAGAAAATTCCTTTGTGAAAAAAGTTTCCAGGCATGACCCAGTAATTGTTTTAATGGATTTTCAATGAAGGGTGAAGTACCATGCTATGTAGCCTGTGGGCATTCCATAAATATATTTTGACTGATTCTGTTAACAAACTACATAGAAAAAACCAAATACTTACTATCCAATCCTCTTATATTGTTTCCCATAGGCTCTGTCTGTTAGTGTATTTATAAGCATTTAAAGTGTATAAGGGAGCTCTGGCAGTGAGAGTGAATTGCCCAATGCAGAGAAGCACTCTGGGCTGGAGGGTTTTACTTAGTCTAAGATTTTCTTTTTTTTTTTTTGTGAGACGGAGTCTGGCTCTGCCGTCAGGCTGGAGTGCAGTGGCATGATCTTGGCTCACTGCAGCTTCCGCCTCCTGGGTTCAAGCGATTCTCCTGCCTCAGCCTCCCGAATAGCTGGGAGTACAGGTGCATGTCACCACGCCTGGCTAATTTTTGTATTTTTAGTAGAGACAGGGTTTCACCATGTTGGCCAGGATGTTCTCGATCTCTTGACCTCGTGATCCACCCTCCTCGGCCTCCCAAAGTGCTGGGATTACAGGCGTGAGCCACTGTACCAGGCTACTTAGTCTAAGATTTTCAGTGTGCACCTGAGATTTGCCCTTTCCAAAATGAGGAAGAGGCCTGAAGCCGATCAGCTGAAAGAAGTACTAAGCCCTGCAGGCTGAAAAGGTAATGTCCCACCTATGCTGGAGGACCTGATGTTGGTATAGTCAATTTTCTGTCTTCTATGTAAGGTATAGATCTGCTCTGATCTTGACATTGTGAAGAAAGCTACTATACTGTCAGAATCTGCTGTAATATAGCCCTGAGATGAGAAAGGTGTGTAGAACAGAAATCTTCACTGCCCTTCTCCCAAAACATTCATTGACCCCTCCTGTAAGATATATATATATATATAATTATTATTTTTTCTAGACAGAGTCTCGCTCTGTTGCCCAGGCTGGAGTGCAGTGGTGCAGTCTTGGCTCACTACAATCTCAGCCTTCCAGGTTCAAGGTTCCCAGGTTCCCAAGCAGATTCTCGTGTCTCAGCCTCTTGAGAACTGGGGCTACAGGCACACGCCACCACACCTGGCTAAGTTTTATATTTTTAGTAGTGATGGAGTTTTGCCATGTTGGCCAGGCTGGTCTTGAACTCTTGATCTAAGGTGATCCGCCAACCTTGACCTCCCAAAGTGCTGAGATTACAGTCATGAGCCACCGCGCCCGTCCTGCATTCTTGCTGTGTGTGTGTAACCCTTGCTATAGTTATATAATTTAGGTTGAATTTAATTTATACGTTGACTATGATCTGAGGGTCAAGATCATTTGGGATAAAGGAGAGATCAACTACATGTCCGTATACTGCAAGTTAGAATTTAGTTAAGAAGGCCCTGAGTAGATTCCAGAATTATAATAAAGCTTTCATTTTTAGTTTGAGGAAACTTCAATATGGGCGACAGAACAAAGAACTCGGGTGGTAGGAATTAAGTTGGTAGGAATTAAGAGGGTGCCTGCCAGACGGGCTGGAAGTGAAGGAAGCCATGTGCCTGCAAAGCTGTTTAGGGCTGCCATGTGTTTATGCCCTGGCAGAAACCTCTGGTTAGAAGTTAGATCGCTTACATTTTTCTTAAGTAACCCATTTTGTTACATCCATATGTTTTCCCTCTTTCCAGAAGGAAAAAAAAGTATCAGCGAGCCCTTCCTCACGGATCAGGAAGCTCAAGGGATTACTCAAGTACATTGGCGGCAGTTACAAAGATATTTTCTTTTTTTTTTTTTTTTTTTTTGAGACGGGGTCTCGCTCTGTTGCCCGGACTGGAGTGCAGTGGCGCGATCTCGGCTCACTGCAAAGCTCCGCCTCCCGGGTTCACGCCATTCTCCTGCCTCAGCCTGCCAAGTAGCTGGGACTACAGGCGCCCGCCACGACACCCGGCTAATTTTTTGTATTTTTAGTAGAGACGGGGTTTCACCGTGTTAGCCAGGATGGTCTCGATTTCCTGACCTCGTGATCCACCCGCCTCGGCCTCCCAAAGTGCTGGGATTACAGGCGTGAGCCACCGCGGCCTACAAAGATATTTTCAAGCATTGTTCTCCCTACCCCAAATTTCTGAGTCATTTAAGTAGAGAAACAGCTCTTTTGCCCTGGCTCATATATGAAAAAAGTAGAATTCAGGCCAGGCTTCAAGTCTAGGGATGATTCTCATTAATGAGGTTAGGTCTGCCACCTGGTGGTGAGAAATAAAATGCCACTTGATTTTCTCATCTGATCTGTCCATATACCACACTTAAAAATTCCACTTTGCAAATCCATCCTTAACCTCTGACTCGGGTTGTGCTTGCCGCCAGCCAAAAGTTCCCAACTGATGACAACGGCACCGACACCTTGGGGAGAATTTTTAGGCAACCATCTGGAACTCATTCCCTATGAACACATTTGAAGTGTTTTAGAACACTGGTAGGTGGTTCTACAACACTTCAAATGTGACTTAAGGTAGATTTTAGGAGAACAAGGTTCTCCTAAAGAGGAAAGATAGCACTAATTCATTCATTAGTACACAAACTATTGTGTAAAAAAAAACTATGCTCTTCAATTTGTAAACAAATGTGTAAGACAATGCCCCGCTCCATCAGTGACAAAGAGATGGGAGTGGATAACCAAGTTAGGCTGGGAAAATAAGAGTAATTCTTGCTTCCCGTTGAAAGGCTGAGGAGAGTGCAGAATCATCTGAAGCCATTAGGGGGAGTGCTAAGTCTTCAGAAACACACACACACACACACACACACACACACACTCGAATACTAGAATATGAATTCTGGAATATGTCCACAATTATTTGGGGATTTGGCCTATGGATCCCTCACAGAGGGTGAAGATACCCAAGTACCCTGGAGAGCTTCAGCTTCCAGTAACCTCCTCCAGCACTGAAGACTTCAGCTCCTTCCTTTTTTCACCTGCCCCTATTTTCCTTTCCTTGTAGGCCAGTACTCTCAAAGTGTGGCCCCCAGTATCACCACTGTCACCACCTGGGAAACTTTCAGAAATGCAATATCTCTGCCCGTACCCCAGATCAAAGGAATCAGAAACTGTAGGGCAGGGTTAATAAGGCCTCCAGGTGATTTTCATGCAAGCTGTGAATCTCTAGTCCAGGGGTGTCCAATCTTTCGGCTTCCCTGCCACATTGGAAGAAGAATTGTCTTGGGCCACACATAAAATACACTAGCTAAAAAATTTTTTTTTTTGCAAAAAACCTCATCATGTTTTAAGAACATATATGAATTTGTGTTGGGCCGCATTCAAAGGTGTTCTGGTCTGCATGCGGCCCATGGGCCGTGGGTTGCACAAGCTTGCTCTAGTCTTAGGGTGATCCTCTGGGCACAGACCAGGGAGACTTGTCGGAGTGGGAGCTAAGGGGAGAAGCAATGGGTCCTAGAAGCCAATCTAGTTACCCAGTCCAGCCCAGAGTGTTAGAGGGAGCAGAGAACAGCCACAAAGGGAGGTGGCAGAGGTTTTTGCCAACTGAGCACCAGCTTTGTGGACACTGACCCTCCAATCACCCTTGGTCACAAGATCTTCAGATGGGAGACTCAGTCTTCAATTAAAGCGACACTAGAGAAGAATCCCTACAGTACCCAGAGCAAATAAGATAAATAGGGCTGTGTCCACCCCACCTGGGTGCAGCTCCAGCTCTTTTCACTCCCTTCCAGATCCGCGGAAAGCACCCCTGACACGCATATATTTGTGGATGGGATACCTGGATTGAGAGCGAACTCCATCAACCCCCCGAGACACTGCACCCTGCTCCCTCCTCTGCTGGAGGAACTGCCACTTTCTAAAGGAAAATACTATTTAATGTGCAGAATTACAGTACACACAATACTTATAGTATGGCAAGTATTAGTCCTTGGTATTTTTTCCGCCACCTTTTCCCATCTCCCCATCCTGTATGCCTGTGCCTCCTTACCTTTCTAGCACAAAACAGGCACTTAAAAAATAGTGCAGAATGAACAGCTGAAGCTTGCTTCTACTATCTTCCATATTTTTCTCTGGCTGCTGTCAAAAAGCGCCAGCTCAGAGCCAGGGTGGCCGACTTTGTCACAGTCTCTGCTGGAAAACGACATTTTTTAGGGGGAAAATCATAAGCCAATGCAGACATGTCCCTGCCCCCTATTCCTTCTCCCTGCACGTGGGCACACAATGGGCGGCCGGCAGAGGTGGGGGAGTGAGGAGCACAGGCTCCGTGTGTCCAAAGTCCCGGGTCACCTCGGCCTGGAATCCATCTAACTCAGCTGCAAACCAGAAGACGCGGCCTGGGAGGGGCGTAGAGCCCTCCCCCACCTCCCCGGGCTGGGTGACTGTCAGGCCGCATCTGCTCCAAATTTATGGCTCCTCCTCGGGCCGCCGCCGGCCTCTCCACGGCCTCTTTACCAACTGCAGCCCCAGCTGAGACCCCTCCCGCGGGGAGGGAGGGAACACGAAGCGCGGCCGGGGCTGGGGGCGGGGAGCAGGTGTGAAGCGGGGTGGCAGCGGCGCGCGGTCACCCTCCACCGCGCCGCGGAGACCCGGCGTCACCCCCACGCGCACACAATGGCGCGGGGGCCAGGCCGAGGACGGCCCATTAGCGGCTGATGGAGGAGGCGGGAGCCCGGCGGGCCGCCTAATCCCCGCACGCGGACACCTGGGTGGGAGCGCGGGCGAGTGGAGGGCGCGCCTGCACGCAGGATCCCGGGCTGGGCAACGGCCTAGACCGCCTCTCGCCAAACCTCCCACGCCAGCGCCAGTCCGACGAACAGGAGCTGGTCCAGCGAACAATAAAAGGCCCCGGGGCTGGGGAGGGATGGAAGCGCCCTTGGAGCGCGCAGGCTACGGGCGCCCCCGGCAGCGCCCCCGCGCCTTCCCCTCCCGCCCCGCGGCCGCTGATTGCCTATTGTGCGTCCCCTCTGCGGCCGCCCGCGCGATGCACTCTGCGAGCTGGCCCCTTCGTTTCTAAATGAGCAGCCAGCGCCGCAGACACGTGCCAAGGGAAGGGTAGTTCACTGCGTGGGGCGGGGGGACATGCAATAAGACAAGAGACCGCACGGAAATAGCTCCGTGCCCGTCTGCTGCACTGTCCTTCTCACGTGCCTTCGGACAAGGGGACTTTCACTCTCTCCCCTCCTCTGCCCCAATCGCTCTGTCTCCCTGAGACTGACCACCCTCTTCTCTAACCCGAACTCCGCAGGGGAGCCTTCAGCCTTTTATTATTATTTTTTTCCTGGGTAGTAGATGTCTTTGCCTTGGCTGGGCTCTGGAATGCTCAGGTAAAAAGTGGGTCTGGCCGGATGCAGTGTGTATCTTCAACACGGAGGCTAGAGAATTGGATAGAGGAGCAGCGCTAGTCTGTGACAGCTCCAGACGCCCTGCTCCAAGCACCCCAATCCTAAGCACCCCAATCCTCTGGTATCTTCCGTCCCAGGGAACTCTGGCTGGTCGTCATGGCTTTGTTTAATGCTCCTCTCTGCCACACTACCGCGTTCCCTGTGGGATGGGAACCTCTGGGAAAGGACCTGACAAGGGACCAGAAAAAGGTTTGGGGAATCAAAGTCTAGTAGTAAGGGGTCCTACCACTGATGGTTTGGACTCACGGGCAATTTACAGTTGGATGGAAGCTGAAGTGTCATCAGATTTAGAGGCCACAGTCTGGCAGCCTGTGGACCAAATCCAGGCCACCAACACATTTTGGTCCATAAAGTGTTTTTTAAACTTTCCATCATGAATAATAGCATATTGTGGATCATAAATATATATAAATTAGTGAGAATGCTATAATAAACCCCCATAGTCCCACCACCCAGTTTCAGCCAGCACTTAATCTATTCAAAGGCAATCTTCCTTCATCTATTCTCCCACTCTCCTCCAGAATTTGAAGCAAATCTCAGAAATCCTATCATTTCTTCTTTAAGTACTAAAAAGTAGTCCTAAAAGATAAGAATTCTTTTAAATAGCATAATAATATCAATATCACACCTAAAACAATAATTCCTTGTCCTCAAATATATAGTCAATGTTCAAACTTCCCCAATTGTCTTATTTTTCTTTATTGTTCAAATTGGGATCCAAATGAATCTCCACAGTGCATTCTCTCCTTTAATCGGATAATCCCCCAGTTAATCTCTTTTTTTCCTGGAAATTTATTTGTTAAATAAACCAGATCATTTGTTCTGTAGAATTTTCCACAGTCTGGATTTTGTTAAATGTATCCCCATGGTGCCATTTAACATGTTCTTCTACCTCTACATTTCCTGTAAATTGGTTGTTAGATATAGAGGCTTGATCAATTAATGCTGGATTTTTTAAAGAATAATTCATAGACCATAGTTTAATTCGATCCAAAGTAATGTCTGCTTGTCAGTGATGACCATTGTCTAGACCCATTATTTCATTAGGGATTGCCAAGTTGTGACATTCTAGTTCTATGATTCACTCTTCATTTATGAGCTTGAATACTTCTCTAAAGAGAATCTGTCATCAATGATTTGTTTATGCAGAGGTACACGTCAAATAGGAAAGGCAGGATAAATGCTTGATTCTTTCCCTTATTATTTATCAAAATAATGAGGTGATTCCTCAGATTCCCCTAATGGTGACCAACGATTTTTTTTAAATCACTTATGAACAAATGGATTTAAATATATCTCATGTGTTTCAAACCAAGTATATTTTGATTGGGCATTTTAAAATTAGAAGATGTCATATTAAAAACATTGACCTCTGGCTTCCGTTGTAGAATATCTGGCAACCTTGAGTCCTTTTCCAGCAAGACTAGAGCAGACTTTGGCTGAGGGGCACTGCCTCCTTCAGTAGGCATTCATTCTTGCCTTGGCATGCTTTGATCTTCTTAGACCCTGGACCCCCTGCCCTGCAGGAGTAAGTCTGTAAAGCAGATCCAATCCAAGTCTCTCACCTTATAGATGAGAGAGCTGATGAAGTAGCTTACCTTCCTGAGACTGGAAGACAAGTCTCCTGGCTGCCTACCAAGACGAGGGTAAAGCAAACAGGGAAGACCAGCTGGTTTCTGCCTTACCTGCAAGTTGAGCTGAGCCAGAGACCTGGGACCACTTCAAGATAACCTTCCTCCCCATTTGCAAACACACCTTGCAGAGGAAACTTGGGAATATTCCAAACTCCACTCCCTCTTTTGCCTCCCACATCCAATCAGCCACCTAGCCTGCTAATTAGCCTCCCTTCCTCCATTCCTGTCCTCCTCCAACTCATCCTCCTCACTCGCAATGAGGTTTTCCAAAACATATGTCTAACCATGTCACTCTCTGGCTTTAAAATCCGTCACTAACTGCTCATTGCCTTTAGGTTACATCGAAGTCAACATTAGCACAGCACACAAGGCTCCTCATGTCCTGGGCTCTGCCATGGCTAGCTCCTTACCTCATGCTGTCTCCTTGTCACAACTCCGTCCTCCAGCTGGACGGAATAGCCACAGGGCTCTGTGCACACAGTTTTGTCTATGTTATGTCCTCTCTGTATTTGCTGTTTACTCCTTTAAACATCCACTGCTTCCCTGGCTGGCTTCCACTTCTAGCTTAAGTCCCACTCCAGGCTTTGATCTTAGGAAAGGCCTTCTTGGCAAGCCTTGACTGCATTCCATGTCCTACTCCGCACTTCCACAGCATTCTGGCTCACTTTAAGATGAGGACCTTGCCACTGATGGGTGGTTTTGCTCTTTGTTTGGTTTGCTTTTTCACTTGTTTCCCTCCTGGCCGGTGTGGAAGCTTCCTGATGCCTGACAGGGGCTATGTCTGTATCTCCATCTCCTAAATCATGTTCCCAACCATGTTCCCAATGCACAAAGTAGGTGCAGGCCAGTAAGGATTTGGTTAGTCAATGAAATTAAACAAAAGAGATGAAGGTTTGTGGACTGTTTTGGAGAGAAAGAGGACCCCCTTCCCTTGCAGGGAAGGGACTTGATGCAAACGACCGCATGGCAGTAGGCTCGCTGGGCAGATGCCCAGGAGATATTAGGGCTGCTGGGGCTGAGGTAATATCCTGCGAGGCCAGCCGGGTCTGCAGCCCTGGCTGGGTCACGACCCAGGCTCTGCCTGGCTCGGACATCCTCGGACCTGTGCATGCATGTGTGCGTTTGTGTGTGCGCGCGCGTGTGTGTATGTGTGTGTGTGTGTGTGCGCGCGCACACACACACACACACACACACACACACACAGCCTCGCCAACCCCGCCTCCTCCCGCTGGGAGGATAATTAAAGCGCCAAACGGCGGAGCGGGCGGGCAGCGTTCCCGGGGGCGCATTTCATCGGGGCTGATTAATGAGGCCGGGGAGTTAATGAGGAGAAAGCTAAACGCAGGGAGCTGAGCCGCGGAAGGCCTCTCCGAGGCCCTGGAGGGGGTCCTCCGAAGGCATCTCCCGCCCTCTCTTTCTAGTAGCGGCTTAGCGCAAGCCACATGGTGCCCCAGGCTCCTCTCGCCGCCTCAAGCCAGGGGCGGGGGGGAGGAGGGGTCGCCCCAAGTCATACCGGCCGCACTGAAGTCGGTCTCCTCCGCTTGTGGCTAACCCGGCTAAACAGCAAAAGAGCCTGCCTTGCCATCTAAAACACAACAAAGGACCTCAGGAGACCGCCACTTTCTTCTTCTCCTCAGGGAACTTTGGGCATGGGTCCCAGACCACCTGCAGATTGCATTCCAGATCCGAATTAAGGATCAGCTCTGCCGTGCCAACCGAGTAACCTTAGACAAGTTACTTAGTCCTTTGAGCCTCAGCTTCTGCGTCTGTAAGATGGGCTCACACTCCTTACCCGCCCTAAAAATGGCTTTTAGTGAGTGCCAGACACTACTCTAAGCACTTGGCGTGTATAATCTTATTGATTCTTCCCAACAGCTCTAGGAAGTAGGCTCTGTTATTATCGTCTTTACTTCAGAGATAAGGACATTGAGGCAGAGAGCAGGGTCTTAACTTGCCTGAGGTCGCACTGCTACTTGCCAGGACTGACCCAGCTAATACGCAGTGGAGCCGGAAGTGAACACACACAGGCTGATCCCAGAACCTGTGCCCTATCCTTAGCATAAGGCTGTGGTGCTAGTTCTCAAGGCGGGTGTGAGCATCAAATCATACCCTCAAATCCAGAGAAGGGCTTTGTTTTTGTTTTTGAGACACAGTCTCACTCTGTCGCCCAGGCTGGAGTGCAGTGGCACAATCTTGGCTCACTGCAATGTCTGTCTCCCGGATTCAAGTGATTCTCTTTCCTCAGCTTCCCAAGTAGCTGGGACTACAGGTGGCCACCACCACGCCCAGCTAATTTTTTGTATTTTTAGTAGAGACTGGGTTTCACCATGTTGGTCAGGGTGGTCTTCAATTCCTGACCTCAAGTGATCTGCCCGCCTTGGCCTCCCAAAGTGCTGAGGTTACAGGCATGAGCCACTGTGCCTGGCCCAGAGAGGGACTTTGTACACTGTAAAATGCTAAGCAAATGTGAGAAGAAGCAATTATTAATACTATTAATATTAACTTACCGGGCTCTGTGGCTTGTGCCTATAATCCCGGCTACTTGGGAGGCTGAGGCAGGATGATCACTTGAGGCCAAGAGCTCAAGACTCTTGTGATTCACATTCATTCCCAGTTTTGAACCCAGAGTAGAGACAAGGCAGTGAGGGATGGAGCCACTGAACAGAGAGAGAGAGCAGGCAGGGTGATGGCTTTTCCAGCAGTCCGCATCCTTGTGTCCTAACTGCGGCAGTAGAGCTGAGAGTGACCTCTGCCTGACCTCAGGCAGTGACCCCCACGCCTTCAACGCACACCCTCAATGCACACTCTTCTGTAGTCAAAAGACGGACACACCAAATGTTCCCCATCTTCCTACAAGTGGCAGAGGAGTAGTAGCCTGAATTTTAAGAGAGCATGGTGCGAAGGGATGAGGGTGAGTTTGGACTCAGATAACCCATGTTACCATATGAATCTGTCATCTACCAGCTGTGTGAGCCTGGGTGAGTTGCTTATCCACTCTGAGCCTCATCCTGCCGGTTGGGAATGGTAGCTGCTCTCCCTGTGTCGCAGGACTGCTGTGAAACGGCAAACAGGAAGTTCTGGATGTGAAAGGACATTGCCACTTTTTGTCCTTGGTTGGAGAGTGCAGGTCACTACCCTGGGACATGCCAGGAGTTTCTAGCAATGGGCAACAGGGCAAAGAGCCTGAGCTCTCCCGTGAATGCCCTTCCCCTCCCCTAGTAATCTGATTTTGGGATCTACAACTCCATATCGCTCTCCAGTCGAGAATGATTTGAGACCGGAAGCCAATCAGCTCCTACCAAGTCTTGATGAGTTTGAAATGAGCCAATTTCCTCTGGATGAGTTTCTTCTGCTGAATCAGGGAAACTGAGGCTGCCCAGGCCAACCTAAAACAAATCAGTCTCCCCCCGCGGAAGTCAGACACTTCCACCTTCCCACCAGTCTGACTCTAAAGCCCCCAGCCCTCAGTAATGCTTTGCACCATCCCCCCCTCCACTGTGGGGGCCACCAGTACTGGCAAAAGGGGGAGCATAAATAATTTTCTCCAAAGGAGCTTGTGTCTAGAGAAACCAATATTTAACATCCCCATTTACATTGAAAGCGTGATTCTGATTATGAGATGGTAATGAGAGGATTAGGCAGAGGAGAGGGCCCCCCTGCCTGCCGCCCCCTCCTGTTCTTCCCTCCATCACCCTGCATCGCACAGGGTCTTATTCCTGGAGGAGGACGTGGGGAAGGGGTTGGGGCACTCCCACTGGGAGAGCATCAGAGATGCCAGAGCAGGGCAGGGGTCCTTCAAGACCCCAAGTGAGAGCCCCTTATTCATGTCTGGAATCAATTAGCCTCAGAGGGGGTGACAGGTGAGATGCGAGACACCTGACTCTGGTCCTTCCCTTGCCTTTCCCCTACACTGCGCCCCTCTGCTCCTGGATTCTGCCTGGTATTCCCGACAGGTGTGTTTCTTACATCGTTCTTTGTTTCTGAGGTGGACAGCTGAAGTCAAAAAGTATGTTGGGAGAACTTTTGCTTGGCTCCTGGCTTCTCTGGCTGAACCTCAAATCCCACTCCTCTCCCCTAAATTCCTCGTCTCTCTGGAATGGCATCCTTGTCCTCCTTGCCCCAAACCCTGTTTTTTAACCAGGCAGCAGTTTATCTCTGGCTTTTCCTATGGGGCAAGGGATGGGGGATGAAGAGAACCCAAGGGGGTCACCATCCTGAGGCCCCGTTTGTTGGTGGACAATTGCGCTCAGACGGGATAATTCAGTGTGTGATTGTGGTCACGCCCCCCGCCTTTTGTGCCCCTTTCAGAGCCAATCTCCCAGGCCCAGATGGGTTAATCCATAATGCAGACGAGCAAGTAACTGGCTGTCAGCCCAGCCCCCAGGACCCCCTCCCTATTAGTGCCACTGCCCTAATGAAGCCCAGCTTGGAGAGCCCCCTTCTCAATGAGGTGCCGGCCCCAACCCAGCCCGGCACACATGTGTCTCCACTGCTCTGCCTGAAGCCTAGTTCCCTTTAGGGACCCCGAGCCCAGCCTCCCCGGGGTGACCCAGCTGCCAGGGCTGTGGAGGCCCGGGGGGAGGCTGTGATGGATGGGAGGGAGATAGTTAATAGAGCCCAAAACACATGGGCCCTGTCTCCACCCTCCACACACAGACACTTTCACAGCTTCCATTGACAGCATCCCTGGTCTTTCTGAAATAGCCCCATGGAATAGTCCCCACTCCCATCTCCAACGTAAATTGTGCTGAAATAGGATTTAAATGGGGATTATGAAGCTGCTTTTCTGAATACTGGCCCAAGTCATTGCTACACAGCCAACCCCCAAATTCTGCCAACCTCAGTCCTCTTGTAGATTTTGAGCAGAAATGGCTCAAGGCAAGTTAAACAATGAGCTCGACCTTCAGCCTTTAGTGTCTCAATCAATATGTGACTCTTATGCCAAGAGATATTCTTTTCCTTATATCTTGGACTTCCATCTCTGCTCTCTCTTCTCATCCGCTTTTTTATTTTATTTTATTTTTTTGAGACAGAGTTTTGCTCTGTCACCTAGTCTGGAGTGCAGTGGTGCAATCTCTGCTGACTGCAACCTCTGCCTCCTGGGTTTAAGTGATTCTCCTCCCTCAGCCTCCCAAGTAGCTGGGAATACAGGTGCACACCACTATGCCCAGCTAATTTTTGTTTGTTTGTTTTTTGGTAGAGATGGGGTTTCACCATGTTGCCCAGGCTGGTCTCAAACTCCTGACCTCAAGTGATCCACCTGTCTTAGCCTCCCAAAATGCTGAGACTACAGGCATGAGCCACTGTGCCCGGCTTCTCTTCCTATTCATTTCTGAACCAATTATTTAGAGGCAGGACCAGCCCGACAGATGAGGCAGGTGTCTGTAGAGAAGACCTGCTGTTTGTGAGAGCTGCCTTACCTTGTCCTAGGCACTGCCCATCAGGTTCTGAGCTCCCTGCCTCTGGAAGGATTCAAGACAAACCTGGACGACATCTGTTTAAAATATCATAGAAGAGAGGTTTGGGGAGGATGTTTGCAAAGAAACCACACTTCTCTGATTCTCTGCACTTACTTCCTATTCCCACCTCTTTGTTCCCTCTTTCACCCTAATACAAACAACTGGCCTTGCTGGCTCTGGTGCCAAACCAATGGGGGGAAAGAGACTCTAGCCTCTGCGGCCTTGGGCTGTCCTACGATGCCCAAAGAGGCAGGAGTTTGGGGCGCTAAGGAGAGCTGGCCGTAATCTGCCTGCCCACCTTCCTCTACTTCACCCTTTCTAAATGATAATTGTATATTTTTCCATTATTAATTAGGATGACAAAATATCCAAAAATGGAGGAAAGATGGAAAAGTTGTATACATTCTCTCACACCTAATTCCACTGTTGGTTATACTTTGGTTTATTTTTCATTCCATCTTTTTCATAGGCACATTGGAAATCATCCAGCATAATTGAAATATTTACTGAATATCTTCTATGTGCCAGGTACAGTGCTTATACTTTTTCCACCTGAATTATAACTCTAGACCCATTTCTATTTCCTTTTCCTTTTCTAATGCCAGTGTAATTGCCTTGGAATAGGTATACTGTCTTATCATGGAATATTTGGAAGTTTTCACATTTAGAGATACAGGACCCTGAGATGATGGAGGTTAGAATCTATACCGGGCTCCAAAGTCACAGTGAGAAATCTTTTTATGATTAAGACCATGAAGAGGAAAATAAAGCCCTCATCCTGATAAGTGGAGGGCTCAGGGGTTGAAGGCAAGTGACTCTGAGAAAAGTCTAGCCCCATTTCTGATTACAGGAGGGAACAACGCTGGGTGGTGAAATACCATTCAGAGGTTGCTCCTAGGAGATGCTGAATATTTATGAGCTATGCAATCAGGACTTAGGAGGTAAGGCTTAAAGAATAAACAGGCAGCAGGATGGGGGTAGGGGAGAGAGACATGGAAGAGAAGCCGTAAGAAATGGAAAGGGACACACAAACAGAAGGAAGGAGAGAGGGAGTATTTCCCATGACTTTTCAGAATGGTGACTTCTCTCTATGCCCATAAAACCTAGATGCATCTCATTGTGTAGATGGGGAGTGAGGTTAGAGTGAGGCTGGACTTTCCCAGGGCAGACTCTGCTTCTCTGTGGGAATCCAGGGAGATCTTGGAGTCATCTTTACTGCCAGGAATTGAGATCCAGAAGTCAGTGAAAAGGAGCCCCTTACAGGGGCTCAGTGTGAGGCAGTGGAGGCTAAAGATGAATGTGAGGCAGTGGAATGAGGGACTTTAGGGTCAAGAGATCCCTGCAGATAGTGGAGAAAGGTCCAATATTCAATGAATACAAACAAATCTAGGAACGCACACAAGCACATAGAAACAAAGCGATAAAGACTCAGTGATGTCAGGTGGAAAACCTTTCATATATGCATTTAACACAAAAGCATTTCCCTCTGAATGGAAATCATTAGAGACATGGGAATATTCCTCTTTAATTGAAAAGTGGGACATCCTCTGTAGGATGTAGGGGATTTGAAGATCTCAATTGGTCCCTTACTTTGTGAATTTGATCCTCACCTACAGAGAAAGAGAGAGAAAAAATGGGGGCGAGGGGTGGTGGGGAGGAGGGATGCGGGAGAGAAAGGGAGAGAGAGGAGAGAGATGAAGACAGAGAGAAATAAAGAACAGAGTGGATTTCTGACTTTCTGGAGACTGAAAAAGTGTCAGGAATTAAAGAAATGGCAAATACAGTAATCCCTATCAAAATACTAATGACATGCTTCATAGAAATAAAAAAAAAATTCTAAAACTTTTATAGAACCACAAAAGATTTTGAAAAGCCAAAGCAATCCTGAGCAAAAGAACAGGGCCGGGAGCAGTGGCTCATGTCTGTAATCTCAGTGCTTTGGAAGGTCAAAGCTGGAGGGTCACTTGAGGCCAGGAATTTGAGTTTGAGCCCAGCCTGAGCAGCACAGTGAGACCCCCCTCTCTACAAAAAAGAAAAAAAAAACCCAGGCATGGCGGCACAAGCCTGTAATCCTAGCCATTTGAGAGGCTGAGGCGGGAGGATCCCTTGAGCCCAGGAGTTTGAGGCTGCAGTGATCCATAATTGTGCCACCGCTCTCCAGCCTGGATGACAGGGACCCAGATTCTAAAAACAACAACGAAGCTGGAGGCATCATACTACCATATTGGACTTCAAAGTTTAATACAGAACTATGGTAACTAAAACAGCATGGTACTGGCATAAAAAAACAGACACATAGCCCAATGAAACAGCATAGAAAACTCTGATATAAATCCATGTGTTTATAACCAACTTATTTTCTACAAAGGTGCAAAGAATATACAATGGAGAAAGGACAGTTCTTTCAATAAATTATGCTGGGGAGACTGGATATCTATATGCAGAAGAATGAAACTAGGTCCCTATCTCTCACCCTACACAAAAATCAAATCAAAATTGATTAAAGACCTAAAACTATGAAACTACCGGAAGAAAACTTTGGGGAAATGCTCTAGGATATTGGTCTCAGCAAAGACTTTTTGTGTAAGACATCAAAAGCGTGGTCAACCGAAGCAAAAATAGACAACTGGGATTACATCAAACTAAAAAGCTTTTGCACAGCAAAGGAAACAATCAACAAAGTGAAAAGACAGCCCACAGAATTGGAGAAAATATTTGCCAACTAGCCAGCTGACAAGAGATTACTAACCAGAATATATAGTTCAAGATCTCAATAGAAAAAGAAAACCAAATAATCTGATTTTCAAATGGGCAAAAGATCTGAACAGACACTTCTCAAAAGAAGACATACAAATGGTCAATGGGTATATGAAAAAATTTTCAACGTCACTAATCATCAGAGAAACGCAAACCCAAACCACAATTCATTATCATCTTACCCCAGTTAAAATGGCTTGTATCAAAAAGACAAGCAATAACATACCGGTGAGGATGTGGAGAAAGCGGAACACTCATACACTGTTGGTTGGAATGCAAATTAGTACAGCTACTATGAAGAACAGTATGGAAGTTCCTCACAAAACGAAAAATAACACTACCGTGTGTGTGCATGTGTGTGTGTGTGTATATATTCCAAAAGAAAGGAAAGCAATATACAACCAGATGCCTGCACTCCCATGTTTATTGCAGCACTATTCACAATAGCCAAAATACGGAATCAACCTAAGTCGCCAACAGTGGAAGAATGAATAAAGGAAATGTGGTACATATACACAATGGGATATTATTCAGCCATAAAAAAGAAAAAAACCCTGTCATTTGCAACAACATGTAGGGAACTGGAGGCCGTTATATTAAGTGAAATAAGCCAAGTACGGAAAGACAAATCTCACATGTTCTCACTGATTTGTGGGAGCTAAAGAAGTTGATCTCATGAAGATACAGAGTGGATTGGTGGTTACCAGAGGCTGGGAAGTGGGCAGGAAGTGAATGAAAGGGGAAAAAAAGGATATAAATAGAAATATATTTATGACCACTGAACTGTACACTTAAAAATGGTAAAGATGGTAAATTATGTGTATTTTACCTCAGTTAAAAAAATAAACTTCTGCCACACAAAAAGAGTTTGAAATTAAAGCTGAAATTTTTTTTTTTTAAAAAAAAGGAGAGCAAAAGAGCAAACACAAAGAGTACCAGGTTTAATGTGGATAGGTGCGAGGGACTAAGGGATTTAGGAAATAAAAACAGAACGACGGAAAAAGATCCAGAGGTCTTAGTGGACTACACTCAGTAATATAATAGTAGGAGTCATTCTGTTACAAGAAACATACATAAAAGTAGAATGTGTGTGGAAGGGGGAGTAGGGGGAGTCTTCCTTCTGCTATACCTGCTATACGGATGCAGGTCTTTCACAGAGATGTGGTATACAGTATTGAGTAAGCATACAAGTGTACAGTCAGCCTGAGTTTAAATCCTGGATGTTCTATGTCACAGCCAAGTAACTTTGGGCAAGTTGTTTAGCCACTCTGTGCCTAAGTCTCCTTATCTATATAATGTGGATATTTTTTGTTTCTGTTTTCTTTTTCTTTTCTTTCTTTTTTTTTTTTTTGAAATGGAGTCTCGCTCTGTCGCCCAGGCTGGAGTGCAGTGGCCTGATCTTAGCTCACTGCAACCTCCACCTCCCAGGTTCACGCAATTTTCTTGCCTCAGCCTCTGAAGTAGCTGGGATTACAGCTACTTCCATTTTTAGTAGAGACGAGGTTTAACCATGTTGGCCAGACTGGTCTCGAACTCCTGACCTCAAGAGATCTGCCTACCTTGGCCTCCCAAAGTGCTGGGATTACAGGAGTAAGCCACCACGCCTGGCCAAAATGTGGATAATAATTAGTCCTAGTCTTAGAGTTATTTGGAAAATTAAATGCATGTTAAATAAAATGTATAGGAGGCCATTGATTTGGACTGAGCTCCTGCACTAGAACCAACAGACCAAACCAAAATGCAATTACTCAGGCTGAAGTTCCCCAACACCAGCCAAAACTAAGGTCTTCATCTAACTTTCCAAGAAATCAGTGGGGAGAGAGAGACAGGTAATAGCCAAATCCCCAACCGACCAGTTTTAGCAGATGTGATAAGGAAGTCCCCTCTGCTTTCACCTTTACAAGAAAAGTTATGTTGAAAAGATCAATCTGCTTTTTAATTTTCTGCTTCTGCTTTCCTCAGCCCCTTTGTGTCTATAAATCAACCTCCTCTGCTCGGCTCATCAGAAGACTCATTCTATTTTATAGAATGAGGTGTCACCCAATTCTAGAACCTCAAATAAAAGCCAGTTAAGATCTTTAAACTATTTGTTTTTGGTAATTTTGTCTTTTGACATGGATGAATACATGTACAGCACTTAGAACAGCCCTCACAATAGCAACTTCACACTCATGTTATATATTAAAATTCATATCTTTGTTAATGTTAAATGAACACCTACTATAAACCACACATTGTGTTAGGCACCAGGGATAAAATACAAATAAGATACAATCCCTGCACTCTACGGGGAACTTGAAGCTTATGGGGAAAATATACATGTAAGCAAGCAATCAAAACACTGCTTATCAAGTTATACAGGAGGGAAATAAACCAAGTGTTCTGGGAGGACCATGCAGTCTGAGTGGGTCAGGAAAGAGTCACTAGTTAGTTAACTGAAGCTGGATGCTAGAATAAAAGCAATTCAGAAGGTGGAGAATGGAGAGGAGATGGCATTTCAGGAAGAGGGAGTAGCAAGAGCCGAGGCATGGAAGTACAAAGGGTACCACACAGTCAAGAAAAAAAGTTGGTTTGGTGCTGGAATATAGACACCCAAAGAGGGGTCGGTTGCAGTGGCTCACACTTGTGATTCCAGCACTTTGGAAGGCGGAGGCTGGTGGATCACCTGAAGTCAGGAGTTTGAGACCAGCCTGGACAACATGGTGGAACCCCATCTCTACTAAAAATACAAACATTTGCCGGTCATGGTGAGGAATGCCTGTAGTCCCAGCTACTTGGGAGTTTGAGGCAGGAGAATTGCTTGCATCAGGGACGTGAAGGTTGCAGTGAGCCGAGATCGCGCCACTGCACTCCAGCCTGAGTGAAAGAGTGAGACCCTGTCTTAAAAAAAAAAAAAAAATGGCCAAAGGGGGTAGAGTTGGGGTGGGGAGTGGTGGAGAAGATCTTGGAAAGGCAGTCAGCACCCAGACTATGGTGATAACTTGTGTGCCACCTGTGTGGGTCTATCCTACAGGACACAGGAAGAAGCCTTTATAATTTTTAAGTAGGCGAGTGACATGATGAGATCTGAACATTAGAGACAAGCATGTAGCTCGGTGTCTGGCACTTAGTAGGTGCTTAACTACATGGGAGTTGAACAAATATATAGCAACTCCTTGCAGCATCAGTGTAGAGGGTGGATTGCAGGGAGTTAGGAGGCTTTCATGAGAACCTGAACTAAGACAGTCACAATGGAGATGGGCAGGAGGTAAAGGGTTGATGAAATCCTTCTCAGAAATTCTGGAGTGGCATGTTCAGTTTGGGGTTCAGGGCTTAAGAGGGGTATAGAGAAGCTAGAAAGAGTAAAAAAAAAAGATCCTGTTTACAATTGTAACACCAAAATATTATTTATTATTATTGGAATAAACACCAAGAAGTGATCTAGATCTAAATTATGAAAATTTAAAAAATATTAAAGTCTATAAGAACAAGGTAGCTGTTTTATCTTTCATAACTGTGCTATTGGACTTAGTGGGATTGGCATCCTCCTTGCTCCTCATTGTTAAATCTGAACCATTCCCCCTTCACCCTCCCTAAAAACTTCCCATCTTTGAGTCTAATGTCATAAGACACTACTATCTGCTGTCTCAGTGCCACTGACTACCTCCTCCTGGGGTCATTGCACCTCGTTCCCTGCAGAGTTTACCTAACAGCTCACTTTCACTCTCACCAACTCTTCCCCTGCTCTAATTCTTGATTATCTCAAAGCATACTATGACAATTCACCTAATATCCTTGCTTCTTAGTTTTGTGACCTCCTCTCCTCCCACAATCTTGTTGTCTACTCTACCTTAGCCATTCATTCCTGCAGTAATACCCTAGTAAACTGTAGTAACCAGTAACTGAACTTCTGTATGATGTCAGTTTCAGGCATTCTCATTTCTAGTCACTATCTCATATGTTTTCCAGTTCACTTCTTTTGGTATTCCAATTCCAACAAATCTTAGGCCACACCAAGACAATCCATCTATCTCAATTTCTTTCCATTGATTTAATTTTCTTTTCACTGCAGCTCCTGCAATTTATTGACTCATGGCTCTACTTATCTCCTTACTCAGTTTAGATTCCCATGGTCAATCATCAGAATCAGTTTCTTGCTTACATCTTCAATTTCCTTGCCTGTCTCTCATGTCTTTGAGCTTGTCTGGCTAACCGACAACTTTGGGCGAATCCAACTTTCTACCTATTCTTCACCTGCATCCAAGCAACTGAATGTACCTGCAGAAAAATGCAAAACCATGCACATTGGTCTCACTTTTAATTTATGATCACTCACCTGAAGCAGACCTCTAATGCTGCTTAAGAATATCTATTTTAGAGACAGGATCTTGCTCCATCACCCAGAGCGGAGTGTAGTGGTGCAGTGACAGCTCACTGCATCCTCGAACTCCTGGACTCAAATGATCCTTTTGGCTTCAGCCACCCGAGTAGCTAGGACTACAGGCACATGCCACCATGCCTAATGTTTTAATTTTTTGTAGAGGTGGGGTTTCAGTGTGCTGCCCAGGCTGGTCTCAAACTCCTGGCCTCAAGTGATCCTCCCACCTTGGCCTCCCAAAGTGCTGGGGTTATAGGTGTGAGCCACCATGCCCAGCCAATTTTACTATATTTCTATAGCTGTAAACTGTCCTGCTTTCCTTCCTGACTCTGTCAGATATTTTCCTCTCTGCTCAAACTTTCATCACCTCTTCACCTATTCTTACTCCTAGCTGGTAATTTTGTTTCCTATTTCATGGAGAATAGAGATGCAATCAGGAGAGAACTCCCATTGGCTCCTAGCCCCACATCTTACCACCTCCTTGTGTCTGTGTCCACACCCTATCCTTTGTCCCATTACTATGGATGAAATATCTGTGTCCTGGCTCAGTGACTCCATTCAGTTATGCTCTAGACCCCATCATCTCTCCTACCCAGGGATATTGTTCCAGCAACTCTCCCCTCTCTTCTCTGTATCATAGGTTTTCCCTCTCAATGACCTAATTTTAGTCAGCACATAAACATGAGGTTGTTTCTCTCATTTTGTTAAAATTCCTGACTGCATTTCTTTTTCAACTATCTCTTTATAAATCTCCTTCCCATTTCACCAAAACTCTAACTTCTGTACTTCCATTTACTGTTAAGTCCACTCCAGTCAGAATTTGCTTTCACCAATCTACCAAACATGCTTTTAACAAGGTCAACAGGGACATCCATGTTACTAAATTCAATAGTCAATCAGTCTTCATCTTAGCTGTCTCAGTCTGCGTGGGCTGCTATCACAAAAATGCCAAAGACTGGTTGGCCAAAACAACAAATATATATTTTACATGGTTATGGAGCCTGGGAAGTCAGATTCAAGGTGCCAGCAGATTCAGTGGTGAAGACGTGCTTCCTGGTCCATAGACGCTGTATTCTCCATGTGCCCTCATGTGGTAGAAGAGGTGAGAGAGCTCTCTGGGGCCTCTTTTATAAGGGCACTAATCCCATATATGAGGGCTCCACCCCCATGACCTAATCAACCCCCAAAGGCCACATCTCCAAATACCATCACTTTGGGGGTTAGGAGTTCAACATCTGAATTTTTAGGAGACACTGACATCCAGTCTGTAACACTAGTTGGTCTTACTCCACTTTACCATTGGTCACTCCCTCCTCCTTCACTTGCTTTCTCCTTCTTCACTGAGTTTCCAGGATACCACACTCTCCCAGATTTTATTTTATTTCTCTGGTCCCTTCTTAGTCGTCTTTATTCTTCCTCCTCAACTCCCTAAATTCAAAATGTTTTGGTACCCAAAGGCCCAGTCCTTGGACCTGTCGATTTTTAAAATTTCCTTTGATGATCTTATCTAGTTCTGTGGTTTCATATGTCATTTATATGATGAGGATGCTCCAATTTATATACCTGTAGCCAAGACTACTCCCTGGAACTTCAGACATCTCTAACTTAACATGTCCCCAACCGAGTTCCTAATATTACCCATTGAATCTACAACGCCTTTAGCTTTCTCCATCTCACTAAAATTTTGTCAATTCTATTTTCAAAATATATCCAGAATCCAGGTACTTCTCATTTCTACAGGTGCCACCCTGATCTGAAACACCACCATCACTTACGTGTGTATTGCAAAAGCTTGCCAAAGCTTCCCAGCTGCTTCCCCTGCTTCCTCCCTTCAGGTTTCTCTTCAGTCTGTTCTTAGCACAGCAGCCAGAGAAACTCTATTAAAATAAGTGAAGTTATGTCACTGTTCCACTCAAATCTCCCTCCACGGAATCCCATCTCACCCAAAATAAGCTAGAGTTATTATTATGTCATACAAGGTCCTACGTAATTACCCCAGTCTTGATGTCTCTCTTATTCACCCTACTCCACCTGTTTTTTTTTTCCTTCAACTCACTTGTTATGCTCCTGTCTCAGGGCCTTTGCGTTGGCTATTTCATCTATCTGGGACAACTCTTTCTTAAGGTAGCCACGTGGCTAATTCTCTCACTTCCTTAAAGGCTTTATTCAAATGTCATTTTTTCAATGAGGCCTCTTCTGGGAACCCCATTTCAATGTTAGTTTCTCGTGCCACTACCATATACTTCTCATCACAATTTAACTTATTATATATTTAAGTTGTTTATCTTTATTATTGCCTGCTAAATTATAGCACCATTAGAATGTAAGCTCTATGAGGGAATTTTTGTTTATTTTGATAACTGATGTATTCCCAGCGCCTTAAAAGAGTGCTTGGTACAGAGTAGATGTTCAACAAATAACTTTTTTTTTTTTTTTTTTTTTTTTTTTTTTTTTTATTGAGACGGAGTGTCTCTCTGTTGCCCAGTCTAGAGTGCAGTGGCGCGATGTCGGCTCACTGCAAACTCCGCCTCCCGGGTTCACGCCATTCTCCAGCCTCAGCCTCCGGAGTAGCGGGGACTACAGGTGCCCGCCACCATGCCTGGCTTATTTTTTGTATTTTTAGTAGAGATGGGGTTTCACCGTGATGGCCCAGGATGGTGTCGATCTCCTAACCTCGTGATCCACCCGCCTCAGCCTCCCAAAGTGCTGGGGTTACAGGCGTGAGCCACTGCGCCCAGCAACTTGTTCTTTTATTTATTTATTTATTTTTGAGACTGAGTCTCTCTCTGTTGCCCAGGCTTCAGTTCAGTGGGGGCGATCTTGGCTCACTGCAACCTTTGCCTCCTGGGTTCAAGCGATTCTCCTGCCTCAGCCTCCCGAGTAGCTGGGATTACAAGCATGCGCCACCATGCCCAGCTAATTTTTTGTATTTTTAGTAGAGACGGGATTTCACCATGCTGGCCTGGCTGGTCTCGAACTCCTGACCTCGTGATCTGCCCGCCTCGACCTCCCAAAGTGTTAGGATTACAGGTGTGAGCCACAATGCCCAGCCTATAATTTGTTCTTGAAAGAAAGAATCAATATTGTAAACATGTCAAATTTCTTAATCTGTGAATTCAATGTAACTCAATAAAAATATCAAAAATAGGCCAGCATGGTGGCTCATGCCTGTAATTCCAGCATTTTGGGAGACCAAGGTGGGAGAATCACCTGAGGTTGGAAGTTTGAGACCAGCCCAGCCAACATGGTGAAACTCTGTGTCTACTAAAAATACAAAAATTAGCCGGCTGTCATGGCAGGCACCTATAATCCCAGCTACTCGGGAGGCTGAGGCAGGAGAATTGCTTGAGCCCGGGAGGTGGAATTTGCAGTGAGCCAAGATTGGGCCACTGCACTCCAGCCTGGTGACAGAGCAAGACTCTGTCTCAAAAAAAAAAAAAAAAAAAAAAAAAATATATATATATATATATATATATATATATACATATTTTTTATATATATATATATTTCCTATAGCTTTGCTTATTATTATTATTATTAAAATTTTACCTTGCAGCTCCAGCTCAAAGGACCTAAAGCTTAATAGAAAAATAATTAAGGACATCTGAAAAAAAAATAAGACTAGCCAAAGAACATCTAAACATTAAGAGTAATGAAGGGAAACTATCAGATAGTAAACTATGTTACAGAGCTATAATAATTGAACAGTTAAGTACAGTCACGGGGAATAACATGCAGATGAACTAACAGAACAGATTCCTATTCACATTTAGGAATATGAATAGGAATTCAGCATATAGGAGAAGTGGTTCTGCAGATCAGTGAAGGAATCAGGGACAACTGCTTATCTAAGAAACAACTATATTTTTACCTTACTCTTCATACCAGAATAAATTCTAAATGCATCCAAGATCTGTATGCAAAATATCAAAGCTTAGAAATTATTAGAAGAAAGTAAAGATTCTATTTTTGTAATCTTAGCATAAGGAAAGTCTAAGCATGAAACAAACTGAAAAGCTATATTGAAATACATTAATACATTTGACTTTGTTTTCTAAAATCTGGTAAAATATTTTTCAGTCAAAAATTATATGACAAACTGAGGGGAATTTTCAACATATACACATGAGACAAATAATAAATTTTCCCCAGTGACACAAGAGAGCAAATCGTGGAAAAAATGTGTAAGTGGCCATTAAACAGATGAAAATGTTCTCAAGTTCACTCAGAATTAACTATATATGTTACAGTAATTAAATACATATTTCATTTATTTAATTGTAAAAAATAAAAACATAATATTTGGTCATGGTGAGCAGACAGAGACTCTCATACACTGCTGTGGGACTGTCAATTGTGGCACCATTTGAAGGGCAATTTGATGATATATATGAAAATTTAAATGCGGCCGGGCTCGGTGGCTCATGCCTGTAATCCCAGCACTTTGGGAGGCCAAGGGAGGCGGATCACTTGAGGTCAGGAGTTTGAGACCAGCCTGGCCAACATGGTGAAATACCATCTCTACTAAAAATACAAAAATTAGCCGGGCATCAGGGCATACTCCTGTAATCCCAGCTGCTCAAAAGGCTGAAGCAGAAGAATCGCCTGAATCTGGGAGGCAGAGGTTGCAGTCAGTCGAGATTGAGCCACTGCAGCCTGGGCAACAGAGTGAGACTCCACCTCAAAAAAAAATGTATATATATATATATAAATGCACATACTTCTTGCTATGTAACTTTAAGCAGTTACTTAAGTAAAGTTACTTTACTTGCTGTGCTTTCTTAGGCATAATTTTCTTATCTGAAAACTGGAAATAATAGTACCCACCTCGCAGCGTTCCTATGAGCATTACATGAGATTATGCCTGCAAAGTGCTCAGATTTTTCTCATTCCTGGTAGCTTGCACATCCAGAACTATGTCTGGCCCACAGTGGGTACCTGGTGAACATCTGCTGAATGAAGAAATTAATAAAACCACTCAATAAACATTAGCTGTTGTTAGTTATTATTTGCCTCTATAATTTCACTTTTTACAATTTATTCTACAGCTAGAGATGTGTGTAAAGATATAGGTGTAGTATGTTTATTAGTAGCATTGTTTGTAAAACAAAAAGCCAGAAACAACCTAAGCTTCCATAAATAGGGGACTGATTACAAATGTACAATAAACCTATGCAATGGAATATTAGCCAGCCAGTAAAGTAAAAAAGATGGAGATACATGAACTGATAGAAAGAGATGCCCTAAAAATATCGATGGGTTAAAAAAGGCAAGTTGCAGAACAGTACAAATAATCTGAGACAAAGGTCTCACTGTGTTGCCCAGGCTGGTCCTGAACTCCTGGGCTTAAGTGATTCTCCTGCCTCAGCCTCTCAAGTAGCTGGAACTACAAGCCTGTGCCACTATGCCTGGCTAATTTGTACTTTAAAAGAATAGAGAGGATGGGCACAGTGGCTCGTGCCTATAATTTCAGCACTTTGGGAGGCCAAGGCAGGTGGATTGTCTGAGCTGAGGAGCTCAAGACCAGCCTGGGCAACATGGCAAAACCCCGTGTCTACCAAAAAAATTTTAAAAAAATTAGCCGGGTGTGGTGGTGCACGCCTATGGTGCCAGCTATTCGGGAGGCTGAGGTGGGAGGATCGCTTGCACCTGGGAAGTGGAGGTTGCAGTTAGTGGAGATTGTGCCACTGCACTCCAGCCTGGGTGACGGAGTGAGACCTTGTCTCAAAAAATATATTAATAAATAAAATAAAAGGAATAGAGATACATATGCTTATATATGCTTTTTAAAAAGAATCAGAAAGGACACACAAGAAACCACGGGTAGCTACCCAGGCAACTGGATCTGTAGGATAAAGAAGGACTTGATGGAGTGAGGACTTAGACTTTTCATCTTACACTTTCTTATACTGCTTGAATATGTTTGCCTGAACATGCATTATGATTATCATTACAAGAATATTTTAAAAACTCAAATAATAGGGCCCTGGGGGAGTATCAGGAATATGGAGAGAGCAGAAGAGGAAGGAAATACAGGAAAATAAGGTATACTAAGTTAAATGTGTTGTCCCCCCTAAAAAAGTCCTACTCACCCAAAACTTCAGAATGTGACTTCATTTGAAAATGAGGGTTTTTGCAGATGTAATTAGTTAGGGTGAAGTCATGCTGGATTAAATTGGACTCTAATCCAATGACTGGTGGCCTTATAAGAAGAGGTAAGAGACACCGAGACACACACCCAGGGAAGGCCATAAGAAGACAGAGGCAGAGATGGAGTGATGAATCCTCAAGACCAGGAAGGCCAAGCACTGCTGGTAATCAGCAGATGCTGGAGGAGGCAAGAACAGATCCCTCCCTGGAGCCTTCAGGGAGAGCATGGCCCAGCTGACACCTTGATTTCAGGCTTCTAACCTGTGAGAGGATACATTTCTGTTGTTTTAGGCCACCTAGTTTTTGGTACTTTCTTACAGCAGCTGTAATGCAAAAGGAGAGAGAGAGAAGGCTAGTGGGCTCTGCAGGGGTAGTTGTGAGGACTAACTATTTAATCAGGTATAGTCACCAAGTGTATATTTATGGAAGCTTGCTCTGTATCTAGTTTTATAAAAAGAACCAAGAAAGCTCTTTTTCTCCCTGGACTTTGTTTTATCTGTATTGGGATGTGAACATTTCTGCCCAGTTGTCTCCAGATTTCCAGTCTTGGTAGAGTGTGTTGCAAAGTGTCTCCCCACAGTCTCCTCCACTGGAACCCTGTGGGGAAAGGGGGACTTTCATGCAGGGGGCCTTGGCTTATTATCTCAGCAGCTATAGGGGTTGAGCCAACACACTCTGGCTCCTGCCGGGGGCAGGCTCCTGCTGTCTGCTTTCCAGCTGGGTGCCTGCTCTTTGCTCTCTGATTCCCCCTCCTGTTTGGTTCTCTGGCCCCTGCTGGCTGGGTCGCTGCCCCCTGGCATCATCACTCTGAAGCCAGCAGCCCTGCTGGGCCATTCACAGGCATACCCTAGTGGGGGTAAGGGGCAGATGTTATTTCTTTGTCCCCCTCCCAGCAAACACACACACACACACACACACACACACACACACACAATCTCACACTCAATATGTATTAATGTCCTGGGAAGGGGTCCAGGCAGAGAGTGATGGCAGGCTACAGGCTCTGGGGGGATGCAAATGGACCGGACAGTGTGTGTGTACATTGGGGGGAGGCAGTGGTAGTAATGGGGGGTTGTCTTCAGACTGCACTCCTGGGCAATTACATGCCAGCAGCTTCATCCACTACCAGCCGGCATGCAGGCTTTAGACCACCAAGAAGCCTCCCCATATGGCCCCAGCTTGGCCACTGAAAATTCCCAGCCACATTCTCTGGCCGATATGCTGGCACTAGGCCAAGAAAGTTAGCCTGGGGTAGCTGTTCTCTCCCCTAGCACGTGAACACACACACACACACTCACACACCAGTGGGGGGTGGGATGGAGAGTTCCTTTAGAGGCTCATGATTCCCAAAACACCACTCTTGTGTAGGGTTCCTGCCTTACTCATAATCACTTGCCCTTCCCATTTCCCATGTTCCTCTGCAAATCCACCCACCCAAAATACCACCATAGGAAAGAAATATTCCTCTTCTATATTACCTCATCAACTCCTGGCCCAGGGCTCTTTTCTAGGGCTCTACCTGTGAACCCACACATGCACACACACGCAAACACACACACACACACACACTTCTTCCCATCAGATGCTGTAACCTTATCAGAACAAACTTAGCTCCTAACTCTACAAATTCAACTCGCCCCAACCTCCCTGCTTCCTGCTACTCTCTCTTCTTTCTGCCAAATCTCCTTCAAAACCTCTGTTTCTTTTTCTTACCCTTTCTAAAGTCTGGACTGTACATATTGTTGGTAAAACTCTGGGAAAGAAGTAGTTTCCTGAGGTGGTAGAAGAGAGGGTCTCTAAACCCAACTCTGACTCTTTCTCCAGCCCAAGGTGGAAATTTATAAGTCAACAGAATGAATGCACCCCGGCTGAGGCTCCTCCAATTGCAGGGCATCTACTCAGTGTTTTAGGTGCTGTACAGGCACTTACAGTTGACAAATTAGGAAATGGACATAGTTGCAAAGAGTTGCATACCCACTCCAGAAAAAGGACAAAGAGTTGTCTTGGTAATTTTCAGAGAGCAGAGCAGGCAGTGAGGAGACTAGTAGGAGGCAAACCCCTTTCAGAACTGCCTATGGGGGTAGCCAGGAGAGAAGCTGGATGTGGACAGGGGCAGGGCCAGTTTCTAGGCTGCCTGTCTGACCCTCAGTAAAGAAGAGAAGGTGGGGAGAGGGCTGCAGAAGAGCTGGGAGGTGTGACTTCTGCTGGGCCTTCTCTGCCCACTCTCTGCTCCACTCTGCCTAGCCCAGGGCCGTAAGGACACTAGAGAATGGGAAGGAAAAGGGAGGGAACTTAGGTTATGGTTGGGAGGTATTTATTCTCTGATATCCCCAGTTGGGAGAACTCAGCCCTCTTGGCTTAGATCTGAGTTTGGTTTAAAAGGAGAGTATCATCAAGATAAAGAGAAGTACAAAGAAGGAAAGAGCAGAGAGAAACAAGAAAAAGTGGAGAGTGAAAATTAGAGAGAGCCCAGACGAGGTGAAGTGTAGGAGAGACAGCAGATTCCTGGAAAGTAGAGTGGCCCGGCTATTTGTCCAGCCTCCAAACCCACGTGACAGGGACTGTGAAGCAGCCTTGCTCACGGGTTGAGCCGCGCCTCCGCTCAGGGAACCCTGAGCAAATACGCCCTGATCCCCACATAAAGGGCCAATTAACTGCGCCGTCTCCGGGAACAAATCCGCTAACAGGGTGACAAGCCCCTAGACGCTGGCAGGCCCTGTGTTTGCGGAGAGGCCAGCCGGGAGCAAATCAGGGCATTAGGACCGGGCAGGAGCCGCATGGTGGGAGGGTTTCTGGCCCCCTCCGCCCCAGAGTAGGGCCTGGTACCAGGACGTGGGGTTTCTATCCCGATTCAGCCTCTGCTGTGATGGAACCCAGGTGACCGCGGTCAGCAGGGGGCGGAGCAAAGGGCCCCGGAGCCTCGAATCTCACAGGTCAGAGTAGATCAAGCACTCCAATTCCTCCTTAACAGATGGGAAAACTGAGATCCAAAGCGGTGACGTCTTGTACTTGGCAAACGTAGAATTAGAACCCACTTCTGTGTTGGTCATTCCTGAAGGATAGATTTCGGGTGGGAAATACATCCCTTACTTTCTCTCTTATCTGAATACCACCCTGGAGCGAGGAAGGGAGGGGCGTCAAATCTCTTATTATCTTCTTGCTTTTGAAAGGATGTGTCTCTAGCCCGTCTCCCACCTACCCCAGTCCTCAGCCTCAGGGTCTGCTCGGATTTATGTCTTCCCTGGGGGCTCCAGGGCCCTAGTCAGGCACCTGCAGATGAGGTGCTGAAAAGGACAGCTCCCAGGGCGCTGCGTGGCGGTGGGGTGGGGGGTCCATCCGGCCCCACCCCCACTCCCACCTACCCCCTCCCCCACACCTAGTGCTTCCAGCCTTTCTACGTCCCGCCCAGAACTGCTAGGGTTGGAAGGCACCTAAACACCCATAGTTGGAGGCTCACAGCCAGGCGCCTGGACTGAGGAAGGAGGCTTGGAACAAGCCCCCCACCCCTTGACAATGTCTCGGGTTCCCTTGAACAAGCTCTGCCTGAAATATTTCAATTCTTGATTCTGCTTACTCCAGAGTCTGCGACTGTATAGCACCCACCCCTCTGATCTCGACCCCTTTGGGGTCAGAAGCAGTCGCCCCATGAAAGTTGTCTCATCCCAGAACCTGACGGCTGAGCCAGAACTCTGGCACTGACTCTTCAATCAGCAGGGCCTTACCTCAGGTTAGGAATGCCCCGGCCTCTCTCTTTCCCTGATACCCCAAAGCCATCTCCTGTCTAGGAAAGTGAGTTTGTCGAGGTGGGTCTTCAGGTAGAAAGAACTCCAGAAAAGTCAGAAGCAGACCGCGACTGGAAGTGGGAGGTGGGAGTAGGGGCCCATGGTTTTCTTTTCGCCCCCCCCAGGAAGGACGACTGCTATCCGATTTGAACAGATTTGCACTAATTTTGCAGCAATCCCACATGCCTTTACAAAAATAATATTATCTTTGTTTTTGTCCTAGAATCCTTGGTTCCATTTCAGTCTCCTCAAAAACGTAAAACAATTTAATAAAAAATGTCAAAGCAGGGTAATGTAAAAGGATTCAAATAAATGACAGTTGCCTGGGTTTCCCTGGCTTTCAGTCTCCTACAGGAACTCCTAGATTAGGGCGTTTGGAGCAGGACTCCCGGGTCAGGGCGCGCCGCTCCATCCTCTGGCCTCCTGGCTGCAGACCAAAGGACCAGAGGGCAGAGAGGTGGACCTGTCTTGGAATTCTCTGCCTACTCCCAACTCTTGCTGCAAACCACCCCAGTCTCCTGCCCTTCCGTCGCCAAACCCCTAGACTTGGGAGGGAATGGAAACCAGAACTTTGGCAGCAAGGAGCATTGCTTGCGCTTTGCCTCAGTTTCCAAAAGGTTCGGGAAAAGAGAGGACAGATTCCTGTTCTAAAGTTGGGCAGAAGGGCAGAGTCCGACAGAGCCTCGTCCCTCATCTTGGGTGCTTTGAGACAGGGAAAATCTCTCGCCGCGTCCAGAACGGAACGCTGGGCTTGGGGTGCGGGGCGGGGACTCCAACTCGCGCGCTACGCTACTCGTGTCTCCTGCTCGGATAGTGACTGTAGAGGTAAGGGTGGGAGGGTGGAGGGAGGCGGATTAATCCCTTAATTACGCCGTGATCGGCGTGGCACCTGCTTTCCGCCTGCCCAGCTCCCAGGGGACTCCGGCACTAGGGGGTGGAGAGAAGGACGAGGGAAGGAGGAGGGCACGAAGAGGCACCGACCGTACCCAGGCGCACCGGCAGGAGAGCGGCACCGTGGCTGCCGCAGCGCGCAGAGGCTGTGGAGGGGCTTACGGCTCCCAGCCCACGGGTCTCAGACCCAGGGGCTGGGCCCCCAGCCCCCAGTCCCGATCCCAGCTGGGTCGAGCCATGCTGCGCTACCTGCTGAAAACGCTGCTGCAGATGAACTTGTTCGCGGACTCTCTGGCCGGGGACATCTCCAACTCCAGCGAGCTGCTCTTGGGCTTCAACTCCTCGCTGGCGGCGCTCAACCACACCCTGCTGCCTCCCGGCGATCCCTCTCTCAACGGTGAGACCCTGCCTCTTGGGGATATGGGATCCTGGGATGGGGATGAGGTGAGAGGGCGGCGTGGAAGGGAAGGAGAAGCGCTCCTGTCCCGAGGTCCGGGATTGAGTGGCGCCTCCCAGCGCCTCCCTGGGTCGTGGGGTCTAAGGGATAATTTGGAGCTTCGAGCACATGAGTGGGGGTACCCGCGGGAGGTCGAGGGCTTGGGAGAAGATGGCTACTGAGTCTTTTTACACCTCCTTCCCTTCCCCTACAACGCCCACCCCAGGTGAGAAGAACCGTTGCTGGTAACGGGCAGGGAAGTCCGAGCTAAGAAAGGCCCGGGCCCAGCGCAGGGAGGGCAGAGGAGGGGGCACAGTCTCCCGCCGGCCTCGGCCAAGCCAGGTCACTCGGTGACCCACCCAGGCAGCTGGTCTTCGGAACCCCGAAGTTTCCCAAGAACTCACTTAGGACCAGAGGAAGCCAAAATGCTGGATGTGTTTGCTACGGAGGGGATAGGGGCGGCGATCATTTTAAGGAAACTTAGAAGTTTGTCTTTCAGCGGCGGGACTCTCAGCCGGCCCACCCCGGCAGAGCTGTGGCGGGCGGGCGGAGCTGGCGGCGAGGTCGTTACCGCTAATTACGGTGATTAATAAATGACTGGGACAGCGCGCTCTCCCCTAGCGCCGCGGGGAAGCTGCGGGAGCCGGCCGCCGCCAGCCTGCGGAGAGGCCGGAGCGCGCCCCCTGCCTGCCGCATCGGGAACCCCCGCTTTACCGGGCGCTTTCGCGTGTGGTTCCCTCCAGGTGCACGCGGTCCCCATCCCTCTGCCTCGACCCACTCGAGTCTAGTGACGAGCACTGTGCTGGGGACTCGAAGGTGGAGAGAAAGGAGACCCTGGCAATATGTGTGTGTTCATGTGTGGGGCACATCAGGTGCTGAGGGAGGAGCCCCAGAGCCTCATTAGCATGGCCATTAGCTATTCATTAGGCTGCAGTCGAAGCATCTCCTGAGACCGGGAAGGGTAGAGGGGGAAATTCCAGGGAAAGGGCGCCTGCAGCTGTGTCTACAGGAATTAGGGGGAAAAGGCCGACCAGAAGGGTGTGGTCCGTATAGAAGGATTGGGGAGAAAGACGATGGGGGAGGAGCCCGATTCTCCAACCTCTTGACCCTCCTAGATTTCCAGGAGGTTAAGCACAGATCCCTTCTCGCTGGCACCCCGCAGAGTCCCGCTTCTGCTCACCTAGCGCGTTTACAGAGTGTTTTCACCATACTTTGTCTCATCTAAGCTCGAAACTTAGTGAGGTATGCAAGGAAGGTGTTGACAGACACATTTTGCCGCCGAGAAAACGCTTTATAGAGTGAATGGTGCCCTAATCGTCACAAAAGCAGCATGAAGCAAAACCTAGCGATAACAGATCAGTCCATTTCCATTACACCTGAGGGCTATACCAAGGGGAAAAAAGAATATTGGGGCCTGGTAGAATTTGATTCAGGTAGAGACTGTAGGAGCCAAGATAAGGTGCATATGCTGGGAACACAAGCCCTTAAATAATGGCAGAGTAGTGACGTTTATCCCCCAAGGGCTTTACATACATTATGGTCTTAGAGCAACCCTATCACTGCTCTCACATCACAAAGAAAGAAACTGAGACTGAGAGAAGTTAAATAATTTGCCCAAGTTCTTACAGCTAGGAAGCGTCAAAGTCTGAGATTCCAGCCCTGGTTGGTTCAACAGCAACACTTGCTCTCAATCACTCCAGTGTTGCTCACCACGGGGTGTTCCAAAATTGGGAATGGGAGGAGATGGAGGAGAAGAGAAGGGTGAAAAGCAGAGATTTCCATTTGGAAGGGAGGAGATGGAGAAAATTACTCTCCCAAGTGGGACAGAAATCGATCTTCTTGACTCCAGGCAATTAAAATAAACTCAGAACAGCGCCAGCACGGGTCAGCCTGTCCAGCTTTGTCTACAACAGAACTTCTAAGAGGGGGGGCAGGAAATGAAACCCAATCTCACAGGCGGGCTGGAAGCGGGAGGTTCCTGCAGATTTTGGAACAGGGTAGGAAGGGGGGAACAGGGGGAGGGGGCAGGGGGCAGAACAGATGCTTGAAGTGGTCCCTGGTTATTTTACAGCAGGTTATTAAAGGCTGCAGTGGCACCTACTGGCCGCCACGGGTTACAAATCCACTTTTGTTGGCTGGACTAGGGGCTGAGAGTGCCGGAGTATAACAGGCTCCGGGATCCTAACCGTGCTGCAGAAGGTGAAACAGGCCAAAGTCTGCAGGCCAAGTGACAGGTAGGACAGAATATGTGGATGAACTGATCGGAGTGAACAGGGGAAGTAGAGGAACATCAATCAGTAGAATAATCTATTGGAAACTATGCACCTGTCAGGAAAAGGAGCCTTACTAACATTTCTACTGCTATTTGCGTTCAATTCCTGTGACTTCACAGGACCCTTGAAATGAAGCGTGATTATCCGGGGTGTCAGTAAGAAGGGCCCTGTGCCGATTCATAGAATCCAGGTTGACAAGCCCTTCTAGGCCCGGCCCTGTCACTCCCGTCTTGCCTTTCATAAGGGATCCCAAGCCAGTCCACATTCCCAATTTCACTGAGCCAGGACCTTGCAGAAGTCAAGAACAAACTGTTGGCTCCAGTGCACGGTTTATGGTCTTTCACTGAGCAAGGACGATCCGTGAACCAGTGCAGGTGGAGATGGAAACCACTGGGCAGGAGGCGAGGGAGCGGTCTACTCGCCAAGCGTGGTTCAGCCACTCCCGCTTAAACTTGGCAGGAGAGGAGACGGAGGTCTCTAGGTGGTCCAGAAAGCCGGCCTAGAAGTTTGTGTCCCGATCCCTCTACTAACCGGCCTGTCTGTAGGCATCTTCCTTTGAGACGAGGAACGCGGAACGTCTGCCAATAAGGACATATTGGATCCTGCAGAGGGAGAGGGTAGGCAGGTGGGGACTGAGCTCCGCAGAGAAGCATAGGAGATGGAACGACCAGAGGATTCTCTTTCCCTCTGGAGCCTCAATCTCTCCCCACAATTTCCCTGTCTGAACGCTCTGCGCCACCCCCTGTCCCCAGGGTCAAGGGTAGGACCGGAGGACGCTATGCCCCGCATCGTGGAGCAGCCGCCAGATCTGCTGGTCTCCCGAGGCGAGCCCGCCACGTTGCCCTGCCGCGCTGAAGGCCGACCCCGACCCAACATTGAGTGGTACAAGAACGGGGCGCGTGTGGCCACTGTGCGGGAGGATCCGCGTGCGCACCGCCTGCTGCTGCCCAGCGGCGCCCTCTTCTTCCCGCGCATCGTGCACGGGCGCCGCGCGCGGCCGGACGAAGGTGTCTACACTTGCGTGGCTCGCAACTACCTGGGGGCAGCAGCGAGCAGAAACGCCTCGCTGGAAGTGGCAGGTGAGAGTCAGTTGACCGTCAGCTGGTTGCTTCCAGAGCCTGGGGTAGGCGGGAGGGCACTGGGCAATCAGACCCAGAACCAGCCCCAAAGGACTTCAGCCCACTCAGCATCCTTCTTTGGGACCGCGACCTTTGATCTCTAATGGCCACACCACGGCCAGAGAAGGAAGTGGATCTGACTCCAGGCTGATATTTTCTCACCTGGGAACGAATTCCAGTCTGCAGCGATCAACCCCTTCCCAAGACAACACTTTCCCTGTGTCCTCAGCCAGTTATGTCACTCTACACCCTGCTTATTTCGCCCCCCACCGCCCCGCCCAGTCCTCCGTGATGATTTCCGGCAGTCTCCTGGAAACGTGGTGGTGGCAGTGGGGGAGCCAGCAGTACTGGAATGCGTGCCCCCCCGCGGCCACCCGGAGCCTTCCGTGTCCTGGAGGAAGGACGGTGCAAGACTCAAGGAAGAGGAAGGAAGGATCACGGTGAGGGCGGGATTATGATTGGAGACCCCAACAAGGGAGGGGACATAGGGTAGGGAGGTGACAAGGCTGGAGATTGAGATCAGGGCATTAGCTAACCAGAGACTAAGAGTCAGCTATACAGTGAGGGATAAGGAAGACGGAATTGGTATAAAAAAGGGGCGGGGGCATGATGCCCCAGGAACTTCCCATTTGATATGTGGGTCAACTTCCTTGGTCTCCTTTATCAGCTTGCTGTGAGGATCAAATAAACTTTATACATATGTATATACACATATATTCACCATATATATATACGCTGTGATAGCTGAAATGGACCAAAGTTACCATTATTGCTCTGCAGATCCGTGGAGGGAAGCTGATGATGTCACATACACTCAAGAGCGATGCAGGCATGTATGTGTGCGTAGCCTCCAACATGGCGGGAGAACGGGAGAGTGCGGCAGCTGAAGTCATGGTACTGGGTAGGCACAGGGAATTTTGACATTATGGGAACAGGTAGCCTGCAGAGTAAGTAGCCGTGCAGACACCCTGACTGTTCACTCACTACCACTCCATAGAGCGTCCCTCATTCCTGCGCAGACCAGTGAATCAGGTGGTCCTGGCTGATGCCCCTGTGACTTTCCTATGTGAGGTGAAGGGGGATCCCCCACCTCGTCTACGCTGGCGCAAGGAGGATGGGGAACTGCCCACAGGCAGGTGAGAGACCCCCTTCTGCCTGTAGGAAGACCCAACCTGATCAAGAGACTATTCTGCCCTAGAAAACCGGAAGACAGGCACATTCTCACTTGAGAACACAGAGAAGTCTGTTCCCTAGAGCCTGTGGCCCCAGTCCTATCCAGTCCCCACCTCCATTGATGGGTCCATGGGTAACCAGCTTCTGTCCCTGCTGGGTCCTGCCTGTCTTTAAGTACCTTGACCCTGGTGTCTGTCCTGGGGGAGAGAGAAAGGGTCTGTAGCTGTGGCCAACCCAGCCTGGGGTGGGGAGTGGAGCAGGTATGAGATCCGGAGTGACCACAGCCTTTGGATTGGGCATGTGAGTGCCGAAGATGAGGGAACGTACACCTGTGTGGCGGAGAACAGTGTGGGCCGCGCTGAAGCATCTGGCTCCCTCAGTGTTCACGGTGAGGGCTGTACTTGGGACTGCCTGCAGCAGGAATGGTAGGAGGGGAGAAGGAGGATGGTTGGCAAGAGACTGAGGGAGAAAGGGCAGAGAAGGGCATGTGGATGGAACACCTGAGACTTCTGCAAGGAGTGGGAGGAGGAGAACACTAAACAGGCCGGGAGGAAGAGATGGATATCTGCTCCTGTACACTTGAGCTAAGCTGGAGCTTCTCTCTCCTGTTCCTGCAGTCTCCTTTCTTAGTGCCTCTGACTACCTGTTCCTTTTTCTCACCTGCCCTTCCCAGTCCCACCCCAGTTGGTGACCCAGCCCCAGGACCAGATGGCAGCTCCTGGAGAGAGCGTGGCTTTCCAGTGCGAGACCAAAGGAAACCCCCCACCTGCCATCTTCTGGCAGAAGGAGGGGAGTCAGGTGGGTGGCCATCTCCAAGGAGCTTCCCATCAGCCTTCCTCTGCGGCTCAGCCTCCCTCCCTCTACATTCTGCAAACTTCTCTCTGGGGCTTCTGTTTTATCTTTGGGAGCCCCCAGAAACCCTTGCAGGTTATTTGAGAGGATTAAGTAAGATAATGAATATAAAAGGCCTGGAACACATTGGGACACTTTTTAATAAATGATAATAATACATTTAGATGGTGGAGAACAGTCCTGGATGGTAGGTTCTTAGAGAATCTTTCTGTTTTGGGCAAGGCTATCCTGAGGATGTAACAAATTCAGTTTATCTCTCCTCCTTTAGACCCCTTGGGCTTTGGCTTTGGACATAACACACTGCTCTGGAAACAGTATTGAACCAAAGCTGCTCAGGGTAGAAAAGTACTCGCTCTTCTATTTATAAGAGCAACAAGGGACTTTCACAAAGGAGAGCTCACAGTCATCCCTTTTGAACCTTGCAAACAAATCTCAAAATCCAGAAGCAGAATGAACATTAACTGAAGTTACCACATAAATAACTCTCTCTAAAGGAAGGGTAGGAATTTTGCTACTGGAAACAGGGTCAGCAAGATAAAGTAAGTATGATGAGCTCCACTCTGTTGGAAAACAAGGCAACCTGCTACCTCATTCCAAATCGACAGCCACAATTTTCTAACATCTTTTCTAGCACCTGGGACTGCTGAATTCTAATTAGATTCTCACATGAATAAAAAGGGTGACGGTTAGTAGGGGTGAAGCAGGTGTTACCCAGGGTCTCAGCATGGTGCCCTTTGTCCTGAGACCCAAACCTGCTTCCCTGTCTAATCTAATGGATTATCTTCCATGGATCTATGGAATGAAAACTGTTCAAGCAGGAAGAAGAGGAATGTGTTTACCACAACGTGTTAGAAGACTTTCATATGATTACTTCATGTGATCTTTATAACTATCCTCTAGAAGTCAAATTTGGGAAATTGGGGCTCAGGCAGGTTAAACAGCTTGTTCAGGGTTTCCCCACTAGTAAGTCACGGAGCTGGGAAGTAGACTCTGAAATTGTCTAATAAAATTCCCTGATGTTTTTGTGAATACATTTAACTACTTTGCCCAAGTTCACATCACTGCTGGAGACAGACGATGAACTAGAATCATAGGAATTCTCTGAATTTTGAGATTGACAGGAATGGGGACCTCTCCCTGCCCAGCTGCCTGCTCATTCCCTACCCTGGTTCCTTGCTCTGTCCCCAGGTCCTGCTTTTCCCCAGTCAGTCACTTCAGCCGACGGGGCGCTTCTCAGTGTCTCCAAGAGGCCAACTTAACATCACCGCGGTGCAGCGTGGGGATGCTGGGTACTACGTGTGCCAGGCTGTCAGTGTGGCTGGCAGCATCCTGGCCAAGGCCCTGCTGGAGATAAAAGGAGGTACGTGCCCATGGAGATAGGACTGGATCCATGGCTTGGGAGGAAATAATGGCCTAAAGTGATGTGTTTCTCTTGGAGTCTATATACTATGTCTGCAAGAGGAGAGATGTGTTCCTGAGGCATGACCTTGAAGTTTGGAAACCAGCAGCAGAAGCCACTAATAATGGCTGGTCCTGGGCAGAGACTTCAGATGATTATCAAAGCCCCCTCTGATCACCGGAAGTTTCAGGGGCTGGGGTAGGGAGGGTGAAGGAGCAGAGAATGAGGACAAGGGGCTGCCCGCGGGGCCCTAAGCTCCTCCCCTGAGGTGCACACGTTCTTCCTCTCTCAGCCTCTTTGGATGGGCTGCCTCCTGTCATCCTCCAGGGACCAGCCAATCAGACGCTGGTGCTTGGCTCCTCCGTGTGGCTGCCCTGCAGAGTGACTGGGAACCCTCAACCCAGTGTCCGATGGAAGAAGGATGGGCAGTGGCTGCAGGGGGATGACCTCCAGTTCAAGACAATGGCCAACGGTACCCTGTACATCGCCAATGTGCAGGTGAGTGTCACCCCTGGGGCCCTAGTAGCTGAGAATGGCTATCTGCTCCACGTTCCTTACACAAGTAAGTACTCACTGGGCCTGTAGCCCCATCTTTACCCCTCTGTTCTCTCAGAGCACCTAGTATCCAACATCTTCCCATCCTTCTGCTACCCGCCTCCACCCCCTCACTGGATCTTGCTCCACTCTCAGTTTGCCAGTGCTCTGCCCTCTCTTCCAGGAGATGGACATGGGCTTCTACAGCTGCGTGGCCAAGAGTTCCACAGGGGAAGCCACATGGAGCGGCTGGCTTAAGATGCGGGGTGAGTTTTTTCTTTCTTCCCTTATTTTGATAATACCTTCCTCCAAACCTGCTTCAACAGGTAGTCGATACCTCCTCAAACTCCGGGATTAACTTTATGTCACAAATGCCATGGTTACGGTGGTGAGGATGAGAAGGACAGTAGTGGTACCCATGGGAGGCAGATGTGAGTAGGGGTTCATATACTATAGCCCACTCTGACCATCACCGCAGCTCAGAGCTCCATAGCTCCCCTGGTAAGGAGACAGGTTACACTAGGATTATCCTTTCCCTATCTTTCTACTTAAAGATTATCTCCCACTGCAGAAGACTGGGGAGTATCACCAGACCCCCCTACAGAACCCAGTTCCCCTCCGGGGGCTCCCTCTCAGCCAGTGGTCACTGAGATCACCAAGAACAGCATTACCCTGACCTGGAAGCCCAACCCACAAACTGGGGCTGCAGTCACGTCTTATGTGATAGAGGCCTTCAGGTATGGAGAAAGTTTTGAATGCAAACCTGGAGAGTTAAAAGGAGGGGATCCTATGCCCTTAGGGTCTTTGCTATTGTGAGGTGGGATTCTCCAGTACCCTCTTGCAAGGGGAAGACATAATGGTCGTTCATAGAGAGTGGATGAGATGGAGTAGGCAGGTTGGGAGTTCCTGGCTTAGACAACCCTGTCATCTCCTTCTTGTTGTAGCCCAGCAGCTGGCAACACATGGCGTACTGTGGCAGATGGCGTGCAGCTGGAGACACACACAGTCAGCGGTCTGCAGCCCAATACCATCTACCTGTTTCTGGTTCGAGCAGTGGGAGCCTGGGGCCTCAGTGAGCCCAGCCCCGTCTCTGAGCCTGTCCGTACACAGGGTAAGGTCAGAGTCCCTGGGCTCATGAGCATGAAATGTAACATCATAAAGCAACCCTCTCCCCCAAAACCATGACACCACGGCAGTTCATACAGTTCTTTCCTGCTATGCCAGGTCTATACTGGTGGCCCGGCCTGGAATAGGAGATCATGTTTGCCTCTCACAGAAGAGACAAGGGAGGAGGAAGGCAGGGAGAGGGGAGGAGGGAAGAAGGAAAGGGAGAGAGGTAGTCATTCATTTTGGCAGCTTCTGACTTCTGAGCCTTTTACCCATAGATAATAATATAGATTATTAAGACTAGAAGGGACCATGGAGGGGCCATCTTCATCTTAGAGATGAGGAACTGAGGCCTTTAAAGGATGCATGTGTAATTATGCTAGCTGGACACCGAGGCCCATGTCTGGAAGCTATTTTCCTGACCAGTCCCCTCCTGACCATGGGGTGTGCTCTGGAGTACTAAGTGGAGCAGGGCAGAGGTAGGACACGAGCACACTCTCAGCCCTATCTCCCTGTCCCTGGTGGCCTCTGCTGAATGGGTTCCTTGGTCAACAGATAGCAGCCCCTCTAGGCCAGTGGAGGACCCATGGAGAGGCCAGCAGGGACTGGCGGAAGTGGCTGTGCGCCTGCAGGAGCCCATAGTCCTGGGACCCCGGACCCTGCAGGTGTCCTGGACTGTGAGTGTGGTATGGGGAGGAGATTCAGGGTGGGGATGATTATGAGGCACATGAGGGCCTCCAAGAGTGAGTATGGGAGAGTGGGAGGTGAGTGGCTGGGGAAGGCGGCATGAGTGGGAGGAGGGGCTGGGCCTGGATGGCCTGGAGGGCCTGTATGGCCCCAGCCTCCCCTTCTGGTGTGCCTTGTCCTGTCTCCCACAGGTGGATGGCCCAGTCCAGCTGGTGCAAGGTTTCCGGGTGTCTTGGAGGGTAGCAGGCCCTGAGGGAGGAAGCTGGACAATGTTGGACCTACAGTCCCCAAGCCAGCAAAGTACTGTGCTAAGAGGACTCCCTCCAGGGACCCAAATCCAGATCAAGGTGCAAGCCCAAGGCCAGGAGGGGCTGGGGGCTGAAAGCCTCTCTGTGACCAGGAGCATTCCTGAGGAGGGTAAGGAGGGCCACCGAACAGATGGATGGACAAGAGGGAAGAAGGGGTGGGGGTGGAGGTGGAGGGGGGATGAAAATTTGCAGGAGGAGAGCAGGGTGAGTGGGTGGGAAGGAGGAATGGCTCTCAGTTCCCTAAGATGTTAGAACAGGGAGGGGGAATGTTGGGGCAGGAGGGGCAGCTTGCAATGACTATTTGTGTCCTTCTCACCATGCTCCACCCTGGCCCAGCCCCCAGTGGCCCCCCACAGGGAGTGGCGGTGGCCTTGGGGGGTGATGGCAACAGCAGTATCACTGTGTCCTGGGAACCTCCACTCCCCTCCCAGCAAAATGGGGTCATCACGGAATACCAGGTAGAGGGATTGAGGAGGGACTGGATGGGAGGGCCAGGCCGGGAGGGAGAGGGAGGACCTAGTGGCTAGAATTAGGGTGGAGGAAATCTATTACAGGTTTGGCTTTAGGGTTGGGGATGAGTTTAGGGGAGAAGAGAGAGGTTTCCAAGTGTTGTTTCCAGGTTGAATTACATCTGTATAAGGCTTCTCTACCATTTGGAGCCTTAAGTTTCCCGGTGAGGCTAAGAATCCCATTTCTGACTCTAAATCCGGGACTCGGCCTCCCTAGATCTGGTGCCTGGGCAATGAGAGCCGCTTTCACCTCAATCGATCTGCAGCAGGCTGGGCACGCTCCGCAATGCTCCGAGGACTGGTGCCCGGTCTCCTCTATCGAACCCTGGTCGCGGCGGCCACCAGCGCAGGCGTGGGCGTGCCCAGTGCCCCAGTGCTGGTGCAGCTGCGTGAGTCCACCCGAGGGCAGTGCTGAGGATCTTGACGGGGGCGGGGCAAGCCCCCCACTGGGGTAGCTGTGCCTGCCGGGTCGGGAATGACCCTTTCCCAGTTCCAGGGTTTCGGGCCCCTCCTCCCCTCACTTCTCTGACCCCCACAGCGTCCCCGCCGGACCTGGAGCCCGGGCTGGAGGTGGGCGCGGGGCTGGCGGTGCGGCTGGCGAGGGTGCTGCGGGAGCCCGCCTTCCTCGCGGGCAGCGGCGCAGCCTGCGGGGCGCTGCTTCTCGGGCTCTGCGCCGCCCTCTACTGGCGCCGGAAACAGCGCAAAGAGCTCAGCCACTACACGGGTGAGCTCCCGGCCTCGGAGCGGACGGATCCGGGAGGGAGCCAGGCGGCCCATGGGGAGGGGCAGGGGCTTAGCCGCTGGCGAGTGAGGACCGGGTCGGGAGAAAGGGGTCGCACCTGGAGTTCAGCCTCTTGGGTAGGGGCGGGATACGTGGGGCGACTCGAGGAGCTGCCAGGACTAGGGAGGGCTGCGGGCCAAGACGGGGCGGGATCTGGATGACGTTTGCCTCTAAGACGCCACGAGGAGGCCAGGCTTTGCAACCATCTCCATAAAGAAGGGGCAAGTTCGAGGACGGAAAGCCCACTCAAAGGGCGGGGGGCGGGGCCTGGCAAGAGGGGGTGTGGCCAGGATCCCAGGCAGTAAATTGTGCGGCGGGGTCTGGATGGAAAGGCGGGGCCCGCTGAAAGAAGGCGATCCGAGTTCTGCTACTTCCTAGTAAGGGACGTCTCTGGAGAGATTCTGAGGTGTTTGAGGTCAGTGGTTTTCAATCTTGGTTGGCTACACATAGGAATCACTTGAGGGGCTTGAGAAAAATACCGACACCTGAGTCCCACCCCCGAGAAATTCTGATGAAATGGGTCCAGGGTGCAGCCTGAGTGGTGGAACTGGGACCGGGGCCTAGGCGTGGACAAGTATAGGGGTATTTCTGACCCTTCTCCTCATTTCACCTCTTCTTTCTCCCACGGGTTCCTTTCTGGAAGCCTCTTTTGCCTACACACCGGCAGGTAAGCCATCTCTGCCCCAGTGGGGTTCAGACCCCCCGGGACGGGCCCTTCTCTCACTCATTCGCCCCCTCATTTTCCCCAGTGTCCTTCCCGCACTCAGAGGGCCTCTCTGGAGCCAGTTCCAGGTAATTCTCTTAGCCCATTTCCTCAGGATGACCTCCACCGACAGGCCACTCTTCTTCCGCCCCGCTGACGCCCCAGGTGGAGGGAGCATGGCCACCTCCCACCCCAACACCACCGCCACTGTCCTGAAACTCCCGAATATCGCCACCTCCCTTTCCTTTGCTGGCCTCTTCAGGCTCTCCGTCCCCAACGCTCACCTGCTCTCCCTCAGGCCACCCATGGGCCTTGGCCCCGCCCCCTACTCATGGCTGGCAGATTCGTGGCCCCACCCATCTCGAAGCCCCTCGGCCCAGGAACCCAGGGGAAGCTGCTGCCCTAGCAATCCTGACCCGGACGACAGATATTACAACGGTGAGGAGTTCTCATTCCCTCACCTGGCTTCAGCGCACTTCTCCCGACCTACTGGGGCAAACCGAAGGGCGCCCGGGAGCCCGGTCTCTCTGAGGTTGGTCAGTCCCTGGGGAGGATGTGAGCTGGGGAAGCCTCTCAGACCTACCTCCACCCTGGTTTAGGATGTAAGGCTTGTGTGGGGGAAGAAGTTGATCCCGTGGGATTTCCCTTTGTCTTCCATTCTGTTGTCCTCTATGTTTCTGTCTCTGCTTCCGGGCCTCCCTCTTTCTTCTCTGCAGAAGCGGGAATCTCCCTGTATCTAGCTCAGACGGCCAGGGGCACGGCCGCCCCTGGCGAGGGTCCTGTCTATAGCACCATTGACCCAGCGGGGGAGGAGCTGCAGACCTTCCATGGGGGCTTCCCCCAACATCCCTCAGGAGATCTGGGTCCCTGGAGCCAGTACGCTCCTCCAGAGTGGAGCCAGGGGGACAGTGGTATGACTCCAACTCCTGAAACCCCGTTTAGCCCTGACCAGGGTATCCCCAAAGAGGATCCTCCTCCCTGACCCTCTGGCACCTAGCCCGGCACTTCCTTCTGACCTGTCTCATCTCTGGCTCTTTCCTGCCTGTTCTCCGGGTGTCCCCATCCTATTCTCCTCAGGAGCCAAGGGAGGCAAAGTGAAGCTTCTGGGGAAACCTGTGCAGATGCCCTCTCTGAACTGGCCAGAAGCCCTGCCCCCACCTCCTCCTTCTTGTGAACTGAGCTGCCTAGAAGGGCCGGAGGAGGAGCTGGAGGGCAGGTAGAGATGCTCCCTGCTTCCAGGCCCACACACCTGCGGCCAGACCATGGGCTGCTGGGGAGGAAGGGGAGGGGGCAGCAGGAAGGCCAACGGGAAGGTATGGAAGCAGCTGAGCCCTTTCCTTCTCTCCTGCCTCTTTGATCCCAGCTCAGAGCCAGAGGAGTGGTGCCCGCCAATGCCTGAGAGAAGTCACCTGACGGAGCCCAGCTCCAGTGGAGGGTGCCTGGTCACCCCATCCCGAAGGGAAACCCCCTCTCCCACACCTTCCTATGGACAGCAGTCCACAGCCACTCTTACACCCTCACCTCCTGACCCTCCCCAGCCCCCAACTGACATGCCCCATCTCCATCAGATGCCCAGGTAGGGAGGTATATAGTACCTCACTCATTGCAAGCCCTCTATACGTATCTACTCAGTAGATGACTGGGTGGGTGGATGGATGGATGGGTGGATGGATCTGGGGTACAGAGGTCTCAGGGCTGTGTCAGGGTGGAAGTGTAATTTGGGCAGGAATATGGAGGCTGACAAGATCTCTCATGCCCATTAGACTGGCTCTTGCTGGAGTGGTCAGCACTCTACCTGAGACATTTCAGATATGGCTCTCCTTATGCTTCTCTAGCTTGGGAGGACTTACGGGCGGACGGGTTGTGTCTCGTTTATCTGTTAGGTTGATTGTCTAGCACAGTGCCAGGCACATAGTAGGCATTCAGTTTTTGTGGAGGGAACAGAGGCTGCGGCCTCCTGTCATTGCAGGAGGGTGCCCCTTGGGCCGAGTTCCCCTCTCAGTGTATCCCAGCCCATGCTGGGCATCCGTGAAGCGAGGCCTGCTGGCTTGGGTGCTGGCCCTGCAGCCTCACCCCACCTCAGCCCCAGTCCTGCCCCTAGCACAGCCAGCAGTGCCCCAGGTAAGTCTCTACAACCTCCTTTTGCCCCCCGGCTCCCTCCAGTGCTTGCTTCCCCTTCACCCTTAGGCCTTTTTCCTGATTTTTGCCCTTACCCATTCCTCTTCCCGTCTCCTAACACTGCAGGCAGAACCTGGCAGGGGAATGGGGAGATGACTCCCCCACTTCAAGGACCCCGTGCTCGATTCCGGAAGAAACCCAAGGCTCTTCCCTACAGGAGGGAGAACAGTCCTGGGGGTGAGGGGGGATGCACCTGGGAGATGGTGACAGTAGTGGCGGGGGGATAGGCAGGAAACCAAGGGTGCACTCTGGGGGCTGGAGGAGGGAACAGGTGAACCCCAATCTTGGGCTGTTCATTGGCAGCCTCCTGGTGCCAGGGAATGCAGGTGAGAGAAAGATTAGTGACAGGAGTGGCAGGAGGCTCCGCTGAAAACAGCTCCCTCCCCAGACTTGCCCCCACCACCCTTGCCACCGCCAGAGGAAGAGGCGAGCTGGGCCCTAGAGCTGAGGGCAGCAGGCAGCATGTCCTCCCTGGAGCGGGAGCGCAGTGGGGAGAGGAAAGCGGTCCAGGCCGTGCCCCTGGCAGCCCAGCGGGTGCTCCACCCAGATGGTAAGCAGGGCCAGGGCAGGCAGGAGGGCTGCTGCCACAGGAGACTGTGGGCTTTGGGACTGGGGGCTGATAGTAGACCAGCTCAGCCCTCCCTTTAGTTAGGTTCATGCATTTGATCCACATCAAACTCCCCTGTCTCTCTAACTCTCTGAGCACAATCCCCTGAAGTCCCAAGTTGTGTTCATTCCCAGGATGGAAGCCCAGATAAGAGGACTGGGCTCTAGGTGCTCTGTCCCCGCTCCCCACAAGGCTCCCTCTGATTGGGAGCTCCCCCGCAGCGTTCTGAGCACCCATGATGTCAAGGCCATGTGCCGGTCACTCTGCTGCTCCTCAGCCCCAGGCTGGCTGAGCCCTGTGCCTGCCCTTCATCTTCTTCCAGAGCTGAGCCTGTGGTCAGGGTGGCAGGGTGGGTGACAGGGAAGTTCTGCTTCCTGCCTGCACCTGGCTACCCTTCCCTCTTGTGCTGCAGAAGAGGCCTGGCTCCCATACAGCAGACCAAGCTTCCTGTCCCGGGGCCAGGGCACCAGCACATGTTCCACGGCCGGCAGCAACTCTTCCAGGGGCTCCAGCAGCTCTAGGGGCTCCCGGGGCCCTGGCCGGAGCCGGAGTCGGAGTCAGAGCCGGAGCCAGAGCCAAAGGCCAGGACAGAAACGCCGAGAGGTAGGGGCCATAGATTGCAGAAAAATGAGGGCAGAGGACTAGGGAAGGGTGGACCAAGGCGTAATGGAAAACAGGAAGGTGGGCAAGGGCTTGTGGAGGAGTGTCAAAAGGAGGGGATCGAGAGGGTGAGGGGGAGGGAGGAATCCTGTAGAAGTGACAAGGGGACTGAGCGTGGTGGCTCATGCCTGTAATCCCAGCACTTTGGGAGACCGAGATGGGCGGATCCCTTGAGCTCAGGAGTTTGAGACTAGCCTGGGCAATATGGTAAAATCCCATCTCTACAAAAAATACAAAATTAGCTGGGCGTGGTGGTATGCTCCTGTAGTCCCAGCTACTCAGGGGGCTTGAGGTGGGAGGATAGCTTGAGCCTGGGAGGTCAAGGCTGCAGTGAGCCATGATCACACCACTGCTCTCCAGTCTGGGCGACAGAGTGAGACTCTGTCTCAAACAAACAAACAGACAAACAAAACAAAAGAAATGACAAGGGGTGAGGACAAGATGACACATAATAGAGGAGCCTGGGCTCACCGTAGGAGAACTGGGTTAGGAGAGAGAAAGCCTGAGCCCTTCCTGGACTTGTTTGCCCTGGGCCAGGGTTTTACAAAACAGCATCTCTCTCTCTCTCCCTAGGAACCAAGATGACCCTTGTTGGGGCATTGAGAATATCATGAGTGCCACGGGGAAGGGGAGTAGGGATGTCTTTTCCCCCCCAGCAGTGATGAGTGGGGCTAGCTGAAGCCCATTGGTTTCCACGATTTCAATTGGCTGAGAAGGCAGAGAGCTAGCTCCTCCCTTTCTTTCTTTTTCCACCTGAGACTTGTTTATAAAAAACAAAACAATAAAAAGAGTCTGATCAGAGCCCAGGGCCCTGTCTGTCTGGTTCTGTGCAGCAGGTTGGGAAGAAGGGGACTGCAGGGTCCTGTATATCAACGCACACTGGTAGCTTCTGCTTCCCCTTCCACTCCGTCAAAAGCACTAAGTTAGGCCAGGCACAATGGCTCACACTCATAATCCCAGTGCTTTAGGAGGCTGAGGCAGGAGGATCATTTGAGCCCAGGAGTTTGAGACCAGCCTGGCCAACCTAGAAAGAACTTGTGTCTACACACACACACACACACACACACACACACACACACACACACACACACAAATAAATAAATAAATAAATAAATAAATTAGCCAGGTATGGTTGTGTGCACCTGTCATCCTATCTACTTGAGAAGCTGAGGCAGTAGTATTGCCTGAACCCAGGTGTTGGAGGTTATAGTGAGCTATGATTGTGCCACTGGACTTCATCCTGGGTGACAGAGTGAGACCCTATCTCAAAAACAAACAAACAAACAAAAAACTGAAAAAACACTAGGTGGGGACTGTACCGTCCTGCTTCTTAAAGGAGTAAGAAGCTCACTGTTCCCGAGTTACAACCATAGAGACTTTCCAAATGCCCAGTAATAAGACACATGTTCCACCTTTGGAAGGTCAAGCCAGGCCCTTCTTTAGTGCCCTCCTCTGGGGTCTGTCTACTTTCCCACAAGAAAATACACCCCTCACAAAAAATTATTTTGAAAAACTCAAAGAAAGGAGGAGCTTATGGGAGAAACCCCAGGCAAGAAGGAAGAGCATGCTTTTTCAAACCATCTGACTCCGTCACAGAGGGTATGTACAAATGGGCAGCTCTTGGTGGGCCCAGATGTGATTGGGTTGATGGGCACAGAACTGTTAAGACTTTTTTGTGGTGAATGCCGTGGTCCTCGTCACCTCCTGCCCTGCATCCCGTGTGCTCACTGGTGACCTGAGGTTTTGTTCCTTCTCGCTTGCTCCACCCTTGACTCAGTGACTTCCCTGGACTCTCTGGGATTGGCAGCTGCCCTCCAGTCCCAGGCCCTGACCTCGTCTGCCCCTTTGACCTGTGAGTGTACAAATCTCTCTTTCCCTTTCAGTCTGGCAAACAGGGTTGGGATGTTTTCAAAAGGAATTTTACCAGGAAGCTAAAAAGAAACCAAAACAACCTCCTCCCCGCAACTGCCACAAAATCCAGATAAGGAAAAGCAAATACAGAGGAACAGATGTGTATGTGGAATACTGATTCTTCCTCCTGAGATCACAAAAATCTGGCCCAGACTGTCCTGATTAATGTGGTTCAGGAAGCCCCCAGTCCCCATGGTCCTGCCTCATTCAGCCTCTCAACTCCCAGTGGCCTCCAAGTAGAGCTGCTGGGTTTGAGGGATGAGCACCCCCTTTTAGGCTCTGCTTCCTGTGGCCCTGTCATGCTCTGTAGCATCCCCTCCACCAACTTGTGGATTCTGCCCCCGACCTTTCCCGCCAAGGGAGGAAGACGCAGGCCTGCCTACCCTCCAGTGCCTCCTGTGGCTCAGGCCCTGGAAGTCCTGCTTCGAGGTTCATCTCTCTGTTCTGTTTTTTTCTTTGAAGGGTGTTCCTAAGCCAACCGTGACAGGTGGTTCTACCTTTTCTGGAGTTCAGCTGCTTTGTCTATTTTAAGAAACCATCTGGGACTGCTGAAAGCAGTTTTCTCCTCAGGATGGGTGAAATCAAGGGGTTAATTTGATCAAGTCTGCCTGCCCTGCTTGCTTTTTGTTTTTTCCCTTTTTCCATGGAGCACAAAGCTTCTTTGGTAGCTGAAGGCCTCGCTGCTGAATGTGGAAACAACCTTCACTGGCTACTTTATAGGTAACATTCATAGGTCACTATGAGAATGGGCGCTACAGTCATTTTTCAGGAACTTGGGACAGCTCTTGTCCAGCTCAAACCAATCGAGACCACCGACTTTTCTACTGGGCCTCTGCAAGTGCTCGAGGGGTGGCCTTTTGACATCGGAGGGCCAAAAACTCCACCCTCAGATCATAACACAACCATTTTCTTTTCTTTTTTTTTTTTCTTTTTTTTTTTTTGAGACCGAGTCTCTCTCTCTCACCCAGGCTGGAGTGCAGTGGGCGATCTCGGCTCACTGCAAGCTCCGCCTCCCGGGTTCACACCATTCTCCTGCCTCAGCTTCCTGAGTAGCTGGGACTACAGGCTCCCGCCACCACGCCTGGCTAATTTTTTGTATTTTTTTTTTTTTTTTAGTAGAGACGGGGTTTCACCATGTTAGCCAGGATGGTCTCGATCTCCTGACCTCATGATCTGCCTACCTCCGCCTCCCAAAGTGCTGGGATTACAGGCGTGAGCCACCGTGCCCAGCCAGCAAAACAATTTTCTACACAAATGTCCTTATGAAATGCCATGAACCCCAAGTACACTTGGGCAGAATGAACCTATTACTTCATTTTCCCCACAGCCAATCACCCTTCCCCATGCCTTAGACCATCCCACTTCCCTCAGCCATAAATATCCCTAAGGCTTATCTTGAGGAGGTGGATTTAATATAAGTTGCCAGGACCAGCAGACCCTGAAACTCCCCACCCCTGCCCTTCCTATATTCTGCTTAAAATTTGGTGGATGAACCTCATTCTCCCTTTAATTGCAGAACAGAAATGTGTGACACTCCCTGAGTGTCAATGAATGCCTGATCCCTGCCTAACTCAGGAAATTCTTGCCATCTCTCCAGGTGCTCCCCTAAAAATGGTGCTCCGGGGAATGATCTCACAGAACTCAAGTCTTTACCATTTTATGGTATCAAATTTCTTAAGCTCATAGTGACAACAGTACGAGGATGGTGCTTTTGACCTACGGTCTCATACCTCCCTTCCTTCAGCATCCTCGCTAGACCCAGCCTTGAACCCTTTGTTTGGCATGAGGTAGGGCCTCAGTGCCTCAGTGGCATTCATAATTATTTTCTTTCCATGGTGAGGTTGGGAGAGAGTTGAGCTCTTCTCTAGAGGAGGGGCCCAGGTAAGGCTGAGAGGGGGCTCCGAGAAGCTCCTTCCTCCACAGCCCTCTCCCAGCAGCCACTGCTGTCCTCCACAAAGGCACCTCTGGCTCCTCCACTTCCTGTGATCCAAATGGTGGGGGAAGAGCAGCAGGCAGGGCTGCTCCTCAGGCCAAAACAACCTGGTGGTGGGAGTGGATGGCACAGAGGAGAAAGCAGTGGCTAGGAGTCAGGTGGAGATGATGTTTTGCTCCCTGAGGGCTCCAGGTCAGCTTTGCTCTAATTTTGTTTTCATTTGTTTTCACAATCGTGGAGGGAGAACTCTCTGGAGGCTTGGGAAGGTGGACCCCAGCTGCAGAGAAACACAGGCCAAGACCCACACACCACAGCCCAGGTCTTGTGGGTGGACAGGAGAAGTGGTTCTGATTCCCGTCTGGGAAGTCTCAGGGACACGGTTCAGGAGTAATCTACAGGAGAAGCTGAAGGACAGTGGAGTTATCTCCCTTGCTCCTTATCTCCCTTCCCCAGTGCCAGGCTTCCTCCTGGCTTCTTCCCAGAGGCCCTCTGGTCAAGATGAACACATTAGCCAGGAAGACAGACACTCACCACCAGCCTTGGGCATACGACAGTGGAGCTGACTTCTCTGGGAAGAGATCTGAGAGTCAGGGGGCCAGGGAGGCATCCCCCTTCCCAGCCGCTGGGTGTGGCTGACCTCCATGTCTTCCAACCAGTCTGGCCTCCACTCCCACAGGGGCAGGGAGAGGTTGGGGGTCAGGAAGATCTCATCCCGTGGGGAGGGAGGTGATGAGGCATCTGTCAGGGAGGGTAGAGGTGTCTGTGGGAGGTTGACCTTCAGCCCCTAGGGGCCAGTTTAGTACAGAAAGCTTAGGACCAGCTCAGGGCATGTACCCAGCCCTAAACATAACCTAACCCCAACTCAGCCCATCAGTCCCAGAGGCCACATCCCCAGGGGCCCGATCCATTTGTTTCTTTAGGGAGAAGTGATTGAACTGTTTCCTTCCAGCCCAGCTCTGGCCTTCTATCTGCACTGTCCCTTCACATCCCCATTCCCTGGGCATTCTTCTTCTGCCATCATGGGCACTTCTGTCCTGGATAATCCTTGCCCTCCCATTTACCACAAGCCTGTTTTTTTTTTTTTTGTCGGGGCAAAGGATAGAGTTAAGGTTAGTAAAATGGGGATGGGGGATCTGATGGTGCATGTGGGGAAGGGACACCCAAGGAGCCAAGACCCTGTACTACCTTCTGCTGACATGGAGATAAAGGTCCCACTCTGCTGGGAATGTCAGAGGTGAGCCCAGTGGCTCGTCAGCCCCAGCCACGGACAGGGCAGGAGGATGGGATTGGAAGAGGATGGAGCAACCTTTCCTGGAGACTCAAGTCGGGGTAAGAGGGGAGTCCTAGAGGCAGGGAAATGGACCTACAGTTGGCTGCCTTTAGAACTGGACAATTTGGGCCAGGCTCAGTGGCTCATGCCTATACTCCCAACACTTTGGGAGGCTGAGGTGGGTAGATCACTTGAGGTCAGGAGTTCAAAACCAGCCTGGCCAACATGGTGAAACCCCGTCTCTACTAAAAATACAAAAAAATTAGCTGGGCATGGTGGTAGGTGCCTGTAATCCCAGCTACTCGGGAGGCTGAGGCAGGAGAATCTCTTGAACCTGGGAGGCAGAGGTTGCAGTGAGCTGAGATCATGCCACTGCCTGGGCAAACAAACAAAACAAAAACAAACAAACAAACAAAAAGAATTGGACAATTTGTCCTTGTTCTGTGGGTGAACTTGGGCAAGCCAATAAAATTATCTGACTTACAGTTTCCTCATTAGGATAAGAGAGATAAAGAATATTCCACATAGACTTTCAATATTAAATGTATGCAAAGCACTTATCATAGTGCCTGAGATACAATAATCATTCAATAAAACTAGTTGTTTTAACAATGATGACATGATAACAGTTGTTAGAAAGGCAAGGGGCATGAGTGAGGAGTAAGATGGGGAGACCTCACATACCTATGAAGACGCAGTCTGCCTCCCTGGGCTCTAGACCGAAACCAAAGCTATCCACAGCCACTGCCAGGGCCCGGGCAAAGTGAGCATCAGCGAGGAAGGAGCCATCGGAGGAGCTGACAAGGCTGGCTCTGGCGCTGGCGGCATTGTCCTCAGAGGCTGAGCCCCAACCATTGGCTAAGGAGCCCTCGCTGGGGGTGGGGGTGAGGCAGGGCCGAGGTGGGCACAGCAAGACTCCCCCCTTGGGCCCCACCCCTCCTCCAGTCCTGCCCATGTCCGTGAACTCTGAGGCTGTTGGGACGCTGATGTACCCATAGGTGGTGGGGGGTGAAGGAGCCCTTGGCATGGGAGAGACGCTGTTCCTAGGGAGAGGCAAAAGGGGAGACAGCAATGGTTTGGGTGGAATGAGGGTTGTAGTAACAGAAAAGCCCCAGTTGAGGGAGGGCGGAATGGGTGGAGAGGCGCTTGCCCCCACAGCTTTTCTGTAGTTCTTTGGTTATCTCTCAAGCTACTCACCTGGGAGTCTCCTCACCCTCACTGAGTTCCAAGCACAGGGCTACCTCCTCAGGGGTCAGCACGCTGTCTTGATCCTCCCCCAGGGATGACAGTGAGGAGCTGGACAGGCGACTGGAAGCTGGGCTGGGGCCAGAGAGGGAAGAGGCCTGGGGGCTAGGGGGACTGCAGGGGCTAAGGATGGGGATGGGGGCTGCTGGCAGCAGGATGGAGGAGGGAGCCTGTGGTGCCACCGGAGGCCTGATTTGCGGGAGAGAGTGATGGCACCGTAGTTACTACAGCTCTTCAAGTCCTTTCCCCCCTTCCCCAGCCTGTCCAATCCCGGCACACACTCCCCACACCCCCACTCTCCCAGCCCTGCTTCCCGACCCCATGCCCTCTTACTGGGTCTGTTGACTCTGAGTTGGGGGAGTTTCATGAGGAAAGAGGGGTGCTGGAGGGAGATGACGAGTAACCAGCTCATTTGAGGAGCTGAGGAGTTTCGGTCCCAGGGCCCGCCAGGCAACCAGAGCTTGGGGCACAGCTCCTGGGGAAGAGAAGCCTGGGTGTGAGAACAGTGGCATCCCCATCTGCTCTGGAGCTCAGCCTGCCGGCCTGCCCACCAGCCCCCTTAGCTACCTGTCCACTACTCCATCCAACCCTCATCAGCCTCCTCAGGGAAAGGAGGATGAGCCCGTGGGAGGGCCCTGGGCTGGTAAGCCCCTGCATCCCTACACCCTATCTCACCCCTTCACTTCCCTTTCAGGGACCCCCTCTCACCTGGGCTTTGGGAAAGGTTCTTGGAACCTCTATTTCCTAACTCACAGGCCCGGAGCTCCAAGGAGTGGCTGCCCCGGAGCAGTGGGGAACTGTTGGCATGCTGCAGCTCTGCAAAGAAAGGGTTGGTGGTTGTGGGGCCCAGGATGGACTTTTCAGACCCCAGCTGCTGGCTCTATCTTCAGCCTTATTCAATTCAGCCTGCACGACCCTGAACCCAGAGAAAAGAGGGGGAACCCCCTGAATCCCCTCCACACCCCCATCTTCATCCAGCAGCTGTGATAGGGTAGAAGGAGCACTAGGCTTGGGGTCAAAAGACCTGCCCAGCTCAGCTGTGTGACTTCAGGGCAGTCCATGTACCTTTCTGAGTCTCAGTTTCATGTGTAAACAACCACTTCGAATGATGGTCTTGACAATTAAGTAAAAACAGATTGCACAAGTTCTTGGCCTTGATAGATGCTTTAAAAAACAACTTTCTTTTCCTTGACTGTATTCATTCCAATCTTCCTGATCTCTATACCCTCACATTGCTACTCTCATGAATTTTGGCTCAGTAAGAAAAATACTCCTTCTTTTCTTGGACAGAATCTATTAATTTCCATTTCTCACATTGCAAATATCTCACATGGCTCTGGATAGCCCTGCTCTGGGAAACTCGACTGTCTCTCACTTGAAAGATGGGGTAGACTGTCAGGTTGAGCTGAGTGGGTAGGACAAAAACAGGGATCGACACACAATGTTGGCTGTGACAGGAGACAGTCAGCTAATAGGAAGAGGAACTTCAGAGTGGGAAAAGGTATTGGTCTATCCCAGGGACGCAATGCCCTGCCCATACTTTTTGTTGAATGAAAGAGTGAATGCATGGGTGATATCAGAAATGTGGATATAAACACACAGTGAGAAGAGTCACCTAGAAGATGGAAGCTGTCATCTGGCCCACATGGGCAGTGGAGAGACAGGGCTCTGAGTGAACTTTCACAACAGAGAAGCTGGAAACTAAAGAGACAGCCCTAACTATGTGCAATGACCTGTGAGCATGCTTCTTGGTCAGACCAGAATGCAAAAGGGATCTAAGTTTAAGCCAGAGAGGAATAGGGTAATACAGGAGAGAGATTTTTCCAGGAGCAGGAACCTGAAGAACATCAGACAAAGGAGAAAAGAAACAGCCTTTAGATTAGTGTCCCATGACCAGAAGCCCAGCTAGGAAAGAGTTTCCCCTCTTGGTGGACCAGGGACCAGGCAGGACCTTCAGGGTAGAGCTATCTAGTCAGTCACATATCAGAGATCTGGGGGCCACTACGGGCAGCTTCAGAGAAGGGAAGTGAGCCAGGCTTTGGCATTGACCAAGACCCCATTTATGTACTAGTGGCCAGACCTTCTGATCCTTTAGGATGAAAACTCATCAATGACTAGACTCCCTCCGTCAAAGTTTCCTTTGGTACTTTGGCTGTTTGGTTTTTATTGATTTTCTATAGCTTTCATATGACCCAGGTAATCTGGGGAGCCAACTTCAGGGTTGGTGCACCAACTCTGCTATCATCAGCTATGTCTTGTCTGGTGCCTGGCTTCTTGACTAAGCTCAGAAATATGAGCACAAGTTGGTTGGCTGGTTTGAGTGGAAAGGGAAAGAAAACAGCCAGGCCTGGAAAAGGCCACTTTTATCCTAGCCTGTTTCACTTCCTCTAAGGGACTCTGGTAACAAAAGCCCTCCTCCTATGTTGCTTGGAGTTACTTGGACTTTAGTTTCAATTCTAATTGAATAAACTGGACAAGAAAAATGTTATCAAGGTGAAAGGTTGAAACTCATTGGTCAAATTGCAATAAATATTTGTTTGAATAAAATAATGAATGAATGAGGATATTCAGTGCATATATCTGGCAAACTGAGCAGAACTAAGAACCTGCTATGATGGATGAGAGACAGGAGACTGTAATTGTGAGGATATCAGCACTGGAGAAGAAACCCCAACTAAGGCCAAATAATAAGAAAAAGGAACAAGCAGGTCAAGGGGAGTGGGTGGTACTGGGAGAGCCTGCCAGTTTTAGAAGAGGAAGAAACAGCAGTAGAATCAACTCCATGGGTCTGGAGAAGACCATAGCATGATCTTGTTGCTGCTGAGGTCCTGGGAGGTAGAGGTAGAATATCTAGTGTCTACCAGCCAAGGAGTCGCTGCAGTTGACCTATCCTGGGGGCAGTGGTGAGATGGGGCTGGAGCGAGGAGAAACAGGGAGTGAAGTAAGGACCTAAACCACAGGCTAGGAAGCCTCATCTCAGAATTGGAACCCTTCTTAAGAACTGGCTGTAGAAAACCACTCACCTCTTTCCAGTAGCATTACTGTTCTAAGAGGGGCTATCCATTCCATTAAAGTTGGTGTAGTTCTCCCTGGGAAGGCTGTTTTTTAAATGAGACTATTCCACCTTTTTTTTAGCTGGTGTTTCGTTACCACCAAGGATTTATAATGCAATAGCTCTGAGGCAAAGCTGGTAAGAATGCCAGCTTCGCTGATATTTACAGTCATAAAATTCTGGATATTGAACAAGCTGTTAATTATCTTAATCCATCTTTGTCTTATTAAAAGTTGGATTAAATCCACTTAAAAAAAAGACTTGGCTGTAGAACATTTGTTAGGTCTTACTAATTAGTACAGAAGACTCAAGAAGACAGCAGGTAGATTGCAGGCCAATGTTCTGCAGGCCAGAAATAGGAAAAAATACTCAAAGAGAGAATAGGATTTCCTGAGGGAGCTCCAGAGAGACTCAGAATCACTTCAGAGGCAGACTATCCTGCCTTCAGATTTGAGTCCTGCAGCTAATTACTTGCAGAATTTTGAACCAGTAACTCAATCATTCTGACCCTCTTCCTGTCTGTAAAATTAGAGAAATAGTAGCTAGCCAATCTATTGTGAGGATTAAATGAAATAACAAACATAAGTAAAGCACCTAGTATATAGCAATTGATAAAAAATGGAGGCTATAATTATTTTTCTCTGAAAAGTCTAAGAATGCAGCTGGGAGTCAGGAGATAAACCTGTCCAGAAAGGAAATACCCATTCCTCTCTGAGAAGTGAGTTGGGAGTCGGTGCCCAAGCACACCTGTACATAGTACACCAGGAGATGAGCTCGTGGGAGCCTGAGGCTTTGTGCCAGCACTGGTCACATTCCCCCAGGCTCTAGCATTACTTGTTTGCTAGTCAACACTTTCGTTAGACAGGCCCTGAGCCCTTAGAAGTCAGGGGCTGTGTCTGACGTCTCTTGTGTTCCCCATGTTTGGCATGCAGTGGTGCTTATTAAACGTTTGCTGAGTTGAATTGAGTGCAGAATTAGGGCTCACTGCTGGTGTAGCCAAACTGAAACAAGAGCACAGTGCAAAAAGCTGAGGCTATTGCACCCCTAGCTGAGTGCTCTGGTGGTAGGAGAAAGAGGTCTTGTGTCCACCTGGAGAGGAGAATGGAAGGAGGGTGTGGAGGTTGCACGCCCCTCCAGGCTTTGAGGCCTTGTTCCCATCACATTCCCATTCCTGGGCCCGCCTACCACCAGCTCAGTCTATGTCTATTCTCCCCCTCCTTACCCTGCTTCTTTTTGGCCTTCCAAGCCTCTGCAGGGGCCAGAGACAAGCGGGGAGAAGAGAGTCCCCTGCGGCTGCAGAGGCTGTCTGAGCTGGAACAGGGGCTGGAGAGCTGGGCCAGCTGGGGTGGGAGGCGCCTGACAGCTGGGACCTGGGGACTTGGCCTGGCTGGGGTACTGGAGGGCAGCTCAGCGATGAGGGAGCCATAAAAAGTGCTGGTGTCTGGAAGCAGGGGCACGCCGGGGCTTCGGGAGTCCCAGGAGAGCACTGTGACATAAATGACAGGAGGAATTATGGTGAGCATGTCCTGCTTTCCATCCCTGAGATCACTGCCCCCAGCTAGGCCCTTGCCCCCACTGAGCATGCTCACAGGAGCGACGACAGTCTAGTGGGTCCCGGGCATCCGCCCCCAGCCGACTGCTGAGGCTGCTGCTGCTGCTCAGGTCCCGAGAGCCAGAGGTGGAACGCCAAGTGTCTGCCAACCACTGGGAGTCACTGTGATCCATCCTGGGGCAGTGGAGGGAGGGGGTGAGGCCAGGAGAAACAGGGAGAAGTGAGAACCTTTTTGGCCAAGACTTCCTGTTCAGAGGCAGCAGAAGAGGGCAAGGAGATGGTGGCTTTATCCTTACTACTGCTTTTCAGCTTTTCACAGACTCCTTAAGATCTCTGACCTGGTCCCCTAAACCCAGCACCCCTTTCTTATTCCTGGATGAGGGGAAATCCGAGTCACCCAGAGCTGGGAGGTAGTAATGACAGACAGCTATGTATGCTGAGGTAAAAAGAAGACCTGAAGACAAATCTGGTTTGACAATCTCTATCTGTCACAGCTTAGCTTGGGTAAGTACATCTGTTGCACTTGGGTAAGTACATCCTCTCTAAGCCCCAGTTTTCTCATCTGTAAAATGATGGCAATAGGGCCTTCCACACTCAAGACTGATGGTCTGGGTTTATATGAGGAAATGTGAGATCACTCAGCTGGCAGAGCAGGAGCTTGCTCCATGGATATTGGCCTCTGGCTGCCTGAGTGATCCTTCAAGAACAGGGATCTGAGCAAGGAGCTTCTCTGCGTAAGACCTTCAATGGCCCCTCATTTACCATGATAGAGCCCAGGTACCTAGCATGGCTAAGAGGACCTTCCTTGGTCTGGCTTCCAGCTCCCTAACTATAGCCTTTGCTCTGACCCATCTCACACCCTATACCCGAGCCAGAACAAATGGTTTGTCTTTCCCTGTGGACATAGCAGGCTATTACTTGCTGCTTCATTGCTCTTCTCTCCATCCCCTTCTTACTGTCAGGGTAATGTGGAATCTTCTTTCTCCTATGTTTTTCCACATTGACCCCCTCCATGTGTCTTGTACCTGCTTCTGCGTGGCCAATACAGGATTGCACTCATATCCCCTCATGCCTGTCTCTGCCTACACTGAGAGATTCTGGCAGGTGGAGGCTATTCCAAAGGAAAGAATGAACCAAAGATCAGAAGGAATCTCCCTCAAGGACAGAGCAGGAGATCCTAGGGAAGCCACAGAAAGCTTAAGGCAGAGCAGACAAAGCCAGGAGGTAGCTGGAAGAAAGAAGCCAGTGAGCTCAGAAAACTCAAAACACAACACCAGCCAGCTTGGACCCCTGCTCTGGGCTGAGGACCTGACAGTGAAATGGCAGCTCTAGGCCTGGATTTGCTGGCACATAGTAGGTGCTCAGTAACTTCTGTGGATAGATGCAGACCTGGAGTGGGAAGCCTCCCAGAGGAGATCTAGCGAAATAAAGAGCCAAGAAGGCAGACAGAGAGATGAGGCGGTTACTTAGTACAAAACTCAGACAACGGGAGCAAGAAGGATGTGTTCTCTATCAGCATGATGTCCCAGAACTGCAGACTTGTTCTGGCAGCCGAATATACCGGAAGCAGAAGGGCCCATGGGCAGATCCTGTTTTTGAGAACAGTGAGGAAGAATCTATGATGTAGGCACTGAACACCCTCTGCTGGAGCTGCGGGTGGACTATGATGTAGGCACAATGGCTCAGTGAGAGAATTACTGAGTGCAAAGGCACTACTTGGTAGACCATGGGTGCACGCATAAGATGAGACATTTGAGGTGGTCGTCTCATGCTGATTATTCTCCACCTAGCGGGTGAGGCAGCAGGAGAGGTGGGGTGACAAGAGTCCTGGATTGGGGGTTTAGAAGGTTTTATGAGTTTCAGTTTACTAGTCTGTCAAGTGGTGTGATAGGAATATTAATGACAGAGAAATGAACTATCAGTTGGAGTTACAGGAGAGATTCATGTACGACAGTCCCAAACTCCCTGGCAGGTAGACTAGTACTCCATTCTTCTCTGTTGCAGCTCCACTGTCCCTTGCCACCCTCCCTTACTTCAGACCTCCCCTTTCACCTCTCACCTGTGTTTTAGGATGGCATCCTCACTGGTATATCTGTACAGACCTGGGAGAAGGCAGGAGGAAAGCTAAATCCAGAGGCTGGATCACCTGGTCAGAGATCCAAAGCCCCTGCACCATTCTGGCTGGATGCTGAGGAGGCCTGTATACATGTGGGTCCCCCTCAGACTCTCACCTGGGCCCAGGTGCACCCTAGCTCGGCGCCGGCGGTGGATACACACGGCGGTGCCCAGAAGCAGCAGCCAGAGTGCAACACCGCAGGTGGCAATGACCTCAGGCCGCTTCAAGGTAGCCCTCAGCTGCTCCAGGGTCCAGGGACCATGCTCACTGGGTTCTTGGGTGGCTCGCTCCATGGCCTGCTCTGTATGGGATGCAGAGCTCAGAGGGAGAGGGAGTCGAGGCATTGAGGGCCTGGCAGGCAAGGGGGAAGAGCTGGAAGTGTGAGGCGGGAGCAGGGAGAGAGGAAGGCGGGATGCAGGCTGAAGGGTAGGGTGGGTCTGTGGGCACTGCCCTCACCTAAAAGGAGGCAGACAGGTCTACTGGGCTCCCCAGCTCCAGCACCAGTGACTGCAGCCACTTGCACGCAGTAGGAGCCTGGCATATGGGTGGCGATTTCCAGCTGGGTCTGCTCACCAACTACAGTCCAGTTGGCTGGTGGCAGTGATGTGTTGCCCAGGCTCCAGACCTGAGGCACAAGCAGAGGTGAACAGCTTCCCCAGGCACCATCCCAGAAGCCAAGCCCTTTATCTGCAGATCAGACTCCAGGGGTGTGGTTATTCTGCCCTGCCATCCACTTGGGGAATGCACCCAATTTCCTATTCCCCTCCTATTCTCCCTACCAAGTGAGAGATACCTCTCTCTAGATCAACAGTAGAAGGGCACAAGCAAGCTGCTAAAACACATGTAACATAGCAATTCTCAAACAACAGCGTGCTTCCAAGTCACCAGGGGGGCCTGCTATAGTACAGTTTGCCAGGCCCATCTCTGAGTTTCTGATTTATGAGGCCTGGGAAAGGATCTGAGGGTTTGTATTCCTAACAAGGTCCTGGGTGAGGCTGATGTTGCTGCTCTAGAAGTCAAACTTTGAGCCCCACTCCCTGACTCACAGCCTGGTTTGATCTACTCTGTTTCTTATTCCTGTGGCCTTTGCCCCACTTTCCATGTCTGTAAATTGGGGATAATACCCCAGGGTGGACTGTGAGGTAAAACGGGATCATGGAGGTCAAGTGCTTGGCAGGGTCTGGAAGCCAGTGGGTCCTTGCTCAGCAAAAGCAGGTTTCCTTTGCTTCTCTGCCCAGGTACCTTTCTCAGTGCCCAGAGCAAGGGTATGCAGAACTCCAGAGAAAAGAGATGTCCTGGCAGCAGTAGGAAGGGCTATGACAGCTAGTGGGGGTACCTGGTAGCCACGGATGATGCCATTGTGGTTTTCAGCAGGTGGTGGGACCCAGCTCACAAAGACAGTGCCATTGCCAGGCTTTAGAGTCACTTCCTGAGGTGGGGCACTGGGCACTGGAGGGGTGGAAGAGAGACTATGAGGGGCTCTGAGGGAGAGGACTCTAGGGAAAGGAGCTGGGCTGGGGGACACAGCGTCAGAACCCTACTGAAGAGACAAGAAGCCTCTTGAAGCTCTGCTGGCCTGGCCAGGGCAGAAGGGAGTCCCAGGGTAGGACCCATAATCTCCCCTCAAGACTGAAGCAGAACAGTCCAGGGGCCCCCAAATAAGAAGGAGCCAGAGGGGATATTGTTGGCTTCTGAAGGGATCAGGCCCTGACCTTTTTCCGGCAGCCTCAGGAGCAGCACGTTGCTGTCAGGGCCTCGAGCCCGGCCAGAGGATGGTCTCACTTTGAACTCGTAGTCTTGGCCCCAGTGGAGGCCTCCAAGCTCTGCGCTCTGCCAGCCGGCCAGCAGCTCCTCTGCCCACGGAGCTCCCTGGCCTCCCGGGGCAGTCTGGGTCCTGAACAAGGCCGTGTAAGATTGGGCAGGCGCAGCAGGGCCACTGACCTGGGAAGGAGTTTCGAGGAAGGGCGGGGGGTCAGAGAGCTCAGGAACGCCCTTTCTTGAGCTCTGGATCGGCTTTTACCCTTAGCACCTGGTCCTCACCTTCCAGCTGAGCCACACCGCCGGTCTAGGCTTGGGGCCCTCTGCAGGATCCGGGTTCAGCAGTGTCACATTTTCCAGCTGAATTCGCACAGCCAGAAGCTCCACAGGCTCCGTGTAGTCCTGGGGCTCTGTGGGGAGGATAGGGCTGGGCTGGGGCTTATAGGCCAGAGTGACAGAACTGAGGCGTGGAACATCCCTCAGCCAGGGAGGAACCCCAGGGAACCCAAACTCCCAGAGTCTCCAGGTCTTGAGCATTCCGATTTCTACTCTAGCAGGGGGGAACCTCCCGCTACGTGAGACCCCCAGCACTTTGACCCTGACCCCACATACCTTAACCCCAGCCCAAACCAGAATACACCACCCCAACTGGAGCCTGCAGCCTGGCTCTGATTGTAGCCCACCCCTGCCCTTACCCTGGATGGAAACCCGGGCTGCGCGGCTCTCCCTATGTCCTGCGCTGTTGGTGGCCACACACATGTAGGTCCCTTCGTCACTCTTCTCTGCTCTTGCCATCAGCAGGGACCCCCCGGACACCTGTCAGGGCCAGGTTCACTGTGAAGTCTCCTATGTGGGGAGGGGCTCTGAGCTGGGGGGAAGTTTGAGGCCCCCTGCTCTCCCCTCCTCAAATTCTACCGGAGGATGCGGGGCTGGACGGCAGGTCAGTCCATCAGGGTGTACCCAGGTCTGCCCAGGCCAGGATGAAGTGTGGGGGAGGGGGCCACACTTACTGTGTGCCTTCCGGGCTGGAGGGCCAGGGGTTTCCCATCTTTCCACCATGAGACTGTGGGCTCTGGGTGGCCCCAGGGCGGCCCACATTCCAGAGTAAACTGCTCACCCACCACAGCCACCATGTCCCGAGGCTGGATCTGGAAATCCTCCCGGAGGACTGTGGGGAGGATGGAAGGTGACACGGAGCAGGGCCCAGGCCTCTTCTCTCTCCCTTATCACTCTTGCCCCCTTCTGCTTTGCCCACCTTCCTGGCCTCCCATTTAGGGCCAGCCCCGCCCCAGCTTGCCCTCCCAAGCCTTCCAGCCCAGGCCTCTGCTCACAGGTATCCCACTGACCTCTCAGATGTTCCCTTGAACATTCAGCTCAGATGTCTCCACCCAGGTTTGCCCCACCCTGAAGCTCCCCTCCCAGGCCTCACCAGCCACAGACAGCCGAGCGCCTCTGCTGACTGCCGTGCCAAGCCGGTTGCTGGCCTCACATGTGTAGACACCCAGGTCTGTGGACAGGGCCTGGCCATCGTGGGCATGTCCCCGGGCAGGGGGCTGTAGCAGCAGAAGGGTCCCATCAGGCAGGAGGTGGTGTGGGTCTGGGGGCACCATGCTCAGGGGCTGCCCATTCAGCAACCAGCGGATGGTGGGAGGTGGCTGGCCTGAGGCTTGGCAGCTCATCCTGGCAGGGCCAGGGCCCTGGAACAGCTGGTCCTGGGGGTGGACTAGGATCTGGGGCGGGGAGTCCTGAGCCATGCCTCCTGGGAGGGAAAGGGAGCAGAGCCCAGTCTGATCACCAGCAACACCCCAAATTCCTGGCCCACCCCTCATCTGTCTTCTCTTGTGTGCGAGTTTGCCAGAAAACCTGTAATCTGAACTACTAAAGGTTGCCTCCCAAAGAACAAGCCAGCTAGGAGGAGAGAGGGCCAGCATGCACAGCATCCAGGCCAGGGCTTGCATAGCATGTTCGCTCTCTCTCTCTCTCTCTCTCTCTTACTTTCTCTCTTTCTTTCTTTCTCTCTCAGTCTCTCTTTCCTTCTTTCTCTCTCTGGTGTGTGCGCACATGCACAAACACACATACACTTACACACACTCATCATCATCATCCTCATCCTCATCTCTGGTCCCCCCACTGCAAAAGGGAAGCAGGCAGTCAGCAGGCCCCTTCTGCCCTGAGCAGGCCTTGGATGGAGGAGCATGGGCCAGGAGAGGGAGAGCAACTCACCCATGATGAGCAGGAGCAGCAGAGGCAGGGAACCCCTGCCCCCCAGGAGGCTGTCTCCTCCAGAGCCCATGGCTACTCTCAGCCCTATGTCCTTGTCCCGAGCACTTTGTCCTGCTGCTCTGAGCTCACAGTGAAGAGGGAAGGAGGGGCGGGGTGGGCCGGTGGTGGTTGTTTGTGACCGAGACTCTGCCCCAGGAGGGAAGCGGCTTTGAGGAAACCGATGCTTCCTGCCTGGCCCTCAGTGCCTTGGAGAACTGGGAGGAGACCAGAGGCGAGAAACTCTCTGACCTCGACCATTTAGCTATAACCCCCGACCCTAACTTCAGCGCTAAGCTTTATCTCATGATCTACTCGGGGATTTCTTACAGGGTATCCTTACACTAACCAAAACTCCGATCAGAGCCTTAATCCTCTATTTAAATCTTATCCCTGGATCCCAATCCTTATCCCTTTGACACCTGCTAGAGAAGAGTGAAAACCCCAGGAGTCTCAGGACACAGCAAGAAGCTGAAGACAGAGGGCAGTGGGGCTGCAGGCTGGGGAGGCTGAGTGAAGTGGAGCAGGGGTGGATTGTAACACCCTCATCCATTTCCCCAGTGCCAGATGGACCAGGAGGTGGCGTAGGGTGGGAGACAGGAAGGACTCAGCATCTGGGACAAGCTGGGAGATTACCACAGGGTGTGTCCATATTCAGCTCAGAGATGGATGAAATAAGCTTCTGTGGAGAACTTGGGCAAGTCAGTTTCCTTCTCTGTAAAATGGAAATAATAATAGTAGTTCCTACCTTGAGGGATAAAGTAATGATGAAACACATAAAGCATAAAACCACTGGCATCCAGTGCCTGACTCATTATGAGTGATCCGTAAAGCTGAGCCAACATTGTGTATTTCTTTTTAGGCCCATCCCATCACTGAAACTATTGGAGGATCCTCGGCAGGAGTATTTTTCAGGCCCTGGAAAGGTGGTTGGAGTAAAAGACCTTTTAAGAGTCTTTCCAGTCCCAAGAGCCTGTGTCCATATATGTAGCAGACAGGCCTTGCAGGTTTTGAGCCTACAATGTCAGCTCTTGCCCGCTGCCTCCTTTCCCCCACAACCTAGACAGAGGCCACACTCCCCTGTCAGATCCCAGCTCATGTTTACTGGCCTCTTCCTTCCAAATCTGGAATCTCAGCCATTTCCTGGAGCTGTTCCCGGAAGGCCAAGGCCAGGCTCTGGGGCTCAGCGGAAGAGTATCCAGCCTTTGTTCCCAATTGTTCCTGGCCAGCTTCTCTGCAGGGCCCCTAACCCAGCTGACGCCCTCCCTTCCTCCCCCTTCCCATCCTGGCTTCGGTGCCAGCCACAGACTAACAGCCTGCCAAGTAGAAGTCTCCTTCACTCCTCCTCTTTCCTCTCAAACTCAGACCAATACTGACAAAGACAGAACTGGAGCAAGGAAACACCATGGTCTCTACAAACTGGGGAGTTTGCAGAGGCTAAAGAATAGGCAGAGTGAAAGTCATGGAGTGGCAGAGCTGGAAGGATAGGAATTGGGGCCAGAGAACAGAATGTCACTACCCTTGGCACCTCTAATTCTGAAATCCCAAATTCTGTTCTCTGGCCCCAATTCCTACCCCAAATTCTGTGGGTGTATCCTTACACTAACCATAACTCCAATCAGAGCCTTAATCCTCTATTTAAATCTTATCCCTGGATCCCAATCCTTATCCCTTTACCACCTGCTAGAGAGGAATGAAAACCCCGGGAGTCTCAGGACACAGCAAGAAGCTGAGGACAGAGGGCAGTGGGGCTGCAGGCTGGAGAGGCTGAGTGAAGTGGAGCAGGGGTGGATTGTAACGCCCTGGTCCATTTCCCCAGGGGCAGATGGACCACTAGGTGGAGTAGGGTGGGAGACAAGAAGGACTCAGAGCGTCTGGGATAAGCTGGGAGATTCCCACAGGATGTGTCCATATTCAGCTCAGAGATGGATGAAATCAGCTTCTGTGGAGACCTTGGGCAAATCTGTAAAATGGAAATAGTAATAGTAGTTCTCTGTAAAATGGAAATAGTAATAGTAGTTCCTACCTTGAGGGATAAAGTAATGATGAAATACATAAAGCATAAAACCACTGGCATCCAGTGCCTGATGCATTATGAGTGATCCGTAAAGCTGAGCTAACGTGTATTTATTGTGGGGCAGGCAGAATGGAGTCGAGTTTATGGGGTCAAGGATCTGTGGGGCCAGAGTGATGAAGGGGAGATTCATGTGACACTGAAGTCAGCTGAGGATGAGACAGGAAAGGATGTGGTGGGATTGGAGGATTTACTGCACAGGAGGCCAATTTGGGATTTCCCAGGTACAAAGCCTCCAAGACTGTCTGACTCCCTGACTATCAGCTTATCAAGAATGTCACTGTCAGCAGTCTGCTTTTAGTCTCCTCTGCTTCTACATTGGTTTTGGGGACACTAATTAAGTGCTCGCTAATGTTTTAATGCCAACTGGATTTTACTCCAGTCTCCACAATCCAGAAAGACGCTAGGTTTCCCTCAGGGGAAAATAAGGCAAATCTCAAAGGAATTCCAATCCATCACTAGCCCCGTCCTCAGCAGGGTGAGAAAGGAGAGGTGAAACGGTCTGTGTGCACCGCAGGGACAGAGCCCCAGAGGCTCCTGCAGCCCGAGGAATGTCCCCTGCCCCACAGTCACATGCCCCGTGCCTGGAGATCACCTTCAGCAGAGCCTCACCCTACTCCCAGGTTTTGGAGAGCTAGGTGCTAACACCTGAAGGTGATTGGAGGGGCAGATTCCTCAGTTGTTCCTGCAGGACACTAGAACTTTTTCTCCAGGGCACTCAGAGTGACATGCGGTGGTGGCCGAGGGGACTTCCCAACAGTAGGGTATGTCTGGATGGCTCCCAGAGACTGCAGGGCTCATTTCCAGCAACCTGGTGCATCCGCATCCTCATTGTCTCATTTCCACAAACTAAGGAAGAGCCGACTGCATGAGTCATGGGGATGATGTGGCTTGGTGGGAGCCGCCCCAATTGCTATTTCAGAGAAGCTCTGTTCTGGGGCTCTGGTGATGTGCTGTCCTGGTGACCAGTTTAAGCAGTGCCTTCCTTCATCCCTAGTTCTGGTGTTTTGTGTTTTCTAACTCCCCCTTCGTTGCTTGTAAGAGGGAGAAGAGAGGGGAAGCACCAGGTGCCCTTCTGAGCAAGCCTCCAGAGGAAATTTCTCTTCAATGTCTGGCTCCTGGCTTCTTTGGCTTTCTGCTCTGTGATCTCTGAAGATGCAATCTGAGACTCCTGCTGGCCAAGCTGGTGGAGAAAAAGGGATAAACTCAGGTGGGATTTGGAGTCAGTTACACTGGGGTTGAGATCCTGCTTCCACTTCTTATTGGCAGAGAAATCTTGAGTAAGTCACATAACCTCTCTGAGTCCCACTGCCCTCATTTGTAAAATGTCTGCATGAGGTTTACAGACAATGGACATGAAAGTTCTCTGAAAACACTAGATATGTGTTAGTTGTCCTTTGAGTGTTCTGGGATCAGCATGCCTGACCAACACAGCCATAGCCAGTCCCAGCTACCCCTTGATACTCTTTTTGGATTTGAGACTCACACTTTTTGCCTTCTTGTTTTTTCCCCTTTTTTGCTTGAGTCTGCTTGGTCTCAATCTATAAATTCTCAAGTTTGTTCCAAGATGCCAACAGCTGGAGGGAAATTGAGTCAAGAGAGAAGACAGTAAAAACCTCCTCTTAGCTGGCTGGAAAACTCACCCTAAGGCCACTTCACTGGACAGCATCTATTCCCTAGTTTCTGGTCCCATCAACATCATGGGTGATTTTAGGTGCTTGGAATCTAAAATCACATCGAATACTCTCAACCCTACATTTTCTTAACTTTCTCGACACCAATGACTATGGATCACACCTAGCTTAAACATTGCCCAGTTGGAGATTTCAAGGGCTGCTGACATCAATATTTAACCATTTGCTCACATGTCCAGGAAGAAGGGGAGATCTGTTACTGTGCTTTGTGTTCACCCTGTCAATGCCCTCCAGTCAAAGACCATCAGGAACATACCTATTGTTGAACAAGTTGATTTACTTCTTGCAGCTTGAGAGAGTGCATGCCATGGAGAACTATGGAATGTCTAAGTAAGAGAGATGTTAGAAAGAACCTATTCTAGGATTTGGGCTTTGATTGGGTGATTTCGTGGAGGGTCCAGGGAAGTGAGGCTTCACTCAAAATTGGGTGCTGTTGGGAAGAAAGGACATGCAATGATTCTTTGCAGAGGAGTGTCTTTGTAGTATATCAAGTGGGTCTTTTTCTTGAATATGTAGTATATCAAGTGGTTCTTTTTCTATTATAAACAGTGCTGCTCTGAATCTCTATTTTATATATCCCCTAGTATAACCAGTTAAGAGTTTCTCTAGAAAATAAACCTAGGAGTAGAATACCTAGGTCTTGAGATGTACAAATATTCCACTTTTGATGAAATTAGCAGATGTTTCCCGAGTCAATTGTACCAATGTCCTTGAGCCACGTCCTCAGAGCAGTTGGTGGACTTCTTAATTTTTGCGACTTTACTAGAAGAAGTGATATTTTATAGTTGTCTAATTTGCATTGCCTCGTTAAAAAATAATGAAGCTGAGCATCTTTTCAAGGGTTTACTCACAGTTTAGGTTTTATCTTCTGGGAAATATCTACTTCTACCTTTTGCCCACTTTTCTATTGCTTATTTGTCTTTTTCTCAATAACTCTTAGGAGTTTTTATGTATTCTGGGTAATAATTCTCTGTGGATTAAAGATGTTGTAAAAACAAGTTTGATCTCATATTTTATTTCTTTATGATATAACAGAAGTTGTTAATTTTACTGTAAAGTTATTAATATTTATTTTTATGTTTAGTGTATTCTTTCTACTTTTAAAGAAAACTTCATCTACACTAAAGTAAATATATTATTCCATATTTTCTTCTAAAAGTTTAAACATTTTACACTACAATTTTTGAACTATCGCTAATTGATTATTTTATATGGCTTGATGTAGGGATATATTTTTTTCAGATGGTAGCCTATTATCCCAGCCCTATTCATTGCTTAATCCCAGTGACCTGCTATGATTCATTCATACATCAAATGTTCATGTATACATAGCTTGTTTCATTAACCTATTGTCTATTCCTGCATGAATACCACACTTTATCTATTACTAGAGCTATATAATAAGTTTTGCTATCTGGTAGGGTGTTTCTCCTCCCTCCTTTCTTTTTTCAGGAGTATCTTGGCTATTCTTGGGTCTTCTGCTTGTTAAGTTCTTTGAAAATATTGTGGAATTTTTATTGGAATTGTTTGAATCTATAGAAAGAACTAACATTTAAGTCTTCATATTCAGGAACATGTGTACCTCTTTTTAACTTTAGATCTTCTACAATGTATTTTAATAAAGTTTTATAATTCACACTATATAGATTTTACACATATTTTGCTAAATGTATTATTAGCATACTTGTTAAACATTGTGTTGCAGATTATCTGTAAAGATAGCTGCAATAATCCCTACCATCCTGATGCATATCCATTTACAATGCTTTTTTCCTGTCTCATGAAGAATAAAATCTATTTTCCAGCCCCCTGAAGCTGGGCTGGCCTTGTGAATTGCTTTGGCCCACAGAATAGAGTAGAAGTGATACCACAGAACTTCCAAGAGTAAGCCTTAAGAAGCTTTGTGGCTTCTGCTTTTCCCTATTGAAACACTTCCTAAGATGACCATGTGAAGAAGCTTGGGTTAGCCACATAGAGCAGAGATGAACTCTTTTAGCCAACAGCCAGCATCAATCACCAGACGTGTGAATGAGGCTATCCAAGGTGTCCAGCTCCAGTTCAAATCCCTAGATAATATAGTGACCACAGGCAGCACCAGCAAATGAATTGCCCACCTGAGTAGGCAAATTGCTGACACAAAGAACTGCAAACAAATGAAACGCTATTAAGTCACACAATATTGGGGTGGTTTGTTACAGGGCAATAAAGAACTGAGATATCCTGATATTAGAAATAATGGTTTGTAGATTCTTTTGAATTTTCTATGTAGAAAGTCATAAAATCTGAATATGTGACAGTTTTGGTTTTTTATTTCCAAACTTTATATTGTTATTTCTTTTTCTCACTTTACCAGTACAATGTTGAATAGGAGTGATTGCATCTTTATTTACTTCTTCATTTTAAAAGGAATGTTTCTTGTGTTTCACCATTAAGAATGATGTTTGTTGTTAGCTTTTATGGATACTATTTATCAGGTTTTACAAGTTTCCTTTACTTCTAGTTTGTTAAGAGATCTTAATCATAATTAAGTATTAAAGTTTACAAGTGCTTTTTTTGGGCATCTATTGAGATAGTTTGTCTCCTTTAATCTGCTAATGTGGCAAATGATATTTATGAATTTGCTAATGTTAAATTATTCTTGCATTCCTGGGAAAAATAGAGTTTGGTCATGATAGATACCCCTTTTAAACATTCTTGGATTCACTTGCTTATATTTTGTTTAGAATGGCTTGCATCTATGTTCATGAAATTGACCTATAATTTTTTTCCTCTTACTTTCCTTGTTTCATTTTGATATCACGGTTGCGCCAATCTCAAAGGATGAGTTCAAAAGTATTCACACTTTTTAAATTTCCTGCAATATTTTATATATAATGGAAAATATCTGTTGCTTGAATGTTTGGTAGAACTCTCCTGAAAAAACATTTAAGCTGATTTTTTAAATAGGATGATTTTAATTTTTTTCTGGCACAATTTCTTTAATAATAACAAGACTATTCAATATTTTAATTCTTTTTTAGTCAGTTTTAGTATGATACATTTTTCTGGACAATTTTCCACTTTGCCTAAGTTTTCAAACTGATTTTGTTCTCTCATGATATAGTTTGGATGTTCATCTGCTCCAAGTCTCATGTTGATTTCTAGTTTTATTACATTGTGGTCAAAGAAGATACTTGATGTTATTTCAATGCTTTTGGATTTTTAAGACTTGTTTTGTGGCTTAACACATGGCATATCCTTGAGAATGATCTTCATGCTGAGGAGAAGGGTGTGTATTCTGTAGCCATTGGATAAAATGTTCTGTAAATATTCTGTTAGGTCCATTTGGTCTATAGCACAGATTAAGTCCAATGTTTCCTTTTTAATTTTCTGTCTGGGAGATCTATCCAATTCTGAAAGTGAGGTGTTAAAGTCTATAACTTTTATTTTCTATCTCTGTCTTTAGCTCTAATAATATTTGCTTTATATATTTGGGTGCTCAAGTGTTGGGTGCAAATATAGTTAGAGTTGCTATGCCCTCTTGCTATTTGAAATGTTATCATTATATAGTGACTGTATTGGTCAGGGTTCTCTAGAGAGACAGAACTAATAGGATATATATATATGTATGTATATTTATAGATGTATAGATTTACATATACATATATGTATATGTATAGATTTACATATACATATATGTATATGTATAGATTTACATATACATATATGTATATGTATAGATTTACATATACATATATGTATATGTATATATATATAGATGTAGATATATGTATGTATGTGTGTGTGTGTGTGTGTGTGTGTATATATGGGAGTTTGTTAAGGAGTATTAATTCACACAATCACAAGGTCCCAAAATAGGCCATCTGCAAGCTGAGGAGCAAGGAAGCCAGTCTGAGTCCCAAAGCTGAAGAACTTGGAGTCTGATGTTCTAGGGCAGGAAGCATCCAACATGGGAGAAAGATGTAGGCTGGGAGGCTAAGCCAGTCTAGTTAATCCACATTCTTCTGCCTGGTTTTTATTCTGGCCACGCTGGCAGTTGATTAGATTGTGCTCACCCAGATTAAGGATGGGTCTTCCTTTCCCAGTCCACTGACCCAAATATTAAACTCCTTTGGCAACACCCTCACATAAACACCCAGGAAAAATACTTTGCATCCTTCAAGCCAATCAAATTGACACTCACTATTAACCATCACAAGTCCACCCCTTGTCAACTTGAATCCATACGCAATCTCCTGAGATCATATATAATCTTCAAATAAAGACAATAATAAGGTCATAATTATGCCTAACATAATACAACTGTCAGTTGTGCAACCAGAAATGCACCAATCCCCGACCCAAATGCTACTACATAAAGTTAACAATACTTAAATGCTGATATGAAGCCAATAAATTTTATGTCACATGATTTTAAAAAAAGGAAATAAAATGATGATGTTTTCTTAGTACAAGTGTATACATGCACAAACATGTTTTTAACAAAAGAAGTACATGACAATTATAGTCCTTGTTTCTGCAGCTGGTCATGTGGTCCTAGCTGGTATTGGTGACTGCCTTCTACTACTATTTTGTATTCCCTTTGCCTTCAGCAAGCACCTCAGCAGGTTGTGGTTTTTTTCCTGATGGAGTGACCCAAACCTTCATTCCTGAAGGGTCTGGGCCATTTGTAGTCCTGCTTGGATCGGGCTGTTGTAGTTTTCCATTGACCTTAATCACAGGGCATGGTAATACTAAGAGACACCCTAATGGATCTTCTGTATTCCATGCATACTCTTTCTTACCTCCGTTGTGGAGTAGTAGACTGATTTCATCTTGAAAGTCGGGGTCAGTCTCCCCAACCAAAACTGTAACTCCCTTCTCACCCTGTTGGCTTAAAGGTAGGAGGAACCCAAAGTGTCCAGGTGGCAATCTTAACTTCCAGTTTAATGAAATCATTGTTGTGTCTCCTGGTGGCAGCGTTCCTCCTTCTGGAACTAAGACCTCTAGGCCAGCAGAACGTAATGTCACGGGAACAGAAAGCAAAATTTTGCTAGTGGGTCATTAGGGGTAATGGTGAGTGGTGCCACTTGTGCCCCCACCCCTGATTCCTGGACCCATTAATCCTGGCTATGGGAGAAACAGTACCATATATTGGACACTGATTTAGAGCATGCACAGTTTTCTGGAGAACTTTGCCCCAGCCCTGCAAAGTATTGTCACCTAGTTGGCGTTGTAATTGTGACTTCAAAAGGCCATTCCACTGTTCCATCAATGCAGCTGCTTCAGGATGATGGGGAACATGGTAAGATTAGTGAATTCTATGAGCATGAGCCCACTGCTGCACTTCTTTAGATGTAAAGTGAGTGCCTTTGTGAGAGGCAATGCTATGTGGAATACCATGATGGTGGATAAGGCATTCCATGAGTCCACGGATGGTAGTCTTGGCAGAGGCATTGCATGTAGGATAGGTGAACCCATATCCAGAATAAATGTCTATTCCAGTGAGGACAAACTGCTGCCCTTTCCATGATGGAAAATGTCCAACATAATCAACCTTCCACCAGGTAGCTGCCTGATCACCCCAAGGAATGGTGCCATATTGAGGGCTCAGTGTTTGTCTCTGCTGCTGGCAAATTGGGCACTCAGCAGTGGCTGTGGCCAGGTCAGCCTTGGTGAGTGGAAGTCCATATTACTGAGCCCATGCGTAACCTCCATCCCTGCCACCATGGCTACTTTGTTTATGGGCCCATTGGGTGATGATGGGTGGCTGGGGAAAGAGGCTGAGTGGTGTCCACAGAATGGGTCATCCTATCCACTTGATTATTAAAATCCTTCTCTGCTGAGTTCACCTGTTGGTGAGCACTCACATGGGATACAAATATCTTCACAGTTTTTTACCCCTCAGAGAGGTCCATCCACATACCTCTTCCCAAAAATTCTTTGCCACCAATTTCCCAATCATGCTTCTTCCAAGTCCCTAACCATACAGCCAAACCATTGTCTACAGCTCATGAATCAGGATATATTTGCACATCTGGCCATTTCTCCTTCCATGCAAAGTGCAAAACCAGGTACACTGCTGGACATTCTGCCCACTAGGAAGATTTCCCTTCACTGCTATCCTTCAGGGATGTCCTGGAAAGGGGCTATAGTGCTGCAGCTGTCCACTTTCGGGTGGTGCCTGCATGTTATGCAGAACCATCTGTGAACCAGGCCTAGTCTTCTCTTCCTGTGTCAACTGATGATGGGAACTCCCCATGAGGCCATTGGAGCAAGCTGGGGAAGAGAAGGCAGGGTAGTAGGAGTGGAGACCATGGGCATTTGAGCCACTTCATGTAACTTACTTGTGCCTTCAGGACCTGCTTGAGCTTGAACACGTATGTACCACTTCCATTTGATTTTGGAATACTGCTGTGCATGACCCACTTTATGGGTAGATGGTTTAGAAAGCACCCAGTTCATGATAGGCAGTTCAGGTGCCATGGTAACTTAATGACATATAGTCAAATGTTCAGTTTCCACCAAAGCCCAGTAACAGGCCAAGAGCTGTCTCTCAAAAGGAGAGTCATCTGCAGAAGATGGCAGGGCCTTGCTTCAAAATCCTAGAGGCCCCTGCTGTGATTCACCTATAGGGGCCTGCCAAAGGTTCCAAACAACATCTTTATTTGCCACTGACACCTCAAGCACCACTGGATCTGCTGGGTCATATGGCCCAAGTGGCAGAGCAGCTTGCACAGCAGAACCTTTTCTTGTTCTGGACCCCACCCAAAAGTGGCAGCCTTTTGGGTCACTTGATAAATGGGCCGGGGTAACACACCCAAATGAGGAACGTGTTGCCTCCATAATCCAAATAGGCCCACTAGGCGTTGTGCCTCTTTCTTGGTTGTAGGAGGGGCCAAATTCAGCAATTTATCCTTCATCTTAGAGGGAATATCTCGACAGGCACCACACCATGGGGCCTCTAGAAATTTACTGAGGTAGAAGGCCCCTGTATTTTAGTCAGATTTATTTCCCATCCTCTGGCCTGCAAATCCTTCACCAATAAGTCCAGTGTGTTTGCTACTTTTCACTCACTGGATCTAGTCAGCGTAATGTCATGAATGTAATGGACCAGTGTGTTATCTTGTGGAAGGGAAAATCAATCAAGCTCTCTTTGAACAAGATTATGACACAAAGCCAGAGAGTTGATATACCCCTGAGGTAGGACAGTAAAGGTATATTGCTGGCCTTGTCAGCTTAAGACAAATTGCTTCTGGTGGGCCTTATGGACAGGAATGGAGAAAAAGGCATTTGTCAAATCAATGGCTGCATACCAGGTACTAGGAAATGTGTCAATTTGCTCAAGCAATGAAACCACATCTGCTACAGCAGCTGCAATTGGAGTTACCACTTGGTCAAGCTTACAGTAATCCACTGTCATTCTCCAAGATCCATCTGTCTTCTGTACAGGCCAAATAGGACAGTTGAATGAGAATGTGATGGGAGTCACCACCCTGCATATTTCAAGTCCTTGATGGTGGCACTAATCTCCACAATTCATCCAGAGATGCAATATTGTTTTTGATTTACTATTTTTCTAGGTAGAGGCAGCTCTAATGGCTTCCAATTGGCCTTTCCCACCATAATAACCCTCACCCTAATAGTCAGGAAGCCAATGTGGGGGTTCTTCCAGTATGTCTACGCCAATTATTCATTCTGGCACTGGGGAAATGACCACAGGATGAGTTCAAGAACCCACTGGACCCACTGTAAGTCAAACCTGAGCTATAACTGCATTAATTACCTGACCTCCATAAACCCCTACTTAATTTATTTATTTTTTTATTTTTATACTATTTCTCTATATTTTTTTTATTATACTTTAAGTTTCAGGGTACGTGCACAATGTGCAGGTTTGTTACATATGTATACATGTGCCATGTTGGTGTGCTGCACCCATTAACTCGTCATTTAATATTAGGTATATCTCCTAATGCTACCCCTTCCCCCTCTCCCCGCCCCACAATAGGCTCTGGTGTGTGATGGTCCCCTTCCTGTGTCCATGTGTTCTCATTGTTCAGTTCCCACCTATAAATGAGAACATGCGGTGTTTGGTTTTTTGTCCTTGTGATAGTTTGCTGAGAATGATGGTTTCCAGCTTCATCCATGTCCCTACAAAGGACATGAACTCATCATTTTTTATGGCTGCATAGTATTCCATGGTGTATATGTGCCACATTTTCTTAATCCAGTCTATCATTGTTGGACATTTGGGTTGGTTCCAAGTTTTTGCTATTGTGAATAGTGCTGCAATAAACATATGTGTGCATGTGTCTTTATAGCAGCATGTTTTATAATCCTTTGGGTATATACCCAGTAATGGGATGGCTGGGTCAAATGGTATTTCTAGTTCTAGATCCCTGAGGAATTACCATACTGACTTCCACAATGGTTGAACTAGTTTACCTTCCCACCAACAGTGTAAAAGTGTTCCTATTTCTCCACATCCTCTCCAGCACCTGTTGTTTCCTGACTTTTTAATGATTGCCATTCTAACTGGTGTGAGATGGTATCTCATTGTGGTTTTGATTTACATTTCTCTGATGGCCAGTGATGATGAGCATTTTTTCATGTGTCTTTTGGCTGCATAAGTGTCTTCTTTTGAGAAGTGTCTGTTCATATCCTTCACCCACTTTTTGATGGGGTTGTTTGTTTTTTTCTTGTAAATTTGTTGGAGTTCATTGTAGATTCTGGATATTAGCCCTTTGTCAGATGAGTAGATTGCAAAAATTTTCTCCCATTCTGTAGGTGGCCTGTTCACTCTGATGGTAGTTTCTTTTGCTGTTCAGAAGCTCTTTAGTTTAATTAGATCCCGTTTGTCAATTTTGGCTTCTGTTGCCATTGCTTTTGGTGTTTTAGACATGAAGTCCTTGCCCATGCCTATGTCCTGAATGGTATTGCCTAGGTTTTCTTCTAGGGTTTTTATGGTTTTAGGTCTAACATTTAAGTCTTTAATCCATCTTGAATTAATTTTTGTATAAGGTGTAAGGAAGGGATCCAGTTTCAGCTTTCTACATACGGCTAGCTAGTTTTCCCAGCACCATTTATTAAATAGGGAATCCTTTCCCCATTTCTTGTTTTTGTCAGGTTTGTCAAAGATCAAATAGTTGTAGATATGCGGCATTATTTCTGAGGCCTCTGTTCTGTTCCATTTGTCAATATCTCTGTTTTGCTACCAGTACCATGCTGTTTTGGTTACTGTAGCCTTGTAGTATAGTTTGAAGTCAGGTAGCGTGATGCCTCCAGCTTTGTTCTTTGGCTTAGGATTGACTTGGCAATGCAGGCTCTTTTTTGGTTCCATTTGAACTTTAAAATAGCTTTTTCCAATTCTGTGAAGAAAGTCATTGGTAGCTTGATGGGGATGGCATTGAATCTATAAATGACCTTGGGCAGTATGGCCATTTTCACAATATTGATTCTTCCTACCCATGAGCGTGGAATGTTCTTCCATTTGTTTGTAACCTCTTTTATTTCATTGAGCAGTGTAAACCCCTACTTTAACTGGAGGACAACAATGATGTTTTGGGACCCCTGGATTCAGTGTCAGCTCAGAGCCAGTTTCCAGTAGTCCCCAAAATGTCTGATCATCTTTCTTTCCCCAGTGCAGTTTCCCTGGTAAAAGGCCAGAGTTCTCCTTGGGGAAGGATGGGAGAAAGATTTATAGCATAAATTGTTGGTAGTATAGTGGGGTCCTTCTTCAAGGGGAGCAGACTTCCCCTTCATTCAAGAGGTTCTGGGTCTACAAAATGGCTCCAGTCTGGATATTGATTGAGGGGCCATGATTCTCTGTTTTTATATTTAAAATTAGTCTTTGTCCACTTGAACTGGAATTTTTCTGCTTATATAAATTAAGTAGGAATGCAGTAGGATTCCTATTAATTTCACTTCTAGAAACACCGTGATTAATTAGCCAGTGCCAGAGCTCTGCATAAGTCAAACGATTCAGATTGTTGCTTTGCCTCTGTTGTCCATTATGGTAGCCATGCCCACCTTACCTTTGATGGTTGAGTGCTGCCACTTGGCCCTGCCATCTCGGGATCCAGTTATTTCCATTGTATTTAAATTTTGTGGTTGAGTGACTGGGGTTCCCATTGTTAGATCTGGCATACATCAAGATCTAGAAGAGCAATCCTTACAGAGCTCTTCAAAGATATAGGTGTTGCCCTCACAAATGTATTTCAGAAAGCATTGGTCAAGGATATATATTCTGGACCCTCCCAGCTGGAATGAGAAGGTCTAAAGTGACTAATCCACTCCACCATTCCAATCTCCCTACACCTTTGGATCCCGTTCTAAACCAAGAGAGGAAATCAGGTATTTCCAGCTCGCTCACAGTGGGCCATCTTTTAAGCTATATTTTAGCTAACCAAGCAGACAAACTATTAGAATCTTTTTTAACTCCCTGAGCTACAACATTAAATGTAGAATCCCTATTTAGTAGGCCCAAATCAACAAATTCACGTGATCAAACTCTATGTTCCTTCTACCATCATCCCACACCTTAATATCCATTCCCATGACTCTTCTCAAGATTTCTGCTTATATAAATTAGAGAACTCAAGCAGTTCTTTTTGAGTGTAGCACATCTCCTCATGGTCACATTCTGAGCCTCACTTCTAGGAGCCCGCTAGGACTTTAGTCTTGTTATAGTTCTAGAAGCAAACAGAGGTGTTGGGGATAGCTCCTGAGGAGAATCAACTTATATTGCCTGGCAACTGCCTCAGGGGAGGCCATCACTGTTGCCTCAGGCAGCACAGGGTTTAACCCCTCAGACAAAGGTGGAAAGGTTGATGGGAGTGTGGGTCAGGGAGGGGATGTTGCCACTACTGGGAATGAGAAAGCTATTTCTTCTGGCAAAAAAAATTCATCAGAGTTTACAAGCTCAGTGTCCCCAGTGTCATCAGGGTCCTCCCACATATCCCCATTCCCAGTTGCAAGGTCCCATTCTTTTCCAATCAATGCCCTCATTTTAACAGTAGACACCTGGCAAGGCTGTGGATGCACCTTTCATTGCAGGCCAGCCACTCGCATGATAAAAGCTTGTGTCTGGTTTTCCACAGCTTCATCTTTTCTCTTCAGGAGATAAGACTCATACTCAGGGCAATCTTAGAAGATTTGAGGCTCAGTATCTGCTTCTGAAGCCAGGAGTTAGAATCTCTGAGTTCACAATTTTCTTTCATCACTTTGTCCAGTGAACTTAGGAGCAACCAACCAACTTCATTATGTTCCTTGGTTCTCCACATATGGTCAAAGTTATTATGTACAGAGTCACTAAACTCCTTGCCTCTCATGAGCAGTGAATCAGGAGTGTCAAATGCACTTATTTTGCATAACTCTGTAAACAGCTCATGCCAGGGACTATTAGTGTTCTCCATACTATTAGAAGTAGAGTCCTTAGCATTTTGGGGTCTAATCATATTTAGCAGCCAACTCCAGAAACCCCAAAACCAACAAAAGAACTCCATCCTTAATATTTGTTGGTACCAAAATGTGTATTACTCAGGGTTCTCTAGAAAGACAGAACTAATATATATATTATATGTATATAATATATATATCATATATATAATATATAATATATATAATATATATAATATACATCATATATATAATATATATTATATATATTATATATTTCATATATATAATATATATAATCTATAAAATATATAATATATAATATATAAAATATATAATATATAATATATAAAATATATTATATATATTATATATAAAATATAAAATATATAATATATAAAATATATATTATATATAATATCTAAAATATATATTATATATAATATCTAAAATATATATTATATATAATTTATAATATAAAATATATAAAATATAGATTATATATAATATATATAATATAAAATATATATAATATATAATATAATATATATTTTATATTATATATAATATGTAAAATATATATTATATTATATATTATATAAAATATATATTTTATAATATATATTTTATATATAATATATAATATATAAAATACATATTATGTATTATATATCAAATATATATTATATATTTGATATATAATATATATTAGATATATAATATATAATACATATATGGGAATTTATTAAGGAGTATTAATTCACACAATCACAAGGTCCCAAAATAGGCCATTTGCAAGCTGAGGAGCAAGGAAGCCAGTTTGAGTCCCAAAGCTGAAGAACTTGGAGTCTGATGTTGGAGGGCAGGAAGCATACAGCATGGGAGAAAGATGTAGGCTGGGAGGCTAAGCCAGTCTAGTCTATTCACGTTCTTCTGCCTGGTTTTTGTTCTGGCCACGCTGGCAGTTGATAAGATTGTGCCCACTCAGAGTAAGGGTGGGTCTGCCTTTTCCAGTCCACTGGCTCAAATGTTAATCTCTTTTGGCCACACCCTCACAGAAACAGTCAGGAATAATACTTTACATCCTTCAATTCAATCAAGTTGACAGTATTAACCATCACAGTGACCTTCTTTGTCTTTTTTTATAGTTTTTGTCTTGAAATCTATTTTGTCTGATATTAGTATAGCTACTCCTGCTCTTTTTTGGTTTCTATTTGCATGGAATATTTTTTCCATCTCTTTATTTTCAGCCTATATGTGTCTTTGTAGATGAAGTATGTTTCTTGCAGGCAACGAATTGTTGGATCTTATTTTGTAACCTATTCAGCCACTCAACATCTTTTGTTTGGAGAGTTTAGTTTATTTACATTCAATGTTATCATTGTTAAGTAAGGACTTACTTCTGCCATTTTGTTACTTTTTTTTCTGGTTGTTTCATGGTCTTCTTTCTTCTTTTCTTCTTTCCTGTCTTCCTTTTAGTGAAGGTGATTTTCTCTGATGACATGTTTTAATTTATTGCTTTTTATATTTCGTGTTATCTGTTGTAAGTTTCCAAATATGAAGTTACGATGAGGCTTGCAAATAATATCTTATAACCTGTTGTTTTAAACTGATGACAACTTAACAGTGATTGCATAAACAAACTAACAAGTAAAGAGAAAACTGATAAAAACTCTACACTTTAACATCATGCCCCTACTTTTAACTTTTTGTTGTTTCTACTTATATCTTATTGTACTATGTCTTGAAAAGTTGTAATTATTATTTTTGATCAGTTCATCTTTTAGTCTTCCCACTCAAGATATGAGTAGCTTACACACCACAATTACAGTGTTTTGATATTCTGTCTTTTTGTGTACTTACTATTACTAGTGAGTTTTGTGCCTTCGGATAATTTCTTATTTTTTATTAAGGTGCTTTTCTTTCAGATTAAAGAACTCCCTTTAGCTTTCTCATAGGATAGGTCTGGTGTTGATGAAATCTCTCAGCTTTTGTTTGTCTGGGAAAGTCTTGAATTCTCCTTCATGTTTGAATAATATTTTCACCAGACATACTATTCTGCAATAAAAGTTCTTTTTCCTTTGGCACTTTCAATATATTATGTCACTCTTTCCTGGCCTGCAAGGCTTCCACTGAGAAGTCTGCTGCTAGGCATATTGAAGCTCCACTATATGTTATTTGTTTCTTTTCTCTTCCTACTTTTAGAATCCTTTCTTTATTATTGACCTTTGGGAGTTTGATTATTGAATGTCTTGAGTTAATGTTATTTGGGTCAAATCTGCTCAGTAACCTTCTTGCACTTGAATATTGATATCTTTCTCTTGGTTTGGGAAGTTTTCTGTTATTATCCCTTTGAATAAACTTTCTACCCTCATCTCTCGATTTTCTCTTGAAGGCCCAAAACTCTTAGATTTGCCCTTTTGAAGTTATTTTCTTGATATCGTAGGCATACTTTCATTCTCTTCTATTCTTCTTCCTTTTGTCTCCTATAACTGTGTATTTTCAAATAGCCTGTCTTCAAACTCACTAATTCTTTCTTCTGCTTGATTAATTCCACTATTAACAGATTCTGATGTGTTCTTCAGTATTTCACTTGCAGTTTTTAACTCCAGAATTTCTACTGGATTCTTTTAAATTATTTCAATCTCTTTGTTAAATTTATCTGATAGGATTCTGAATTCCTCTCTGTGTTCTCTTGAATTTCTTTGAGTTTCCTCAAAACAGCCATTTTGAATTATCTGTCTGAAAGGTCACACATCTGTGTCTCTCTGGGATTAGTCACCGGTGACTTATTTAGTTCATTTGGTGAGGTCATATTTCCTGAATGGTCTTGATGCTTGTGGATGTTCATTGGAGTCTGGGTTTGTTTGCACCCTTCCTTCCTGGGAAGGCTTTCTAGGTATTCAAAGGAACTTGGGTGTTGTGATTTAGTTTTTGGTGACTGCAGCTGTATCTGCATTAGGGGGCACCCCAAGTCCAGTAACACTGTGGCTCCTGCAGACTTGAAGAGATACCACCCTATGGTCTTAGATAAGATCTAGAAGAATCCTCTGGATTATCAGACATAGACTCTTATTCTCTTCCTTTTCTTTCTCCAAAACAAGCAGTCTCTCTCTCCTCTCCTCTCCTCTCCTCTCCTCTTCTCTCTCCCTTTCTCTCTCTCTCTCCTTCTCTCTCTGTTTGTGCTGAGCTGCCTGGAGCTGGAAGAAGGGTGACACAAGTATCCCTGTGGCCACCATCACTGAGACTGTGCTGCGTCAGACCTGAAGCCAGCACAGCACCAGGTGTCACCAAAGGCCTGTGGTAACCACTGTCTGGCTACCAGCTATGTTCGCTCAAGGCCCTAAGGCTCTAGAGTCAGCAGGTGGCAATGCCAGCCAGGCTTGTATCCATTACTTCAGGGTGCCAAGTTTCCACCAGTCCTGGGCAGGTCCAGAGATGTCACCTGGGAGCCAGGGCCTGGGGTAAGAAACTTTAGGAATCTACCTGGTGCTCTATTTTACTCCAGCTGAGCTGGCACCCAAGCCCAAGGCAATGTCTTTCCCACTCTTCCCTCTCCTTTCCTCAAGCAGAGGTGTCTCTTCCCTTGGTCACCACTGCCCCAGGCCCATGGTCAATACTGCCTGGCTACTGCTGATGTTCATTCATGGATCAAGGGCTCTTGAGTCAGCTTATGAATGCTGCTAAGCATAGGACTCTCCTTTCTAGGCAGTGGGCTCCACTATGGCCACTAGGGCAGGTCCAGAAATGCCATACAAGAGCTAAACCCTGGAATTGGGGACCCCAAGAGCCCACTTGGTTCTCTACCGCACTGAGGCCACACCGGTACCTAAGCTGCAAGACAAAGTCCCCTTTATCCTTCCTTCAACTTTTCTCAAGCAGAAGGAGCCCCTTCCCATAGCCACCACAGCTGGAAAGGTGCTTGGTGACATCTGAAGCCAACATGTCTCTTAGTCTCACCCAAGGCCAATGGCAAGTACTGCTTGGGTTCTATTGCAAATTATTGAGGGCCCTTGGGCTCTAGAGAGAGCAGGTGATGAATGCTGCCAGGACTGGGTCATTCCCTTCAAACCAATGGGTTCCCTTCTGGCCCAGGGTGTCTAGAAATGTTGTCTGGGAGCTAGGGCCTGAAATGGGGGACTCAGGACTCTGTCTTATGCCCTATCCTACTGTGGCTGAGCTTGTCTTATGCCCTGTCCTACTGTGGCTGAGCTGATATCCAAGTTGCAATACACAGTCCTGTTTACTCTTCCTGCTCCTCTCCTCCAACCACAGAAAGGAGTCTTTTTCAAAGCTGCAAGCTGTGATGCCTGGTGTTGGCAGAGGGATGATGCAAGCACTCCCTTGGCTGCACCAGCTGGTGTCTCACTAGATCATATGCTCAAGTCCACTGGCTTCAAGCCCAGCACAGCATCAGGAATCCCCCCTAGAATTGCAGTCCTTGTGTCCTAGACAGACTTTTAAAAGTTTATTTAGGACCCCAGAGCACTTTAACCCATGGTCGTGAGTCTTTTTGGAATTCAGGTTCCAACCACTGGGATGTGTAATTCCTCTCTGGCGAGGGCTGGTCTAAATGCTCCTTCTGTGGGTGCTGGCTGAGTTCTGCCTGGTGTTGTTTCTCCCTGTGACAGGGCAGCACTGCGTTCCAATGCAAAGCCCCACAATGACTGCACTCTCCCTCCCGCAAGTGCAGAGATTCTCTCTCTGTTCCATGCGGCAGCTGCCGGGTGATGAGGGAGGGGTGGTGTCAGCAATTCAAGACTGTCTTTCTTACCTTCTTCAGTGCCTCTTTCAGTGATATGAAGTTAAAACCAGGTATTGTGATCACTCATTGGATGTTTGGTTGTTATGAGGGTGCTTTTTTTGTGTGGACAGTTGTTCAATCTGGTGTTTTTGCAGGAAGACAATCAGTGAAGGCTTCTATTCAGCCATCTTGCTTCACCTCCCTTGGTAATCTCATATTTAATGAGTGCTAAGTACTTTGAGCTCACTGTGCTTTTAAATTTTGTTTTACTTCTGACTGCTTAAAAATTTCCCCCATCTCTGGCAGGGAAGTGGCTCATGCCTGTAATCCCAGCACTTTGGGAGGCCAAGGTGGGCGGATCATGAGGTCAGGAGTTTGAGATCAGCCTGGCCAACATAGTGAAACCCTGTCTCTACCAAAAATACAAAAATTAGCTGGACATGGTGGCACGTGCTTGTAGTCCCAGCTACTCGGGAGGCTGAGGCAGGAGAATCACTTGAACCCAGGAGGCAGAGGTTGTAGTGAGCCTAGACTGCGCCATTGCACTCCAGCCTGGGTGACAAGAATGAGACTCTGTCTGAAAAAAAAAAAAAAATTCCCCCATCTCTTGAAGCCAGCAATGCAAAACAAATATCATTTAAGCAAGACCTAGTTGTTTTGAAACAGGAAGACCTCTCAAACATCTAGTCTCAAGTATTTAGCAGAGAAGTTCCACATATCACTTTTTACCTGTTGCAATCTGGCTTTAACCCCTACTACATGTCTGAAACTACTTATGCCAAGTCACTCAATGTTTTCATTGTTGCCAAATTTAACATGCACTTTTAACTTCATTTCATATGTGAGCCCCCTGCCCTTGTAGTCCCGAATGCTCCCTTTTTCTTGAAACTCTCTTGTTCTTTTGATTGTGTGATATAGTTATCTCCTATATATTCTCCTATCTTGCTGGCTGTGCCTTTTAAGCCTTCTTGGTGAAGTCCTTTTAAATTTTCTACACATACTGATGCCTCAGAAATCTATCTGCAGCTTTCTTCACCTTCTACTTTGTATACTTTCCTGAAATAATTTCATCAACTGCTAGGCTCAGTACCCTGAATTCCCCCCCATCGTGTCTTGCACTTCCAAGCTTTTATACATGCTTCTCCCTCTGCTTGGAGTGTGTCCTCTCATACTTTTAAAAACCAGATTAACTAACAAGTCTTTCTAAGAAAGACTCAACTCAGGTCTGTTCTCCTCCAAGATGCCTTTGCTGACATCTAATCTACATGCTCCCAGAGCACCTTGTATCTACTTCTGCCATTGCATTTTACACACTATATTGTAATCTGTTTACTGATCTGTCTTCCTGACATAGTTATGCTGTATCAGCAGTGTCTAGCACAGGGCCTAGTCCATGGTAGGTAAACAAATGTTTGTCGAATAAATAAAAGAACACCTGAATAAGTAAATGAATGAACGGGTAAGTGATTTTGGAACGGACAATTTGGGGTTTGGAAAGAGGGTAAAGGAGGTGAAAGGAGAAGAAGAGAAATGACTGGTATATTTAAGCAGCTTGTTTTGTTACCCTTGTTTATGTGGAATAAAGTTGTCATTTCATTTCATCAAAAGTTTATTGAGCATCCAGTATGTGCTAGGCACTCTGCTGGATGCTAGTAATACAAAGATGAAGATGAAAACAACACAAAAACAAACCCCACTTCCTTACTTACCCCTCCCCACCCCCAATTTAAGGCAGATTTGGCTTAAGCCTGGCAAGCTGGCCCCTCAGGGATTCAGCACCAGGGTATGGCATGTTCTCATCTCACCCTAACCTTCACCTGTGCATCTCAAGGCTGACCAGCAGGTACTCCTTATCCAAGTCCTGCTGCCTCTTCCACCTTCTTGAGAAACTTTTCCCCTACATGCATTATCTCATTATGGATGAGGCACCTGGGAAGTTTAGGGGAGCTGCGAAGGCACACCTGCTCAAATGAGCCTGGGGAAGTGCCGAGGGACAGGGAGCTGAGACAGGCATGCTGTGGGGTTCAGGGCAGAGGGGGCAAACTAGAAATGTCAGTGCCTTTGGGGCTGAGACAAAACTTGACCTGGTGTGGAGGTGATGGGTAACTGGGGCCTTGGAATTGCTCCATGGGTTGATGGCGAATCAGAGCTGGAGTTTAGGAGACTAGGGATGCAAGGACCCTTGGAGGCATTAAGGAGGAGGGAATGGAATACACAGAGGGCCTCCTTCTCTTTCAGCTTTTTAATTGCCCTCTCTCCTCACACAGTAGATTACTGCCACTCCTATGAACTGTTCAATAGGCGGTGGCATGGGCATGTCCTGGCTACACAGCGGCCCAGCCTCTTTATTTTGATGTTAGTGTGATTAGGGAGTCTGCCCTTTTTCTGTGCCCTGGGACCTGAGCATGTGGGAGCAGGGCAGATGGGTGGCAGGAGGCCAGGGGTTGGATCATGTTCCCCCCAAATGCTGGGAAGCAATAAGCCTCCTCCTCCCCCCACCATTTCTCTGGAGATTAGGACTTATTCTCACAGCTGGAGGAAGCTCAACAACTTTCCTGAGGACAATGATTGTTTGAAAGGCTTGTTTTGTAAGGAAGCCAGGAGGAATATATGAGTTTGATGAGCTAAAACAGTTCCTCATTTGGTCTAGTTTTCGGGCCAGGGGAGTAAGTGAAATTCACTTCTCTATAAGAATAAGCCCATCCATCTCTTTTATTCATGAACAGAGACAGAAAGAGTGCTTGGCATGGCATGCCTCCGAGGGAGGCTGTGGGAGGAGGCCAAGCTGGCAGGCTCGGGTTCTTTGCCCTTGCTAGCGCCCAGGTCAGAGGGAAAAGGAATGTACTCGTACCCTTCCCTCACCACCTTGTAGGTCCCCAGGTACCAGGTGCCCAGGGAAGAAGGCCTTCACAATGATCCCCCCAGCTCAGAACAGCCCCTGCACACCCAGTAACCGGCATCTGGCTTCTCCTTAGCTTAGTGCAGCTGTGGATTCTGGGAAAGTGGCCTCTCTAATCTGAACTTGCAAAAAAAAAAAAAAAAAAAAAAAAAAAAAAAGTGCCCCAGCACTCAGGCATTTGTTCAGAGGGAAGGGTGGTGGGTGGGAAACAACACAGCTCCCTAGGAAGAGCACAGGATAGTCACGGGGGTTAGGTTACTGATGTTAGTTTCCATAAAACCCTTTTGGGTATTGGGCCAGAAATGTAATAATCTATGTGGTCCTAAGAGGGCACAACCTATACCAAGTGAGGACACAGCCAGTAAACCGGAAGCAAATGCGACCCGGTTTCACCATATCAACACTGCCGCCTCCGCGCACCCGCCTCCGTCTGCGCATGCTCATACACGTTCACACCCGAGACACCAGCGCCCCCCCGGGACCTCCCCTCGTCCCCAGCGCGCCGCGCCCGGGCTTCCCAGCCCCAGCTTTCCCCCGGGCCACTGGCCGCAGACCGCGGGCGCCTCTCAGGGGATCCCGAGGCGGCTCAGGCGCTGATCTCCACCGGGCCGGCCTCGTCTTGCTCGCGGATTATGTGCACGCCCGCAGTCCGCAGTGTGCGCGAGGCGCTGCGCGAGCGGCCGGGCGAGCTCGGGGCCCTGGGCGGCGACGAGTGTGTCCGGCCGGTGGCTGGGGAGCGCGCTGGGGAGCGCGGGTAGCGGCGGGCAGAGCGGATGGGCAGCCCCGGCGAGCGGCCGGGCACGGCGGGAGACACGGAGTAGCCGGGCGGGCCGGGCTCCGTCGCGCTTCGAGGCTCCGGGGCCGGGTTCTCCTCGGTCTCCGGGGAGTCCTGCAAGGACACGCGCCGCAGGGGTCAGGGGACAGTCAGCCCAGCCTGGGAGCGCGCCTGGTGTTAGAGCTTGCTGGAATTCCGAGGGGAGGGACCTAGTTTCCCTCTGCACGCCCACCTCCTGGAAGGCTGCAGACAGGTCTGGTTTTCCTGGCGATATTCCACACTGAGCATGGGGCCTCCTAGCACATAATAGGTGTTAAGTAAATGTTGAAATGCGATGATTTGAGTGCTTTTCCCCTTTACTCTCCTCTTTCCACCCGTCGTGGACAGCCTGGGACAGTTAGTTGTGGAATACTGGGGAAATCACCAGAACTGGTGTCCAAAGACCTAGGTTTGAAACCTAGATCTGCCACTCATTGACTTGTTTAATCCTGAGCAAGTCATTTAATCTCACAGCCTTGTTTTTTCTAATCTCTAAAATGTGCATGACACAAATATTTCACAGGGTTATTCTGAGTACTATAAAGCAGGGGTCCCCACCCCCAGGCCGAGGACTGGTACTGGTCCATAGCCTGTTAGGAAGGGAGCGGCAGAGCAGGAGGTGAGCGGTAGGCCAGAGAGCAAAGCTTCATATGTATTTACAGACATGCCCCATGGCTTGCATTATCGCCTGAGCTCCGCCTCCTGTCAGATTCGTGGCTGCATTCGATTCTCGATTCTCGTAGGAGCACACACCCTATTGTGAATTGAGCATGCGAGGGATCTAGGTTGCACGCTCTTTAAGAGAATCCAATGCCTGATGATCTGAAGTGGAACAGTTTCATCCTGAAACCACCCGCATCACCATCCATGGAAAAATTTTCTTCCTTGAAACCAGTCCCTGGTGCCAAAACCGTTGGGGACTGCTGCTATAAAGGGATAGGAATATAGTATGGCTCCCTAGCATCAGGCATGTGGGAGGGGATCACTGCATGTTTCTGGGCACCCAGTCCAGAGCCGCTCACCTTGTCCTTCAGGATATAGAGTGCCATGGGGTTCTTCCGTTCCTGCTCACCACTTCGAGGGAGGGTGTCTGCTGCACAGGGGAGAGAAGCGGGTGGCTGGCCCAGGTACAGACTCTCCCCACCAGCCGGCACCTACTCTCTGTGCTTCCCGAATGGCCCGCCACAACCTCCACCAACATATCTGAATATCCTGGCTCCTACCTTGGCCAAACCTTTCCCTCCTCTGCAGTCTTCGTGCAGTTGGTGGGGGAAGGGTCCCTGCAGAGCTGTTTTCCTTGTCGCCCAGTTCTGCCTTTTCCCAGCAGCCCACTGATCTGATTGTTGATGGGATGGGTGATTGGGTGGCTGGGAGCTCACCTTCTGGTTTCAGGCGGTCATCATTCTGATCCATGTATTCCAGGGAGTTTTGCTTTTCTAGCTTCTTCTGTTTCCTGTGAATCAATTCAGCCCCACTATGAGCCGAATTATTGAATGTGAGTAGAAGATCCAGTGGGGACACAGGGAGGGATCTGATGGCCATAAAAGAGGCCTTGTGACAGGAAGATGGGCTGGGTACAGTTCATGAGCTTTGGAAGGAATCACATCTAGGTTTGCACCTTGAGTCTGTCACTAGCGTTGTGACTGTGGGCAAGTCATTTAACCAATCCGAGTCTCAGTGTCATTATCTGTAAACTACAGATAATCATACTTAAAAGGTAGCAGGCTAACCACAGCCACAGTGCCTGGTCCCAAAAAAGGTGGTTGGCCAGTGAAAAAACCTATTGTTACTGGTGCTGGGGTTGTGGGGGCTTTGGAGCACAAGATGCTGGTGCATACACAATGGAAGAATGGATCTCTCGGAAAGAGATGCAAAACCCTGGGAGGAAAGGCATTTAAAGAGACTTAAGAAAATAATGGGGCTTAGGTTTGGGATGGATTGAAGGACTCAGGTGCTCAGGAGAGTTACCCAGACCTTTTGGAGGGTTTCCAGCAGGCACAGACTGTCACCAAGGTCACAAGGAGGAAGATGCCTCCTGTAGACAAGATGATGTAAAGGGAGCTTCTTCCTAGGGAGAGAGAGAAGCAGAGAGGCAGGAGGGACTTCAAAGGGGCAAGATGTGGTGAGCAGAACTTCCTGCCATGGATGGAAGAGAGGGGGAGCCCCAGGCTGCATGCCTGGCTGATGCTGGTGGTGGAGCTTGTACAGAACCCACTGGCTACCTGTTGGTGTCCTCCATGGATAGTTGGCCCATCTCTGTTCCCCTCCCCCCAGTGACATTTCTTTGGGATGTCCTCAGTCCCTCATGGTCACCTGCCTCTTGGGGCTTTGAGTACTAAAGGAAAGCCTGCGGGGAAACTCACTGTATACGGTGATCTTGACAGGCAGGCTGCGGCCCTGGCTGATGGGGTTCTCCACCATGCAGCTGTACAGGTCGTCATCCTCCATGAGCACGCGGGTGATGGTGAGCACCTTTTGGTCGGGGGACAGGAGCATTCTCGAGTCATTGAGGAGGGGCTTGCCATCCTTCAGCCAGGTGTAGCTGGGCTTGGTGCCATTCTCATGTGAGCAGTTCAAGGTGAAGGCCTCGCTGAGCTCCAGCACAGTGGTTGAAGCCACCAACACCTGTGGCCTCGAAATGGGCACTGAGCCGCAGGAATGGGGGAGCCTGTAAGTCATTGGCTAAGAAGTGTCTCCCTTCCCCTTTTTAGCTCCCTGCCTTCCAACACACCTTTAACACTACCTTCCAACTCAATCTGTGGGCTGAGAAGACTTCAGACATCCTAAGTCCAGTTCTTTCCCATCGCTTATTCATTCGTTTCACTGACTATTTATGGAGCACCAATTAGGCATGGCGGGTACAATGCTGAACAATGCAGACATGGTGTTGCCCTCATTCCCTCTTTCCAAATGCCTTGCCATGAACCCTGGGCTTTAATGTCTTAAACTGACCCAGCCAGGAAGATATTTCAGTTGGGCTAAGCCTAGGTCCAACTGTTTAGGTTCAAATCTTGGCTCTATCACTTCTAGCTGTGTGACCTTGGGCAAGTTATTCAACCTTTCAGTGGCTCACTTTCCTCATCTGCAAAATTAGGATAATGATATGAACTATCACCAGACTATTATAAGCATTAAATGAGTCAACATATGCAAAGCACTTAGAATAGTTTCTGGCACATGGCAATCACTCTACATGTTAGCTGTGCTGTGCCTGTCTGCCAACTTCTAATGTCCACTTGCCTCATTCTCAGCTCCCAAGTGCCTTTTGGGTTGGTTTTCCCTCAGTCTAGCTGGTGCGCTGGGCAGACCTTTCCCTAGTCCCACCTGCCAGTCTTGCCTCTTTCCCTGCCAGAGCGCTTTACCATCTACAGTAAGGTTGATGGTCTTCTCCCCAGTGAAGGTGTCGTCGGTGATGGAGATCTCGACCTCATAGGTGCCCTCATCGGCCAGCTGCAGGTCGCTGAGAAGCAGGGAGCCATTTTCAAAGAGTCGGATACGGTCTCGATAGTCAGGCCGCAGGGTGCCGATGACCTCTGTGCCAATGGACTGCACCACGGTCACTGGCTTGTCCCGCTTCAGCTGCCACTTCACTACAGGCCTGTCGCTGCTGGTACTGCTGTACTGCACAGAAAGCAGAGCCGACTTCCCCACGGTGCCATGGATCAGGCGCACGGGGCTGGTGATGTTCACCCCCTCCAGGGGGTCTGTGAACAGAGGCCCATGAGGAAGAGGGAAGCATCAGGCCCTGGGCTCCTTAGCCCACTCCCAACTTTAAGCCCTCTGATCTCCCAAAGCTTCGCCTCTCTGGCTCTTCACTCCCTGCCAATCCTGGCTTCTTAAGCCTGGGTGCTATCTCCTCCCCCACAGTAGCTCTGTGCACTTCTGCCCCTTTGTTCTCTCTCACAGCCATCTCATGGCCTTCAATGCTTTTTCCACCTAGCCCTCTGCCTCTCTGGCACTTTGTCTATTGCCTTTCTCTTGTGGCTCACCCACACCCTATGCGCTCCATTCATAAAAATATTTATTGAACATCTCCTATCTGCCAGACACTTTTCTATGTCTTTAGGATATAGCAATGAGCAAAGCCAACAAAAATCCCTACCCCTATGAAGCTTATAGGTCATTAGACCTCTGGGTGAATTTGTCAGATCTTCTTGATTGGGGATTGGGAGGGTGAGGAGATGGAGAAAGCATGGAACACAGATTCACAAAGAAAGGAGCGGGTCGTGAGACAGTGCCAGTAAAGGGAAAGTTTAGGGGCCTGAAGACCACTTTCTAGTTATACCGAGAGCCTCTTCCCGTTTTTTTTGCAGATGCATGTAGCATCTTACTAGGCTCACTCAGTGCAGAATAGTCCTGCAACTAGTAAGGTGGTTTTGGGAATTCACCCAAACTCCAGCCCAATCTGTACCCCTAGAAGAAGGATTTGCGATGGGTAGAACAAAGAGCTTAGAATCAGAAAAAGCTTTTTCATGCTGGGCTCTACCTCTTACTGGCTATGTGGATTTGGGTACTCATTCTTCTCATTTGTAAAATAAGGATAATAATAACAAGGCTGGGCGCGGTGGCTCACGCCTGTAATCGCAGCACTTTGGGAGGCCAAGATGGGCAGATCACCTGAGGTCAGGAGTTCGAGACCAGCCTGGCCAACATGGCAAAACCCCGTCTCTACTAAAAATAAAAAAAATTAGCCAGGCATTGTGGCATGTGTCTGTAATCCCAGCTACTCGGGAGGCTGAGACATGAGAATCGCTTGAACCCAGGAGGCAGAGGTTGCAGTGAGCTGAGATAGTGCTGCTGCATTTGAACCTGGGTGACAGAGGAAGACTCCATCTCAAAAAAATAAAAAATAAAAAAATAACAACAGCAACTGCCTTATCAAGTTCACAGGATTGGAAAGTACAATATGCATATTAGTCATTGTCATACAGCAGACAGAACACAAAATTGAGCAGAGTTTTGGGCCTTATTATTGATACATGACTTAGGAGGGTCCCATCTCCTTGGAGCTCAGATTCCCTACAGATAAAAGGAGTAGTAGGCTAGATGGTCTCATTGGTTTGTTCCAGCCTTGTAATTCTGGGATTTTACCACTTGTCCAATGGATGCCCTATCCAGAGGGCATTTCAGAGACCTCTTAGGAGCTTTGGGATCTGAAAAGATGCTGTTATTTGGTGTCACCTGGCCTTGTAGAGCAATCCAACCACCCGAAGGAGGGTCTTCTGGAGAGGACGCCGGTTGGGAGCAGGGCTGAGTTTAGCTGAATAGACACATACATGCAGATTCTCAGTCCCTCTGCACCCCTTGCCGCTTCCTTTGATGGATTCCCTCTGAAGCTCCCTCATTCTTTCTGAGCCTTATTTCTCACTCTGCTGCTGCTGCCATTCAGTTGAGGAAACTGAGCTGTACCTTTTCATTCCTTATTTCTCTCCTCATGCTTGGAGGGCCCAGACCAAACCAAGAGGCAATTAAACGAAAAGGTTGGTGGTGAAGAACAAAGCAAAAAAAAAATTTTTTTTTTGAGACGGAGTCTTGTTCTGTTACCCAGGCTGGAGTGCAGTGGCACAATCTCAGCTCACTGCAAGCTCCGCCTCCCAGGTTCACGCCATTCTCCTGCCTCAGCCTCCTCAGTAGCTGAGATTACAGGCGCCCGCCACCACGCCCGGCCAATTTTTTTGTATTTTTTAGTAGAGACGGGGTTTCAGCGTGTTAGCCAGGATGGTGTCAATCTCCTGACCTTGTGATCTGCCCGCCTCAGCCTCCCAAAGTGCTGGGATTACAGGCATGAGCCACTGCGTGGTTACTAAACATATTAGATCCATTTTTGGAAAAAGTGCTTTGCTAAGTAGTGAGCTCCTCATCTTTGGAAATGACCAAGGAAAGGCCAACTGGCTACTTTTACACCTTGCTGGGCCTCAGCTTCCTCCTCTGTATAATGAAGTAGCAGGACCAGAAGATCTCTAGGGGGGCTTCTTAACTCTGACTTTTTTTTTTTTTGACAAGGTCTCACTCTGTTACCCAGACTGAAGTGCAGTGGGGCGATCTTGGCTAACTGCAACCTCTGCCTCCCAGGATCCAGCGATCCTCCCACCTCAGCCTTCCAAGTAGCTGGGACCACAGGCATGTGCCACTATGCCCAGCTAGGTTTTTTTTTTTTGTTTTTTTTTTTTTGTATTTTTTTGTAGAAACGGGATTTCACCTTGTTGCCCAGGTGGCTGGTCTTGAACTCCTGAGCTCAAGCAATCCACCCGTGTTGGCCTCCCAAAGTGCTGGGATTACAGGCGTGGGCCATTCATACCTGGCCTTAGCTCTGACATTCTATGATTCATTACTTGCCAGGAATGTTAGAACCATAAAACCTTAAAAGTAGAAGAAACAGGCCGGGCATGGTGGCACACACCTGTAATCCTAGCTACTCTGGAGACTGAAGCAGGAAAATCGCTTGAACCTGGGAAGTGGAGGTTGCAGTGAGCTGAGATTGCACCACTGCACTCCAGGCTGGGTGACAGAGCAAGACTCTCTCTCAAAAAATAAATAAATAAGTAAATTAATTAATTAAAGCAGAAGAGACAGCTCTACTGATTAAAGCTGAATGTGTGAATATCATATGCTTGCTGTTGAACAAAAATCTTAATTTGGGGCAAGTAAAATGAACAACATAAACTATTTTCAGACTTTTAAAAATTAATGATACTTTCTTCCCACAAAATCTTAAATAAAAATGGAAAAAGGCAATATGGTTCCATCTCACCTGCTTTGGTAGAAGAGGTGGTGGGGATGAGTCCTATCCCCCCTCAATAACCCAAGGAGCAACTGGGAATCCCTACTGGCTCTGCGCATCAGACTAAAGTCCATTTGGCCACATGATCCTTAAGGTTTCTTCCAATTCTTAATTTCTGTGATTATCAACTGCTAGGTCCAAGGCATGGCTTGATTTAGAAAACCAAACTTTCGAATTTCCCTGAGTAGGCAAATAGGCTTTGGTATGGATAACAAGAGGTGGCCCTGAAAAAGTCATGAGCTTTATTAAAGGCCACTGGGGTGATGATCAAATAGCTGGGGAACATCTACCCCCTTTCTCGGGACCCAGTGTGCAGTAGTATGCTATGCACGCAAGGGTTACATGTGCAGAGCCATGCTGGAGTTTAGTAAATTGGTATGTGAAAGGAAAATAAATCTTGGGGCCCCAAAATCACTAAGCTAAAGGGAAAATCAAGCTGGGCACTGCTTATGACAAACCTGCCTCCCATTCTATGCAAAGTCACCCCTCTGCTCACTGAGATAAATGCATACCTGATTGCCTCCTTTGGAAAGACTAATCAAAAAAAGAAACTCAAAATAATGCAACCATTTGTCTCTTATCTGCCTATGACCTGGAAGCCCTCTCCCGACTTAAGAGTTGTCCCATCTTTCCGGACCGAACCAACATTCATCTTACATATGTTGATTGATGTCTAATGTCTTCCTAAAATGTATGAAACCAAACTATGCTCTGACCACCTTGGGCACATGTCATCAGGACCCCCTGAGGCTGTGTCACAGGTGTGCATCCTCAACTTTGGCAAAATAAACTTTGTAAATTAACTGACACCTGTCTGAGATATTTGGGGTTCACAGGTGTAATGTCCCCAAGCACCAAACTTTGAGGATTCTCATTTCCTTCTTCTGGGAGTCTGGACAGTGACAACCTCAAAAACAAGTGGAAGGGATTTCCCCTCTCCCTTCTATCTTCTGTGGCCTCCTGGAGCTTCCCTGGCTTCCATGCTCTCCTATCCCATCCAAAGTCCTAGTAGCCTTTTTGCTATGTATTTCTCCCTGAAGCCTTTCTGCCAATTTAAAGTTGATTTGTTCTGGATAAAAATATTGGAGAAGTTATGGCCTACAGATTGCCTGAGGCCTTACCCTCCTCTAGATAAGTCCCCTCATCATGCCTATGAACATGGGCATGTCCGTGGGCCAAAAGGATGTATCACACGTGTTCATAAGTGAATGAAGGAGTCTTTCTTGAAAGCTGACAGAGAGAGCAGTTTGCTGAGCAAACAGTTTCCCAAAAACTCTAGCCAAAATCGTACTCTGTATTAAGTTCAGGGTTCCACAACTTTCAAGGGACACAGAGAACTGGGACAGGAGCCAAAGCACGACACAGAAATGAGGAAATAGCTCACAACTAAGGTCCAGAGTGGAAATAAAAGGACTAGGACCACTCAACCTTGAGAAGTGATTAACTTAATTATTGTCTCCAAGGCATCATAATATAGAAAGTTTCTCTTCCCACCAGAGGCTGAAGAAAAGGAAATGAGATCTCAGCAAGTTGTACCCTATCAACCTCAACAATGCGGTACTGGGATAGATCGGTGGCCACTCCTCAAGTAGGATTTTGAGCTGCTGCGATGCCGGGAATGTCAAACTTTAGGGTATAAGAATGCACCTGCAGATAGCCTTGGCTTTTCTTAATAGGGTCATCCCTTAGAGAAATCACCATCCACTCATTTTTATGTGCTCCCTTTGCTGGGCCAAAGTTTCCTTTCGCCAGTATTTGTCTTAAATTTACCTTTTAAAAGTGTCAATGGGGGTAGTGCCAAATATGTGTTCTAGGATTTGGTCTATACACACCTTATCCATATTCCCTAACACCAAAGGCTGCTGCCATGTCCCTTTTCATCTGAAAAGTTTTTGGTTTAGTTTGGGTCTGTCACCATAAAAAAGTCTCTTCATTCTTTTGGCCGTCATAGATACCCTTCCTTGGGCTTTCTTCAACTGTGTTATTTCCTTTTATGGTGTGGTAGCCAGAACTGCATCTAATAATCCAAGGGCAGAACACCTCAGTTTCCTAAAAGGAAAACATATTGTTTCTGCTTTTGGTTTTTAATATTATTCCTAATTAATGAGGGTTTGAGAAAACCACCCCGCTCCTCTGCTGTTACTCTATAGGTGCATCACTTATTGTGTGGATGTTGGGGCTGCCGTGTTGTATTCTTACATTTTTATCCTGTTGAGGCCTACAAGTCATTTGAAGCGCCAGTTATTCAGGGATGTGAGAGAAAATCAGGAAACAGAAGCTGTGAAGAAGGCTTTTGGGATCCAGGAAGAAAGGAGCTGGTAGCTTTTTATCTACAATCTAAGGAGTGTAGATGTTCAGGAATGCGTACCTAGTTAATAGGTATTAAGATGGCACACAGAGAGTTACTATGTTTGTGGACTGGAAAAATCACTCTTGTTAAGCTGTCAATTCTCCTAAACTGATTTATAATTTAATACAATGCCAATCAAAATCCCAGGAGGTTTACTTTGTGATCTTGACATGAAGATAGACAAATAGATCAACAGAAAGTCTGAAAACAGACTTAAATATGATTGCTCAAATGATGACAAAGGTGATACTGCAGTGCAGGGAGAAAAGTGCTTTTCACAAAATAGTGCTGGGCCATGTAGGATAAAAACGAATTGACCCTTACCTCACACCTTACACAAATATTAATTTTGGATGGATTGCAGATCTAAATATGAAAGGTAAAACAACAACATTTGAAAAAGAAAACAGACTATGTCCTTGACTTGAGGGCAGACACAGATCTCTTATAAAGGACACGAAAGTGGTAACCATCAAAGAAGGAAATGATACTTTAGACTCAGTAAAATTAAGAGCTTCTATTCATCAAAAGATACCATTGTGAAAGCGAAAGGCAAACCATAAAGTGGGAGGAGATATTTGCAATACATATATCCTATAAAAGGCTCATATGCAAAATATATTATTTAAACTCCCACAAGTTCACAATTTTAAAGAAATTCAAACAACACAATAGGAAAATGGGCAATTAATTTTAATGGAAATACAATTTTAAACTTCTTTTTTTTCAGTGACAAGGTGTCACCCTATTGCCCAGGCTGGACTGCAGTGGTGTGATCATACCTCACTGCAGCCTCAAACTCCTGGGCTCAAGAGATTCTCTTGTCTCAACCTCCCAAGTAGCTGGGACTACAGGAACACACCACCACACTCAGCTAATTAAAAAAAAATTATAGAGAAGAGATCTTACTACATTGCCCAGGCTGGTCTTGAACTCCTGGCCTCAAGCAATCTTTATGCCTTGGCATCTTAAAGTGCTGGAATTACAGATGTGAGCCATCACACCAACCTTAAACCAGAATCTGATACCAGTTCATACCCAATAGGATGGCCAAAAGGAAAAAAAGAAAATACAATTATTGGGAAGATATGGATCATCTGAAACTCTCATACATGTTGATAGGAGTGTAAACTGATACATTCATTTTTGAAAACCGTTTGGCCATGTCTATGAACACTAAACACACAAATACCCTATAATTAAGCAATTCTACTCCTAGATGTATCCCCAAAAGAAATGCCCATATCTGTTCTCCAAAAGACATGTACTATAATAGGATGTATAACAGTAACAACTCTGTTCATAAAGCCCCGATGGGGCTAAGTTGGTTGGATTGGTTTGGAAACAACCAAAGTGTCTATCAAAGTTGAATAGAGCAATAAATTGTGGCATATTCATACAATGGAATACTATACAGCAGTGAGACCAAATAAACTACGACAACTTAGATGAATCCTACAAACTTGGTGTTCAGACATAGAAGACTGAATACATATGATACCACTTATAGAAAGACATGCAAAATTAATTTTTATTAGAAGTTAGGATACCACTATAATCCCAGTGGGAAGGCAGCAGTAACTGAGATAGTATGAGGGTGATTCTGAGGTGCCAAAATATGCTGTTTCTTGATCTGAGGGTTGATTACATGGGTTTGTTAACTTTTTAAAGGCTCACCAAACTGTATCTTTAGGCTAAATGTACCTTCTTGTATGTAATTTTTAATAAACAATTTAAAAAATGACAGCACCTACAATGTGGGGGTGAACTTGGGGCTAAAGAGCATGGAACCCAGGTAAGAGACTTGTTTCTATTGGGTCCCTAGAGGATGGAATAGTTCTTGTATTCCAGAGAATACAACCTTGAAAATAAACTTACCTACATTTACGGCATGCTGTGCCTATGTCTGTCAGTTAATGTCCTGGTCTCCAGAAAATTTTTATTTGAATGTTTCATAAATTGGAATTTAAAAATTGGGAAATAAAAATGATGAATTTAGAGAAGCTTCATTTGTCCATGTCAGGGGCAGAGTATTAAAGACTGTGTAGCTCCATGACGCCTCAGGGCTAGCTTGGTGGTGTCTGCCATAGTATAAGATTAAGGTAAATCTTGGGGAGGCAGGGCCACATGGTCCAGTCTCCCCTTGAGTGCCAATCCTAAAAACTACATTTCCCAGCCAGCTTCCCTTGTTGTTAAGTATGGCCATGTGACTGAGTCGTAGCAAAGAGAACTAGTGCAAGTGATACGTATCACTTACAGACCTTGTTTGGCAAAGTCTTCCTTTTATGTTTCTCCATTAAAAAAATAAAATAAAATTCTCTACCTGGAAGAAAAGAAGATACACCTCATGGTGATCTTTGGAAGCACATGTCAAAGTTGATAGGGCTCCATTGGCTTGGTCCCTGAAAAACTTCATAGAGTAGAGTCCTTCCTCTTCCCAGGCCTAGTCTGAAACTACAATGGGCTATCACATAGTTACTGCCAGGAACTTAAATTTTGGAATTTATTGGTCCCAGAAGCAAACATTTTCCTAAATAATATATTAGGGATGGCAGGGATTCCTTCTAGAATCTCAGCTCTTATTACTCTTTAGTCCACAGCAGTACAATGGCCTCTCCCAGCACTTACCTCTTATCTATCATAGGTCATTAACTAATATCCTATTAGCATAACTTACATTATAATTTTTTTTTTTGAGAAAGGTTCTTGGTGTTACCCAGGCTGAAGTGCAGTGACGTGATCATGGCTCACTGCAGCCTTGACCTCCCTGGTTCAAGCAATCCTCCCACCTCAGCCTCCTGAGTAGCTGGAATTACAAGCGTGCACCACTAGGTCTGGCTAATTTTTTCATTTTTGTAGAGATGGGGTTTCGCCATGTTCCTCAGGCTGGTCTCGAACTCCTGGGCTCAAGCAATCCAACTGCCTAGGCCTCCCAAAGTTCTGAGATTACAAGCATGAGCCACCGCTCCCGGCCACATTTAGAATGTTTTGGTGTATTTACTAAGTTACATTTTTCCACATAGAATATCCTTGATCACCTTTTGTTTTGTCCCAGTCTTACTGACCGACGTGATCTTTCTATAATTTTTTTCCTTACCATTTGATGACCGGAAAGAGTTTAGGGCCATCTCTGCTTTGTATATTTGTGTCGTTCCTATTCTCAACTCACTGTCTCCATACCTTCAGCTCTCATTATTTCTTCAGCTCATTGTCATTTCACCAAAGCCAACAGTAACCTCTTAATTGCCTTATCCAATGGGCTCTTTTGGGTCTTTGTCACATTGGATCTCTTTGACAACTTCAATGGTATTGATCTACTCCTGAAAACTCTCAACTCCCTTGATTTTCTGGACAGCACCACAGGCTTCTAGTCCTTCTGTCTCTCTGGCTGTTCTCTCTTTGTCTCCTTAATGGGCATTTCTTCCTCTGCTTCCTCTACAAATCTTGAGGTTACATGATGTTTCATTTTCATCCCACGTTTTTCCCTTCCTAAGTAATATTATCTATTCTTATTGTTTTAACTCTCACCTATGGGCTAACGGCTGCCAAATACCTCTCTCCAACCCTGACCTCTCTGCCACCCAACTCCAGGCTATGTGACATCTTCACACGGAAGCCTCATAAGTATTTCAATCTAAACATGTATGATACTCATTTTTTTTGTTTAAGGTTTCACACAGCAATCCTCCTTCCCTTCCTAAATCCTCCTACTTCCTACAGGTCACTAGCTCCTGACTTTACCTCTAAAATATTTTCTCAACATGCCTCATTCCTTCTATCTTTATTATAATTTCAGTCCATGTTATTTCTCCTATTTCTCTCTTGATCTATTGCAATAGCTTTTTGACCTGTGTTCCCCTCAAATTCATACGTTGGAGTCCTAACCCCCAAGTACCTCAGAATGTGAACTTATTTGGCAATGGGGTCACTGCAGATCTAATAAGAAGGGATCATACTGGAGTAGGATGGACCTAATCTAGTATGTGTCCTTATAAAAAGGGGAAATGTGGACATAGACATGCAAACACGGGGAATGCCATACCAAGACTGGAGTGATGCTGCCACAAGTCAAGGAATTACCAGAAGCTAGGAGAGAACCCTAAGGCAGAGCCCTCCCTAGAAGCTTCAGAGAGAGCATGGCCCTGCTGACACCTCGATCTCCCACTTCTGGCTTCCACGACTTTGAGATAATGCATTTCTGTTGTTTAAGCCACTCAGTTTGTGGTATTTTGTTATAGGAGCCCTAGAAAATGAATACAAACTTCCTTTCTTATTTTATTTGCCTCCAGTTTCCCCTCGAATGACCCCCTGCAGACTGAGTAAGCTATCTGAAAGGTACATGTAACCCTGACAGTCCCCAAATTAAAAACCGCTCATTCCCTCACCTCTCAATCCCCAGATTACGAGTCTGGTTTACAAAGCTCTTGCCTCACTCAATTCATGCTTTTCTCTCCAGCAGTGATGAACTGCTGGGCTCTGACTAAACACTTGATGTTATTTCAAGCTGTTGACCTTTGCTCATTTCCCAACCCTAACACCCACTTATACTCCTACCTTTTTTCCCCATCTTTTAAAATTCAGTGCACACATTCCTTCTACCAGAAAACCTCCCCCTGATATTCCCACACCCTGTGTCCTACCCTACCAACACCCCCTCCACCAGCACCAGCTTCCTGGATGGGGTAGGTGACCTTTCTCTGATTGCTATGCATTCTCTGCATAATTGACTTATGATAGTTCCTGCAGTTTAGTAAAATGATCTCCACATCTGTTTGCCTCACTAAGTTGTGAATTCCTAGGTGCTCTGTAATTGTGTGTGTGTGTGTGTGTGTATATGTGTATGTACTCATAAATAGGTATATTTAAATAAGATCACTTCTCAAAGGATTGGTAGGGGGCGGTAGAGGAGGTAAGCAGCTATGGAGTGGAGTGAATTATGGATAGGTGGGTATGACTATCCCACATTAGGAGGCTCATTATCTCCAAAGCTTCTTTCATCTGCCTTACTCTTTTACACACAGAGAAGCCAGAGTCGGGGGCTGGGGAGGTATAAAAAGAAAATTTCCCCTACCCCTACCCATCAAGCCCCACCACAATCCCTTGGAAAGAATGCCAGACTGGCCCACGCCAACAAGTCATCCCATACGAAATGGCCCAGTGCCCGCCATCTAATGTACTGAATGCCGTGGGAGCTCCAAAGTCATGCAGCCTTTTGGGGGAAGGGGGTAGGGGCCGCGCGGGAGGCACACAAAATAAAGAAATACGTTCAACGCTAATGCCTGAATTCCCTGACATGTTTCCCACGGCAGCTGAACTCTCCCCCACTCCTGCCCCAAAGGCATTCAGGCCCTCCACTCTCCCCTCCGTCTGCTGTAAAAGCCCCGGGTCCTTTCTTCAGACCCTTTCTTACCCTCTGGCCTCCTACCTGTCTGGATCAGAAGAAGGTAGACAAAAGGAGCAAGGCGCAGGGCCCTGGAGGCTCTGGACAGGGCTCCCCTTTCTCTCTTCATTTTGGGTGGCGTTCTCCAGCTCTAGTGCAGACAATTAGCATGATTTCTCCACTCTGGGCACGTCCCCTTTGTACCACTCGGAGTTTCTCTGCCCGAACACAACCCTGCCAACTTCCCTCTGAATACACAGAGCTCTGTGTATTGCTGGACTTGTTCTTTCCTCTCCCTCAGACCTGGCATTTTCTAGTTTCCAAGCCCTACATCCCCAGTTTGGAAGCAGGTATCTGCTTAGGAGATAATCTCCAACTCAGGTTCCAACATGGGGGGCACCGGCAGCCCAGCAGTTGGTTGCTTGTCTGTGCTGAGCCTCACTACCCAGGGAGATGAGGATCTGGGCTCAGAGCACTGAGCTGGGACACACACTTAACTGGACTTTGTGTCCCAACCTACCCTGTCTCCACCTAACACTCCTTCTCCCTGAGGAGGAGGGTACATGCCAGGACAGACCTCCAATAAGCTCTGAAAAGGGAGGGAGAAGAGATTTTAAAAAGCTGGGAAGTGAAAGACTCCAGACAACTGCTGAAGAAATGGAAAACCCCTGTTCCATCCCAAAGGAAGAAGACTGGAAAACAGCTTGAATTCTATTATTGTTACACTTGTCTTTCCGTGGCTTGGAATTTTCTCTTCTATCATAGAATCACATAGATGCTGGACACCTCTTTCCAGAAGCCACTCTGTTCATTCCCCTGCTTTCAGGCAATTTTCTAGAACATGTCTGAGCAAAATGAAGGTCATCTCCTAACAGCCAGCATCCTAGGGTTCTGTTACCAGCTTAACAGCCTAGCTGTGCCCTCCTGTTTTGAGGCTGTGAAGAGGAGAAACACTCTAGCTCTACTCTGACCCCCATTCATGTGTTCACACCTTTTCATGAGGGCGGCCAAGGGAATGGATGCCTAGTAACTGTGATCTTGGGATGGGCTCGCAACCTCTTTGAGCCTTCAATTTCTCATCTGTAAAATGGGGAAAAGAAGAGCTTCCTTGAGGGGAATTGTTGGGAGCGTTGATGGAGATTTGGTACAGAAGAGTACCTAGCAAATCCTTTGTTACAGAGATGATGTTTTAAACTTTTTAAAAATTGCCTTGTTTCTTTTTTCATTCATGCTGGGATCTTTATATTTTTGGGAGACCAAACTTCACAACTTCCTTCTTGGTCATCCCTAACCCCTGGTCTTGGTTTTGTAAGTGCAGCAATTATCTCTCTAAATATTCTTTTTACATACTGGAGAAAGCCTGAGTAGGTCAACTTTCTAGAACTGAAGCATTATTACATAGCCCTTCTGAGCCTCGGCAGAGGGAGAAGAGTTGGGAAGCACTGAACTTCACAGACCTCTCTGAAAACATTCTGAAATATATAAAGGGGATTCTTTTTTCCTTTTGCATTTCTGTGTTTATGACTTTTCCCTAGACAACTCAAGGCACCTTTCTTCCACTGGAAGAGGTAATGTTATTATAGCAGGTACACAAAAAGAGTCAATATTCAGCTTCTGACATTTAAAATAGCATTTCAAAGTCCATAGCAAGATGAAAGGCTTAGCCAGTCTTTGTAAGGGACAAAAGAGCATTCTAATTTCTTTTATCTACCCCTTGACATATCATAGATCAGCCTGTGGACTGGATCACAGAGTCCTTCTGGAGTGTAGATAAATGGCCTCTTTGCCTGTGATGGCTGGGCCTTGAGGCTTATGGATGGGAGTAAAAGGAGGATGCAGTGTTTGGGAAATAGAAAGCCCGAAGTCTGCCCTTGTTATCCTGAAGCACTGTGGAAAGAAAAATGTGCTAGAGGGAGACTAAAAGGATCTAAGTTCTCAATATCCCCACTTCCCCGCCCCAGAGGTGGCTCTTTATACCTGCACAGAATTTGCAAGGGCTTCTAGGTGTCCAGAAGCCCTTTAGGAGACTCAGAAGTGCCGAGAGGGTAAAGAACTGGCAGGAAACAGAAGATTGAGCAAAGGCACTGCCATGTACGGGGATTCTGAGGCCAGAGGCAACAGCTGGGACCACCTACTGCTGTGGTGGGAGCCTCAGGTAGCTCATCAGGCCAGGAAAAAATGTAGACCCTGAGTAGAGACTGGTGGGAAACCTGAGAATACCACACAGGTCCACAGACACTGTCTCCCCCTGTTGCCACAAGGTTACTTCAGCCACACCATGTATATTTACCCCAACTCTTATTAGAGAGGAGCTGGGATTGGGAGAGGACATTGGAAAGACTGCTTGAGCAATTGCCTGAGCTGTCCAAGCAGAGACTGAGCTACCTAAAGACAGTGTGAAAATGGTTGGATCAGACTGGGCTTACTGAGATGGAGTGATATTTTCCTCTGCTACCCTGGGGGCGGTGAGAGGTTCATGTGGAAGATCACAGCAACTACAAAGACATAAAGGCCTTCCCTTTCCTTTGTACGTTGGAATGTATGAGGAGTAATTTTGCAATCTTGCTTCCAGCGACTGAGTAGGCCTTTAGAAACTTATAATCATCTACTTATGTGCCTTTCTCTCCTAAGAAACAGAGAGCTCTTTGATTTAAGAGCTGTCTTATTTGTCTCTCTGTCTATAGTACCGAATACGGGGCAGGCACATAGTAGGTGCTCAATAGGCAGTTGGCAAATATTGAATGGATAAGCCCTTGCCTTAGTTCCTTTAGAGGGCTTCTCAAGCAGCTGGACAACTGGGGGTTGGGGGAGCAAGCAAGGGAGTGAGGCCACAGTTTGTGGACACATATGAGGCATCCCTTGGGAATTCCCAGAAATAACCGGGGCTCACTTTGAGTGGGGACACTGATCCAATAGGCAATTGATTTACAGAAAGATAAAGTAACAGCCTCACACATGACACAAAGTGTTTATCTCAGCTGTCTTGGCTCGCCTTATGTTATCCTTCCTTGTGTTCTTTGAGTTTTTTCCTCTGGGTGTGTCTGTCTCATGATTGTTGATGATGCTGGCTTTTTTTTTTTTAAGGGATATTCCGACTATTAATGTTACATTTCTTTAATGTCAAAAATATATTTATATTTGTTAGTCCGCATGTCCAATTTTTGGATCAGAAAGTGTGGTTATTGCGGCCATTTCCTCATGAGCCTGCAAGCCTCTCTGGAGCAGGGAACGTAATTCTTCATTCCTCTGGATCTCCCCATGGGGCCCAATTCTGAGCTCTGCATAATGAGGCTGCTCCAACAATGGTGTCGACATGAACTGCTTGACTGATGGCAGTCATCCCTTGCTCAGCCAAGGCCCACCACCCTGCCTTCTCTGAGCACTCTGACAGATTCATTTCCGAGGGCACTGTCCTCTTCGGAGCAGCATAGCCCAGTTCTCTTGGCCCCTTCACTGCACACAGTTACTTCAGAATACTCCTTATTTGGAAACCCCTCTGGGGCTCTGGAATCTGGACTCCTATCCCCTGCAACAGTGGCAGCCCTGGCTGCTGGTACTCACAACTCTGCACTGAGCACCCAGACAGAGCTCCTGCAGCTCAGGATGGAGCGCCTCAACACACATGCATCCACCAGCAGAAACTCAGAAGTATCTGTCTCTAGAATGGGAGGAAGGAGGAAGGTAGTGATTTTAACCGAATCACCATTCGATGCAAACCTCTGTGAGAGCTGGCCAAAACAACAAATAAACAAACAAAAAAGGAGGCTAAGAAGTTGTAAAACTGAACTCTGTCTTCCAAGAACTGAAGGTCTTGTAACAGTCACAGAGCAGTGGACTCACTGTGCAGCAAGAGACACTTATGATAACCTTTGTCTCACTTCTCCATTTTTTCAGATGAGGAAACCAAGGAGTAGTGGGGTTAAGTAATTTGCCCAAAGGTAAATGGCTATCTACTGATGGACCCTGGACTCCCGATGTTACTTAAAAGCAAATGGACAAGCAAAAATCATTTAAAAAATTAAATTACTTAATAGTAAAGGCAAGAAAAAATAACACACATGAATGACATGTGAATAAGTACCATTTTAAATAATTCTACTATTAGAAGTAAGAGTGTCCCCACCCACCTGGCCTGTTCCTCTGTCTCCAGGGAATAATGATAATACTATAAGAGAGGTTTAGAAATCGCCCTTACTAATAATATCCCATCAGTGGTGATTTTTATGTTTAGCATGCCTCCTCCTCCCCTCCATTCACTACCTGTTATTAATTGAGCCATATCCATCTCCTCCACTAAATTGTGAATCATTGTTGGTAGCAGAATGAGAAAAAGCCTTCCAACCAATGGCACCAAAATTCCTGTGAGTGAGGGAATTTTCTTTAGCAAGAAAGATATCTTGATATGCTACATGAAGTAGAAGGTAAGACCTTGAGCATTAAGAGTCAAGGAACAAAAAGATAAATTGCTCCTCGTTAGAAATAAACAGGAATTTGGGGGCAAGGAAAGTGCAAAGTGGAGAGAGATGAAGACAGGAAGAGGGGATGGTGGGGAATTGAAGAAAATTTAAGAGCAGCTTGCATTGTTACACTGTATACCTCCCCTCCTTTGTCTTCTTCAAAACTTCAACTTGAAGAAAACTTCTTCAAAATTTTACTACACTCAAATGCAGTATGTGTGTGTGCTTCTAGCCAATAAAATATGGCAAAGGTGATGGGATAGGCACTCTCTTGATTAGGTTACAATATGGAAGACACAGACCAGAGAGAGATTGTCTAGTGTACCACCATGGCATGAGAGGCCCCTGTGGCAAGGAACTGCTGGCCTCCTCCAGGAGTTGAGAGCAACTGTCAGTCAACAGCTAGCAAAGAAAAAAAAAAAAAAAAAGAAAAAGGAACCTCAGTGCTACAACCACAAGGAACTGAATTCTTCCAACAACCATATGAGTTTGGAAGAGGACCCCCCCAGGCTCCAGAAAGGAACTTGGACAGCTGATACCTTAATTGAAGTCTGGTGCGAGACCCTGAGCAGCAGATCTATCTAAGCTGTGCGTGAACTCCTGACCCAAAGAAACTGTAAGAAAATAAATGTATGCTGCCAGGCATGGTGGCTCATGCCTGTAATCCCAGCACTTTGGGAGGCTGAGGCAGGCAGATGGCTGGAGTTGGAGACCAGCCTGGGTAACATGGCAAAACTCCGTCTCCACAAAAAAATACAAAAAATTAGCTGGGCATGATGGTATGTACCTGTAGTCCCAGTGACTCTGGAGGCTGAGGTGAGAGGATCCTTTGAGCCCAGGAGGTTGAGGCTCCAGTGAGCTGAGATTGTACCATTGCACTCCAGCCTGGGTGACACAGCCAGCATCTGTCTCAAATAATAATAAAACATGTATGCTGTTTTAAGCTGCTAAATGTGCAGTATGTGTTATGTAGCATAGAAAATGAATACAATTAGCATGTGTGCATTTATACTGACACAGAGGACTGAGTTCCAGGTTTGGTACAACACGGTATGGAAAAAGGACGGCATATGTAGAACTGTGAAATGAGCTCTAAACTGACTAATTCAGCTGAAGCAGGAGTATGGAGTCAGGGATGATCCTGAAAACCTAGGCCTTCAAAAATTTGAAGAAATATTGGTATCTTAGTTTGGGTTTCCTCAGAGGCAGATCCTAAGTTAACAAGTCAAATAGTTTATCCAAAAGGTAATTACAGCCAAACCAGGCAGTATATTGGGGGAATGAAACTGGAAGGAAAGGAAGCCAGTAAAGGCTGCATATGAAGCAAATCACTATTGTGGGCAGCTAGAGCTTATTCCTCTTGGGAGCCCTAGGTGGTAGTAAAGAATATGCCTCCTAGGGGATAGGGAGCTGGGGTATTTATCCACCAACTGCCATCAGATATGAGCTAAGGGGCTGCTTCTGAGGGGTAAGGAGATATTAATTTCTGAGGCTTCTTACCTCCCTCTTCTAACTGCTCTCTCTCTCTATATATATATGTGTGCGTGTGAGAGAGAGAGAAAGAGAGAAAGTGCTACTCTGCATTTGACTGTGTCAACCACTATATATATAGATATTTGCTTATTTATTTCTTCCAACCCCATCTTACAAACAAGAAAACAAACTTCTGAGAGGTCAGCAGCTTGTTGAAGTCATATAGCTGTTAAGTGACAAAATTTGGATTGGATCCCAGACAGATCACCAAAAAAGCTTAGGGTTTGACCAACCCCTAATGCACCAGTAGGAATTCCTCCTCCTGGTATAAGCTTTTACCCTCCAGGACCTACTCCCTGACTAAGCTCTGGATATGAAGCAGCCCTCTCTCCCCACTCCTTGGGCCTTCTAGTATTGGTGAAGGTATTTTCTTTCTTTCTTTCTTTCTTTCTTTCTTTCTTTTTTTTTTTTTTTTTTTGAGATGGAGTCTCACTCTGTCACCCAGGTTGGAGGGTTTCACCATCTTGGCCAGGCTGGTCTTGAACTCCTGACCTCGTGATCCACCCACCTCGGCCTCCCAAACTGCTGGGATTACAGGTATGAGCCACTGTGCCTGGCCTAGTGATGAAGTTATTTTCATTTTTATTTTTTGTTGTATAAATCTATATGCAAATGGTACTGGTGTTGTCTCTACCATAAGTTTGATTTCTCCTAATGGACAGAGGACGCAGGAGGCAAACACCAGCCAGAGAATTTGTAGAGCTGCAGCACATTGCCTGGGAAACAACGAGATTGTATGAGGCTTTGTGTTGAGAGGAGGCAGGGCCCAGCTCCTACAGCAAGCTCTGAATAAGAGACAGATTAGCTAGCTCCCTTCGGAACAAAACAAGCTTTCTGTATGCCTGGACAGTGAGGAATGGCCCTCCCCAAGAACATTTTCTTTTCTATTCGTTCTCTTTCTAAAGTTCTCCTAGGTGGCCCTACTCTGGGGGCCTCAGAAAAACATCAAATAGAAAGTAGAAATGGAGTCAAAAGGCTCCTTCATCCTGAAATTGGTTTTGCTGGCTGCAGATTTCTGTAAACATGAAGAGTTACTCAGATGAAAAGGGTTCTGCAGAGATATGGTGTCTCCACAAGATGTGGAGTTTGTTGGGAGAAATACATGATCCTGGGAGTGGCATGGGGTCCTGGGTAAATTTTGGAAGGGCAGCAAGGAGGGGCTCCCATTTCTCTGCTGAAAACAGGAGAACATCAAAGTCTTTTATACTGAGAGTAAATATTTGATTTTTGAATAGAATTCCGGCCTCCTCAGAAAGTGAGAGGGACTCAGGCTTGTGTCCATGGTTGCTAAACGTGCTCTATTCAGCCACTCTCCAGAGGAACAAAGAGGAGAAATTAATTGGTATTAAAGGGCTGGAAAGATCCAGCTTTTGCTGACCTATTTAAGATGCAGCAAGGACATTCTGGAGAATATCTCTGGAGTTCTGTTCTTGTAAAGCTTCAGTGCTTAAATACAAACAGGTTGAAAAATCATGGGGAAGCCACAAATTACACCCCAACTCATGAAAGCCTTCACTGTTTCCCTTCTCCTAGATCCTCAGATGGTGTCCACCCACCAACCGTGTCAGGGGAAGGATTCGCTGCCCTCTGCCGTCGTTCACCCTCCTACCAAAGAGGGAGGCTCAGAAATGGGAATCAGCTGGCCAGCATCTGATAATTGCCTACTGTGTGAAGAACACTCTATGTTCCAAACATTAATAAAAGTGGTGGGATGTGGAAGAGGAGGAAGGCGGCACATTCAAAAGTAATAGACGACACCATCCCTGGATCCCTGTCTAGGAGCTGAAATATATTATAGCTGGGAAGGCTGCACCTACATCTATAAGCAAGTATAATTGATAAAACATTTGCATTGCCCTTTACAAATTATCTTTTAGAATATTATTTTATTTAGCCTTCTAACAACGCTGTGCAGTGGGATTTTTTTTTCCATTTTTCAAGGAGGATCATGAAGCTTAGAGAGGTTAAATAACCTGCTCCAAGTCACACATTTTACAAGTTGGCACAGCCTAGACTCAACTGTGCTTCCTGTCTAATGTTCATAATGCTGTACCCCTGAAAGAGGTTTCCTTCACATTTGCAAGTTGGCACAGCTTAGACTCAGCTGTGCTTCCTGTCTAGTGTTCATAATGCTGTACCCCTGAAAGAGGTTGCCTTCAGCCAGGCCCAGAAGTAAAAACTAAGTAGGAAAAGGAGAGTTCTGAGACAAGATGTGAGAAAAGGGATCAGGCAGGTGACAGGACCATAAAAAAAAAAAAAAGCTTAGTAAGCAAGGGAAACTGGGCCCCCACAGGTTAGGCCAGGGACACTAAGAAGATAGATTTGTGATACACAGGATTCAATATGGGGAGGGACCACATTTCTTAAAAGGAGGCCCTAGCTAAGTTGTCAGCAGAGGTGTCTTGAAGACAGCCCCCAATTTTCCCCTTGTTGCAGTACTTACAGGATTTGGCTTTGTCTAGTTTAAAGATCCATGCCAAAGTCAGGCCTCCAAGATTCTGCATCTGGTTTGTGGCCCGACAAACTAAGGAATGTGATTTGTCAAGATCATTTGATTGTAAGTGACTGAAGTTCAACTGGAACTATCTGAAGCAAAAAGGGAAGAATTTCTTGCATTATGTAACAAAATTTTTCAGGGAGCAGGAATAATTGGAAATAAGACAGTATTTTATATCTGTGCTGTCAAATATAGTAGCCATTAATTAGCCCCGTGTGGCTAGTGGGACTGAGGAAATACATTATAAATTTCATTTAATTGTAATTAAACTTAACACATGTATCTAGTGGTTAACATATTGGACAGTGCAGCTTGTCATGCGGGCAGGAGAAGAAGACTCTTGATGGAACTAGTTAAAAAATAATCTTGGCAAAAGGCCATGGCTTAGGTCACATGCACAGCTCTGGATCAATCACTGTAGCAAGGAGACTAGAACACTATCCCAGGCTGGGCCATGTACTTAACCCCACAGTCACAGGTGGGGCCATTACTAGAAAAAGCGGGAGAAGGGATGCTGGGAAGACAAATCAAAATCTTCTAAGGTTTTATGACTCTATCTTGCTTCCTAAAAAAAAGTTAGCAAGCATTTACTGAAAGTCTATTATGCATGATATATTTTACATATGTAACATTACTTCTCACAAAACACAAACAAACCCTCAAGGGTCAATTGTTATTACATATGTTACATATCTAGAAATAAAGACTTGGATAATGTGACTTGACCACAGATAGTAAATTGCAGAACTGGAACATAAACCCAAGTTTAGCTCTAAAACCCCTTTCTCCACTGTAATATGCTATCCCCAAAGATTTGGGATATAGAGAATGTGACTATTAATAGTAGATAATTTAAATAATCATAGCTGAACACACACAAATGAATAACTTGGCTTTCTCCAAATAGTTATCTAGAAAGCCTTACTGCTTTTTTTAAAATAAAATCTATTTCCATTTATTTTTATTGTGGTAAAATATATAAAATATACAGTTTATCATTTTAACTTTTTAAGGTGTCCATTTCAGTGGGATTTACTACATTCACGTTGCTGTGCAGCCATGACACTCTCTTCTCCAGAACTTTTTCCTCTTATTTTCTTTTTTAAGGCCTCATGTCTTACACCTTTTAAGGGTTACATTTTTTAAATTCCTTTTTAAAAGTTGCTTTTAGAGCCTGCAACATATTTTTTAAGTATCTTTAATGATTACAATTTTTATACTTCAAGAGATTTTTTTTTAAAATCAAGCATAGAGTGAATAATATAAGTAACAAGGATAGATAAAATAATTTTGGCTAAAACTAGCTTTAAAGTAAAAGTCTCGCCTGACCAACATGGCGAAACCCTGACTCTACTAAATACAAAAAATTAGCTGGGTGTGGTGGTACATGCCTGTAATCCCAGCTACTCGGGAGGCTGAGGTGGAAGAATCTCTTGAACCTGGGAGGCAGAGGTTGCAGTGAGCCGAGATCGCATCACTGCACTCCAGCCTGTGCGACAGAGTGAGAATTTGTCTCAAAAAAAAAGGAAAAGTCTCCTACCTTAGTCAAGCTTCTTTGGCTTCAAAGAATAGATATCCCAGTGAAGTACCATCAACCATCAGAGGAGAGGCATATTGCAGGAATACATAAGACCTGGATCTGGAATTGAAGGGCTCAGTTTTGAGGCCGCTCCAGGAACCAATTTTTGTAGGTAGCTCTGACTCATTCTGCTCGTCTCTTTTAGTCTCTAATATTTACCAATGGACTTATCTCAGAGCTTGTCTATGGTCTACGTTACAAATAATATAAAACCTAATGTAAATTGGCATTAATAATAAAGAACTTTATTGGCTTATGTATTTGGAAAGACTAGAGATGGGGTAGCATTGAGATAATTCAGAGGCTCAACAGTGTCAACAGGGAACAGAAAGAAGGACTTATTTATTTATTTATTTATTTCTAAGATAGAGTCTCGCTCTGTCGTGGAGGGAGTAGACAGCCAAAAAGCCCTTCCTTGGAAGATCTGGATAGTGCATCTCTCAACTTCCTAGATGAATACTTGGTAATGTAGAGAGATGCTGAAATCCCTGTTAATTTTCTTTTAATCACACACCAAGAGTAAGGAGAAAAAGACTTCTGCATCCATGGTAAAACTAGAGAATCTTTTGCAATAAGTAGTACAGCAGATGCTATTGAGAAAACTGGGCTTAACTGCAGCAATCTGCTATTGGTGCCATTTACAGTGAAATGCTACTGCAGAAACCTGGTCTGCACAGGCAAGCAGAAGGACTCTCTAGTTATCCTAGTTAGAAAGGTTATTTTGAGAGGTGGATAAGGAGGAGGAAGAAAAAGGACAGTGCTATGGTCCATTTTCAGGAAATAGCCCAGAATATCAGTTAGCCTTGGAACACCCTGCTGAAACTTGGGAGACAGGCTGAAAGTGGCCATGACTCAGCTGCCTGAGGCTTCATTCCCCAAAATCCAGTTCCCCTGAGAGTAGAGATAGGCAGGTTTCTCACTTCTATAGATGTTCTCCTTAGGCTATGCCCTGAGAACTGACATGTGACCAAGTTTTCTAATTTGTTACAGGTGTGGGTCAGCCAGCAACAAATAGGAAAGTAGTGACCAAAAATGCAAATTGCTCCCTCATGCTCATGAAACAATCAGTTCTGTGTGGGGTGGACTGCTGCCAAGGACCCAGTGACTCGGGGCTTTGTGCAGACATGTCCAGGGATCCCCCAGACACAGAAAAGGGATTATATCCAACTCCGATGAGGAGTGCTCTGGAGCAGGGCCTCAACACTTTGGTGCCAGCAATATCCATTCTTTTAAGTTCCTGAAGAAGGTAGACATTTCTAAGCAAACAGTTTCCTTGCTGAGAAACCAACTCTGGTTATATAGAATATAAGCATTCCTGAAGAGGTCAGAAAATGGGAACAGGGCCTTAGATGTGAATTCTCTGGACATATCAAGAATGTAGATTATTGGCTGGGTGTGGTGGCTCACAGTTGTAATCCCAGCACTTTGGGAGGCTGAGGCAGGCAGATGACCTGAGGTCAGGAGTTCAAGACCAGCCTGGCCAACATGGTGAAACCCCATCTCTACTGAAAATACAAAAATTAGCTGGGCATGGTGGCAGATGCCTGTAATCCCAGCTACTGGAGAGGCTGAGGCAGGAGAATCGCTTGAACTCGGGAGGTGGAGGTTGCAGTGAGCCAAGATTGCACCACTGCACTCCAGCCTGGGTGACAGAGCAAGACTCTGTCTCAAAAAAAAAAAAAGAATGTAGATTATTATGAAACCACTGGCCCAGGTGCTAGTGGGAGGCACAGACCTTGAGGTGGTGGGTTGAAGAAAGCAAGGAGATACCTAACAACACTTCTTCCCAAGTGTTGGTGTGTGAGTATGTGTCTGTGTATGGAGGTGTGCAATTCAACCTCTCTGTTGCCTTCTCAAGTATTAGGTTGGTGCAAAAGTAATTGGGGTTTTGGTACCAGCCACTGCAAAAACATACCAAATTGTAAAGACCATGAACACTGTGAAGAAACTGCATCAACTAATGGGCAAAATAACCAGCTAGCGTCATAATTTGACAGGATCAAATTCACACATACAATACTAACCTTAAATATAAATGGGCTAAATGCCCCCACTGAAAGATACAGACTGGCAAATTGGATAAAGAGTCAAGACCCATCAGTGTGCTGTACTCAGGAGACCCATCTCATGTACAAAGACACACATAGGCTCAAAATAAAGGAATAGGGGAATATTTACCAAGCAAATGGAAAGCAAAAAAAAAGCAGGAGTTGCAATCCTAGTCTCTGATAAAACAGACTTTAAACCAACAAAGATCAAAAGAGACAAAGAAGAGTATTACATAATGGTAAAGGGATCAATACACCAAAAAGAGCTAAATATCCTAAATATATATGCACCCAATACAGGAGCACCCAGATTCATAAAGCAAGTTCTTAGAGACCTACAAAGAGACTTAGACTCCCACACAATAATAGTGGGAGACTGTAACACTCCATTGTCAATATCAGACAGATCAACGAGACAGAAAATTAACAAGGATATTCAGGACTTGAACTCAGCTCTGGATCAAGCACACCTAACAAACATCTACAGAACTCTCCACCCCAAATCAACAGAATATACATTCTTCTCAGCACCACATCGCACTTATTCTAAAATTGACCACATAATTGGAAGCAAAACACTCCTCAGCAAATGCAAAAGAACGGAAATCATAACAGTCTTTCAGACCATGGTACAATCAAATTAGAACTCAGGATTAAGAAATTCACTCAAAACCGCACTACATGGAAACTGAACAACCTGCTCCTGAATGACTACTGGGTAAATAATGAAATTAAGACATTAATAAATAAGTTATTTGAAACCAATGAGAACAAAGACACAATGTACCAGAATCTCTGGGACACAGCTAAAGCCGTGTTTAGAGGGAAATTTATAGCACTTAAATGCCCACAGGAGAAAGTGGGAAAGATGTAAAATTGACACCCTAACATCACAATGAAAAGAGCTACAGAAGCAAGAGCAAATAGCAGAAAACAAGAAATAACTAAGATAAGAGCAGAACTGAAGGAGATAGAGACAGGAAAAACTCTTCAAAAAATCAAGGAATCCAGGAGCTGGTTTTTTGCAAAGATTAACAAAAAAGATAGACTGATGACAGGTTGATGGGTGCAGCAAACCACTATGGCACATGTATACCTATGTAACAAACCTGCATGTTCTGCATGCGTATCCCAGAACTTAAAGTATAATAAAAAAAAAAGTAATTGTGGTTTTGGACCATGAATTTTAAGTGATTATAACTAGGCTCAGATATATTTTTATTAATCAAAATAGGAACCATTACAATCAACACCTTTTTGCCAATGAGAAATAAGTTCGTTTATTCCTGTAGTGTAAGAAGCTGTGCTTCCAGATTCGCCAAACTCTTAAAAAGTATTTTCTGCATCCTGCTGGTTGTAGAAGTGTTTTCTCTGCAAAAAGTTGTTGAGATGCTTGAAGAAGTGGTAGTTGGTTGGCCACAGGTCAGATGAATATGGTGGATGAGGCAAAACTTCATAGATCAATTTGTTCAACTTTTGAAGGGTTGGTTGTGCGACATGCAGTCGGGCATTGTAGTTGCTGTGGAGAAGAATTGGGTCCTTTCTGTTGACCACTGTCAGCTGCAGGTGTTGCACTTTTCAGTGCCTCATTGATTTGCTAAGCATACTTCTCAGATGTAATGGTTTCACTGGGATTCGGAAAGCCGTAGTGGATCAGACTGGCAGCAGACCACCAAACGGTGACCATGACCTGTTTTTGGTGCTTTGGGAAGTGCTGTGGAGCTTCTTCTGGGCCCAACCATTGAGCTGGTCATTGCCAGCTGTTGTATAAAATCTACTTTTCATAGCACATCTCAATCCAATCGAGAAATGGTTCATTGTTGTGTAGAACAAGAGAAGACAACACTTCAAAACGATATATTTTTTTTATTTTCAGTTGGCTCATGAGGCATCCACTTATCGAGCTTTTTTACCTTTCCAATTTGCTTCAAATGCTGAGTGACGATAGAATGGTCAACATTGAGTTCTTAGGCAACTTCTCATGTAGCTATAAGAGGATCAGCTTCAATGATTGCTCTCAATTGGTCATTGTCAACTTCCCATGGCCGGTCACTATGCTCATCATCTTCAAGGCTCTCAGCTCCTTTGCAAAACTTTCTTTCTTTCTTTCTTTCTTTTTAAATTGAGACGGAGTCTTGTTCTGTCACTGGAGTGCAGTGGCACAATCTCAGCTCACTGCAACCTCTGCCTCCTGGGTTCAAGCGCTTCTCCCACCTCAGCCTCCCGAGTAGCTGGGATTACAGGTGCATGCCACCATGCCCAGCTAATTTTTTTATTTTTAGTAGAGATGGGGTTTCACCATGTTGGCCTGGCTGGCCTCGAACTCCTGACTTCAAGTGATCCGGATGCCTTGGCCTCCCAAAGTGCTGGGATTATAGGTGTGAGCTGCTGCGCCTGGCCATCCTTTGCAAAACTTCTTGAACCACCACTGCACTGTACGTTCATTAGCAGTTCCTGGGCCAAATGCACTCTTGATGTTGCAAGTTGTCTCTGCTGCTTTGCAGCCCATTTTGAACTCGAATAAGAAAACTGCTTGCATTTGTTTTTTGTCTAACATAATTTCCATAGTCTAAAATAAACATAAACAGCAAGAAGTCATTAGCAAAAAAATAAAAGTGAGAAATGCCCATTAAACTGATGTATAACATAACCACATTTATTCAAGCATGTATTCCAACATCAAATGGCAAATTCCAACAATGAAAAACCACAATAACTTTTGCACTCACCTAATAGTAGCTGTTTTCTGTTCCTTGCCCCTCTGGGTGGAGGTGGGATGGGTTTCCTTCTTGCTATTCAGTTACTCAGTGCTTTTGCTAAACCACATCCTCCCTTTTTCTTAACCTCACCTCCAACTTTGAACCTCATGTCACCAGAATATACCATGCTTGGGTTTCCAAGCTATACTTACCCACCAACCTCCAAGCCTTTTCAAGATTGTTGCTTCTGGCTTTCTCCAACATCATTCTTGTTATATTTTTTGGTGATTTCAGTATCCTCATGGATCATCCAATCAATGCTCTGGTGTTTGGTTTCTATGACCTCTTCTCCAGTGATCTTGTTCTTTAACCCACCTTAGCTTTCCCTCCTTTGGTCATACCATAGACTTTGACAGCACCAATAACCACAACCTCTGCATACACTCAGCTCCAAGCAGCCTACTCTCAGACCACCTCTTATCTTAGCACATTCTTTTGAGTATCCTGTTCTAACAAACTTTAGACCACCACAGGAACCTACAACTTCTTGACTCTACCAACTTTTCATAGTCCCTTACCTCCTACTTCTCTCATTGTATAACAAATGACCCTCAAATTTAGCATCTTAATACAACAAACATTATCTCACACAGTTTCTCGTTGGGCGGTCTGGCTCAGGGTCTCTTATGAGGTTGCAGTCAATTGTTGGCTGAGTACAGTCTCTGAAGACTTGATTAGGGCTGGAGGGTCTACTTCCAAGTTCTTTCACAGGGCAGCTGGCAGAATGTTTCAGTTTCTTGCCATGTGATCCTCTTTATAGAACTGCTAATGATGTACATGGCTTCCCTCAGAACAAGAGATCTGAGAGGGAGGGAGGGAGGGAAGGAGGGAGGGAGAGAGAGTGAGCGAGCCCATGTGAGCATATCTCTTATAACCTAACCTCTGTAGTAATATACCATCCCTTCTGCCATATTCTGTTGGTCATACAGTCCAACCTAGGTACAATGTGGGAGGGGACTACACAAAGGTGTGAACACCAAGAGGTGGGGATCATTAGGGGCCATCTTGGAGGTTGGCTACAATACTATTTTACAGAGAAAACAGAGTAATCAGAAGAGAATTTCCATAAGCTCCTGCCACCACATTACCTAATTATCAGTTTACTGTGTATTCTAACTTTTCTGCTATTATTATAATTAACCATACCTCCTGCTATCTAAGGCCAATCCCTCCACTTGTTCACTAAATTCCATTTCCTCTATGAGGTTTGCACAAAGACAAAATCACCTAACATTTATCAAAATGTATCCCCATCTTTAAGTGACACATGACTGTAGATCCCTAAATTCTCCCATATCTCTCCCGCATCATTAGTTTTCTCCTGTCTATTGGTTAATTTCCATCAATAACAAATATATGCTATGATCTTAAAGAACTCTCCAATGATCCTACCTCTACGTTCAGCCACCTCTTTCGCTGTGTCCCTTCACAACAAAATTCATGGAAAGAATTGTCTAAAATTGCTGTCTCCAATTCCTTCTCCTACTCTTTCTTGCCTAGCCCATCAGGCTTTTGCTCTCCAACTACTCTAAAGACACTGCTCTTTTAAAAGTTATCAATCACTTCCACATGGTCAAATCCAATAGTCAATTTTCAGTCCTTACCTTATTTGATCTGTCAGTAGGATTTAACACAGATTGTCTGCCCTCAATGGAACATTTCTTTTTCACCTGGCTTTCAAGGTATCACACCCTCATAGTTTTCTTCCTTGGTTTACTGATTAATCCTTCTCAATCTCTTAGCATTCTCCTCCTCTTTTTCTCAGCCTCTGTAATACTGACATACCCTGGGGCTGTTTTAGGATTTATTCTTTTATCTGTCTATATTCAACCCCTTGATGACTCCATCCAGTCTCATGGCTTTAAATCTACAGGCTAACGACTCTTAGATTTATATTTGTAGCCCAGAACCCTTCTCTGAGCTCCAGACACTTTTTCTCATACTATCTTCTCGGATGTTGATTAGATAAAACTTTATCTGCCCCAAACTGAACTCCTGATCTTCCCCTTTCCAAATCTACTCCTTCCACCATCTTCACTATCTCAGTAAATAGTAATTTCATCCTGACAGCTGCTCAGGATGAAACCCCTAGTTTTCCTTGACATCTCTCCCTCACACAATCCATATCCAAACCTTCAACAGATCCTGAAAGTTTTGCCTCCCAAATAGATACAGAATCCAACCACTTATCATCATCTCCACCACTACCTCCTTGATCCAAGACATCACAATCCCTTAACTGAATTATTGCAATAGCCACCTAATTGGTCTTCTTTACAGTCTATTCTCACTACAGCATTCGGAATTATTATTTTTTTAATTTTGTCACATTATGGTGTTCCTTTGCTCCAAACCTTGCTCCAGTGGCTCCCCATCTCAACACCTATGGTGGCTTACGATGTTTGATCGGATTGCCTGCTTGACCTACTGTCTCAGCATTCTTCCACTCTCCCTCTGCTCCAGTCACACTATCCTCCTGACTTTTTCTCAACCAGGCAATGCTTCCACCTTGGGGCGTTTATACTTGCTGTTATATCTGGAACATGTTTATAAAGCCTCCGTTGAAGAGCACAGTGGCTTCTTCCATTAACTCATTTAAGTCTTTGCTGAAAAGTATCTCAGTGCAGCTTCTCTGGACGTTCTAATATTTCATCCCTCCAATCCCCACCCTGCCCACCACACTCCCTATCCGCTTTCTTTGCTTTTACTCCACATCACACACATTTACTTACTCATTGTTTATTCGCTTATTTCCCCTCACTCTATTGTGAATTCCCTGAGCAGGGATATTTGTTTCGTTCATAGCTATGTATCTCCGGTGCTTGGAACAGTACTGGTTTATAAAAAGTTAGTAGTAATGTATGTTAATCGAATGAATAAATTATCCTACAGAGATAATTGAGTGTCTCTGGATTACAGCAGAGCTTGCAGCAGAGAGGGAGACCACTCAACAGGCCGTGATGTCCAAATATAATAAGATGTATGAAACAGTACTGTAAAATTAGCTGCACAAAGGATCCGAAAAATTTGTTAGCTTAGTTTGTTTCTCCAGGAAGCCGTGCCAGGCTCGCCTCCCTCTTTCATTCTTTTCCCGTGATTCCCTCTACTGGGACTCCTGACCCTCCTAGTCGCCAGATCACAGGCCCAACGCATCCCTTTCCGGAGGGATTTAGGAAGTCTCGGCGTTGGTCCAGGAACGACAGTCCCACCGCGCCTCACATGGCGCATTACCCAGCGACTCCGCTTACCCACACGTCCCCGCCCCCTCAGCCGGACAGGAAGAGGAAATGACGATACCTCGGGCGCTCGAAACTCCACCTCTCACGCCTTCCCAGCTCCGGGAGGGGACGCGGGCTCCGGAAAGGGCGGGCATAAGGCTACGGATGGGCGGGACGGAGCAGCCCACCGCAAAGTGGCGGTCTACTTGAGGCGGTTACCTTAGTACTCCGAGTAGACTGAGTCTGTGGCGAGCTGCGGGCCGATTCCTGGCCAGTGCCATCTCAGCCGGAGCAGGCCTCGGGGCCTCAGAAGCAGGCTTTTATCTGGCCCGAGGCTCCCAGCCGTTCAGCGCGTCTTCCCATAACCTATACCGATTATTGGGACTCTCGGCTGCAGACACAGGTCCCCGCCCCTCCCTCTTTCTCCGGGTTGCAGCTGTCATTCCTCCCTTCCCGCCTCGCTGCGCCCACAGCTGAGGACAGTCTTCGTTCTCTCATTCCCATCCTTTCTCTTCCCTCTCATCGCCATTTCTTCTAGAAGGCAACTTAAAAACCTTTCTTTGCCTCTTTATTTCTTCCCATTTCTCTTCCCTTCTTTTCTTCCTTTTTCTCTAGAATCCGTGTGTTTCCACTTCATGCCAGGCTTCTGCCTCCAGGGCTTCTCTCCTTTTCACGGGCCTGTGGCTCATGTGTTAGGAGGTTGAACTTTTAATGCAGTCATTTGAAGATTTTAAGCTTTTTCTTTCTCCTAATCAGGAGTCACAGATGCTGGGAAGTATGGCCCGAAAGAAACCTCGAAATACCTCAAGGTTGCCCCTGGCTTTAAACCCCCTGAAGAGCAAGGACGTGTTGGCAGTGCTGGCTGAGAGGAACGAGGCTATAGTACCAGTTGGGGCATGGGTGGAACCTGCCTCACCAGGTAGTTCGGAAATCCCAGCATATGTGAGTGTCAGTTTGATCCAAATATGGTGGGGTTCCCCACCACCCTTTTTATTAGCCTTCTCTAATCCTGGGTGCTTAAAGATGAACAGTCCGAGGATGCTGTTTCTATTCTGCCATAAATAGTTTATGCTCTTGCATTAGGATTATAGAACAAGTATTTGCCAAAACTTGACTGCAGCTTTAGTTGGCATAATCAAATATTTATTACTCACCTACTATAATATATAGAGCATAATCTACATGGAACAGGTTATATAGATATATATCTGTATATCAGTTTACTTCAGACTCTTGATTGCTTGTTATGCCCAAGACATAAGCACTATCTACATCTTCCAGACACTGCAACTTAGTATGGATGATAGTTGGCATACTTCAAGTAACATTAATTGGTTGCTTAAGGTTTATGATAAATTTTGTAATGAGGATTCAGGCAAAATGGAGTAATAGAATAAAGGAGAAAGAGATGAACTCTGATAATCTGAGAAAGTCTAACTAGAAATTCCATGGTTTCTGATAGTCTTTCACCAAACTGTGCCCCTTAGCTATTTGTTCAAATTTAACTTGGCACTTACCACATTGTGTTATAGTAGATTGTTTATATATCTTTTCCTGATGCAGTGTGAGCTCCTTGAGCGTAGAGAACAAATGTCATTTATCATCACATTCCCACTTTTATCTTAAATACTGCCTAATCAATATAGACACTCATGAAGTATTTATGAAAGGCACAAAATGTCTTCTGTATGTGTAGACAAGGTGCTGAACATGGATGAAAAAAGGATGAGATATGTTCCCTCAGTGTACTTGATCTCAGAAGAGAAATGAGATGTGTTTAAATGTTAAAGTAATGCAATATACTATATTCATTTTATTTATGTTTGCACATATGTATGTATATTCATTGATTTATTCCTACCCTGCCTATTTCCAAAAAGGATTTTAAGAGTCTAGGTGGTATCTCTATCTAAGTTCTAAGAATATAATGCTCAATCAAGAAGCTATGACGTTGGGTTGATGTGACCCAGGAAAGTGTAATGAAGAATTTGATCGGAGAAGGGAAGGGAATGATTCTCCTATTAAGGAGAATGAGGAGAGTAAGAAGTAAGCAAGGTTCAGGATTCTAAGGGTAGATTAGATCGATTGGAGTGGAAAGCTTAGTAGGAGAATGGTTGCTGACAGGATTATGGAAAATAGGGATGGTAGAGTACCTTAGGAAATTTTGGAGAAGGGATTGACTTTGTTTAATATTTACAGGTGAATGTCATGATCAACCAGTGTTTTCTTTAGATGAATTGCTTCAAAGGTTTTGAAGGATAGGGAGTGATTGGATCCTGGGGATAAATTAGAATATAATTATAATAATTTAAGCATGGAGTATAGCATCGAAACTTTGTTAGTGGTAAGAAATAGAGAAGAACAGCCTTGAAAAAGGATGATTGAAGTGCTTGAGCCCACGAATTGTAGGCTGCAGTGAACTATGATCATACTACTGCACTCTAGCCTGGGCAATAGAGTGAGACCCCATCTCTGGAAAAAAAAAAGGAGTGGAATGAGAAGGGATGAATGCAGGAAACACCCCACAAGACTTGGTAAGATTTGGTATAAAGATATTTTGGTATTTAAGTTGTTGACACCTCTTTGTAATTGCTCAAATTACATCTGTATAATATCAGTAGTGTCAACATGCCTAAAATTTGACACCATCAAACTTTTTCTATGTTAAGAAGTATTGACTATCGTATTCACACACATTAACTCAAAATATTAAAGTCTTGGAACATGGATAAACATATCTCCTTTTCCTGATTTAAAAATTTCTGATCAGTTCCAGCCAAAGGGAGTTTGATCAAGCATCTAATAGAACTCCTTATAGCTTTAGCATATCTAGTCTGGGTATCCACCCTTATTAACGGATATAGCTCTGTCAGCTCAAAATAAATGCTGAATAGTTACTTCTAAAGCTTGGCCCTTAGATCATGTCTGTTCTAAAGGGGAACTTCTACTCATTTTTCTCCCCAAAATTTCAGGGGGCCATCAGGATTCCTAAAAATGTCATAGCTTTAGACTACCTCCCCCCAATAATTATTAATAAATTAGCATCAAAAGACACTGCTGTTCTATCATCATATATGGGATTGCATTATTTTATAATTTGTTCTGGTTACCTTTTGCTGTGTAACCAACCACCCCAGAACTTAGTGGTATAAAGCAAATAATACTATGTAACAGGAATTTGAGCAGGGTACAGTGGTAATGGCTTGTTTCTGCCCCATAGTGTCTGGGACCTCAGCTGGGGCTCAAATAACTGGACATGTCTGAGACACCTTGACTATTTTCCGGCTATTGGCTGGAGCTAGACAATAGTCAAGTTCTCCCAGTAATGTGGCACCTGCTGGGCTGTAATGTCCAAGATGGCTTTCTTATTCACATATCTGACGCTTGGCCTAGGATGACTAGAATGTCTGGGTGCTGGTTAGATATGTTTCTCTTTTCACATGGCTTCTCTGTTTGACTAACTTGGGCTTCCTCACAGCATGGTAATCTCAGGGTAGTCTGAATTTTTATATGGTGCTGACTTCCTTCAGAATGAGCACTCTAAGAACAGAGGTGGAAGTTTCTTTATGACCTGGCTTGTAATCTTGTGGAGTAAAAGAGGAGCAGAGAAAATGGAGGTAAAAGAAAGAGGCCGAATGGCTTAAACTTGTCTGGGGCTTGAGTTAAGCTGGGTCAGTTGTTCAGGCTTCATTACGTATATATCTCTCCGTTGGAATTATTTTACCTAATTGTTCTTTGACACTTGTACACTCCACTAGAGTAGTTTATGGGATAGACATCTTGGAAATTTTAACTTAAATTGAAATTTGAATGCATTTGATTTTGAGAATTTAATGACAGCCTGTAAAATGATCTGAGGTACCCTTCAGAATTAGAAGTTGGAATCACTGAGTTAGAAGGAATAGGTACGAGATATGATGATGATTTTATTTAATTTGAAAATTCCTAGTGAAAGAGAGACATAGTCAAGAGAAAAGCAGTGTAGAGAGGAACATAATTGTTGGAGTCAGAAACTTCTAATTCTGCTACTAGTTAGCTATATTAAAATTACTTAATCTTTCTGAACTCCAGCTTCCTCATCTGTAACATAAGGGATAAGAATACCTACTGCCAAAGGTGGTTTTGAGGATAGAGTGCTACAAAGTAGTTAAAATACTTGTCACCTGATAGATCCATAATAATGATAAGTGCTGTTATGATGATGACTATGATTATTATTCAAAGCACTTAGAGGAGATAAATGCAGATCAAGAACTCAAATGGGATAAAGTGTTCCAGATTGTTCAGAACAAGCTTGTCCAACATGCGGCCATGGGCCACATGTGGCCCAGGATGGCTTTGAATGCGACCCAATGTAAATTAATAAATTTTCTTAATTAACACTATGAGTTTTTTTGTGATTTTTTTTTTTCTCATCAGCTACTAGTGTTAATGTATTTTATGTGACAGTTCTTCCAACATGGCCCAGGGAAGCCAAAATATTGGACACCCCTGGTTTAGAATATGTTTTGGAATTGAGCAATTATATAAATATATATTGACTACCCTTATAGTGAAGGCTCTGTACTAGATGCCGTAGGGGAAATAAAGGAGAATTGAATACATATCCTGTCCTCAAAGAGTTCATAATCTAGTAGGGGAGTCAAGAAGTACTATACTCAGTTAACATTGGTGAAATGAGAGGTGTTATAGCATAAGAGGGCTTAGAGAGAGAGTGTTGTGGAAGGTACTGGGGAGTGGGTATTAAATGGTTGTGAAAACTGAATAGGCCTTTACTAGGTGGAGATGAAAGGAAGGGCATGCCAGGTTAAAAATGGAGCATAATGCCAAATATGAAGACATTTTAACAATAGGACATATTTGGTGAGTGGTAAGTAACCTGGTGTGTCTTGACTATTTACTCCATTTTAGAAAATGTGTAACGTGTTAGGTTTTATTTGGTTCATTAAGATTTAATGAAGACATCGTTAGTTCTAATTCAATAAAAAATTTAAGATTTGATACTCATACATTCCATTTTTTTTTGTACAGAATGGAATTATTTTTTTCAGGATTGTATCCTTATCCTGACTGTTTTGTGTTTAAAACAGCCCTAATGGACAAAACTGCTAACATTTAAGTTCATTTTCTGTCTTTCATCTTTAAAGACATCAGCATATTTAATTGAAGAAGAACTAAAGGAACAGCTAAGAAAAAAACAAGAAGCTTTGAAACATTTTCAGAAACAAGTTAAATACCGAGTAAATCAACAAATTAGGTTGAGAAAAAAGCAACAGCTTCAGAAGTCTTATGAAAGAGTAAGTTCAAAAGTGAGCCTGAGTAAAGATTGAATGGAAAATATGTGTGTTATGAGATAAGCTATTAGGCAGTAACAGAATTGCTTTCCTTTGATTACATGCCTAATATAATCTAATTAACTAGTGAAGACAGTAAATTTTTTTTGTAGAGAAACCATGTTTTATTCCTGTGTTCTGACTCAATTTTTTGCTTTTACCAAGTAGTTAAAAGCAATGTCAGAATTTTGGGTTCAGACTTGAGTTTGAATTTTGGCTTTGCTACTTCTAGCTATTGACTTTTGGCTAATTACTTAACTTCACTGATTGTAGTTTCTTCATCCATAAAATAAGGATATGATACTTCTCTCATAGGATTGTGTGAGAGTTAGATGAGATAACCTAAATTATTAGCACATGGGAGGTGCCTGGTAAATGTTAGTTTCTCTGCCAGCTAAAGCCTCTCCCCTGCCCCCCACCCCAATTTAAAATCTTCTGAACTGCTTTAGAGGCATTATTTGATTGCTCTGGATTGGGGTAGAATGTTACTATCCCCCTTTCTTCTTTCGTGTAGGCACAAAAAGAAGGCTCCATAGCCATGCAGTCTTCAGCAACACACTTAACTTCCAAAAGGACAAGTGTTTTTCCAAACAATTTGAATGTTGCTATTGGAAGTTCTAGGTTACCTCCTTCCCTGATGCCTGGGGATGGAATAGAGGATGAAGAGAATCAGAACGAATTATTCCAACAACAAGCCCAGGCTGTAAGTACCTGTTCTTTTTATTTTATGTCTATGATATTTTCCCTATCCCCTAAACTATAAATATGACATCTAGGGTATGAGGTAGGGATTAAGAGTTATCACACTCAGCTTCACTTTTGATAATCATCCCCCTTTTTTTTTTTTTTTAGCTTTGTAAAGTGGGGAATAGTGGGATAATGCTTTTTAAAAATTTTAAATTTAAATTCATTTGTGTTTGGTAAGATACTCTAAAATTATCTAAAGAAAAGTGCCGCGGAGCCTGCAGTGAGCCGAGATTGCGCCACTGCACTCCAGCCTGGGCGACAGCGAGACTCCGTCTCAAAAAAAAAAAAAAAAAAAAAAAAAAAAAAGAAAAGTGCCAAAGTGCTAGAATTCAAAACCTATTAGAAAGCACTTTAGGTCAAGAACATGGATTTTCCAAGTTATATTGAAATTATATTCTAGGCAAGCTACTATTAGTTTGTAATTTACAGAGAGAAATAATTCTTACCTTCGTTGCAAAGAAGTTCAGTATACATAGGTGGCATTTCATTTATTATTTATCTTTGTCTCATTTTTCTTATTTTTGTTTTTTAATCTGATTATCACAATAAATGAATCTATAGTTGTAGGTTAAAGAATAATACATAGTAAATTCGTAACATATCCAGAGTTTTTGGAAAAATGTAATTTTTATTTAATGACTCATTTTATATACCTAATATTTAAAAATTAACCACTGTGAGTAGATTTCATCCATTCACATTGCTTGACTCTGTCCATTTAGCCCCCACCTTAGTATACCTGAGCTTTTGTCCAGTTGATACAGTCTTCAACTCTGCTTCAGTAATTGTTCTTCATCTTATTTAAAATGTATTACTAGAAATAATGAGAGGAAGAGAGAAAATATGGAAAATTATGAGTATGTGAAAATAAAAGCTGTATTACTGCTTAACATACTTGGTCAAAATTTAATTGTGCTATTAGTATAAATAGGAAAAGTTTAGAAGCACACATTATCATGTTGAACTACTATTAAAATTTTTTTCTTTGTCCACAACTATTTGACTCTTTCTTGTCATTGTTCAGTTTGTAATAATCATTTTTATTTGTTTAGCAAATATTTATTGAGCCAGGCACTGCATAAAGTACAAGGAATAGAACATTGACTTAAGACAGACACAGTCCTTGCTTTCGTGGTGCTTGTAGCTGTTAGTCCCACTGTAGTGAGGATTTTACTTCATCTGTTTAATACAAAAATAGAACTCATCAGTCAGCAGTATTTGCCTATGCTGTTTGTTATGGATTGTAGCGATACTAAGGAAATGTAAAATAGGACCTTCCATGGGTTTATATTTTCAGGTAGAAATACAAAACTAATAGACCACTCATTGTATCAGATAATAATATAGAGAGATTTTCTGTGTTTTGCAATAAAGTTGTGCTATGGGAGTTCAGAAATTTTTAAGGAAACAGTAGGGGAAGAATTCATGGGAGAGATAGACTTGAACTACACATTTTGTATTGGTAAATTCAAGAGAATTTGTTTTTCTTAGAGACGGAGTCTCACTCTGTTGCCCATGCTGTAGTGCAGTGGTGCAGTCCTGGCTCACTGCAACCTCCTCCTCCTGAGTTCAAGAGAATCTCCTGATTCTCCTGCCTCAGCCTCCTGAGTAGCTGGGGTAGGTGCCTGCCACCATGACTGGCTAATTTTTGTATTTTTAGTAGAGATGGGGTTTCACCATGTTGGCCAGGCTGGTATCAAATTCCTGAGCTCAAGGGATCCGCCTGCCTTGGCCTCCCAAAGTGCTGGGATTACAGGTGTGAGCCACCACACCTGGCCGAGATAATTTTTTCTTAAAAACCACCCAAACAAAAAAAAAGCCTAGAATCTCCAATGAGCCAGGTGTATTTGGGAATAAGTAATGGAACCTTTCTAATTGGTAGTTTATAATGGAGAATAACCAAAAATGGGGTTGGATAAGGAGGAGGAAATCAGGTTATGAAAAACCTTAAATGTCACAAGATTTTTTAAAGTTTTTATAATACCCCCACACTTTTTTTTTTAAAAGGACATGAACTACTGAAGAATGCTCAGTGACTTAACTATTTTGAGCCTGTAAACTTTGTCCATATGACTCCATGACAATAGATGCTTTCTGATCTTACCACTTCTGTTGCAGTTTTTATCCACTAGATGTCACCGTGAAACTAGACAATGAGACAGTTCAGGCACGAACTCCCTTAGTTTATCTAGAACTGGTTGGGTAAATGGTACACATAATTCACTTTCTGAATGTTAGTACACGTCTCAGTTTTCTCGTGTTGGTGTTATAGAAACATGTGATCTTGGAGTTGGAAGAGTTTCAAACATTCATCTGACATGTTGAAACATTTATACATGAAAGTATTTGATGTCTGGAATATACTTAAATAATAAAAGAATGAGGTAAAGTAGGGAGTTACGGATGAAGCAAGATTGGCTAGGAGTTGATAGTGCTAAAGTGAGGTATCCATATCTGTCCATGGTGGTTCATTATAGTGTTCTGATTACTTCTGTATATGTTTGAAGTTTTCCATAGGTTTGAATTTATTTATATTTTTAATTAAATGTTAAAAAAGAATATTATCTGGTCCTATCTTTCTCTGTCCAAGGAATTCAGTTCTTTTTTTTTTTTTATTATACTTTAAATTCTAGGGTGCATGTGCACAACGTGCAGGTTTGTTACATATGTATACATGTGCCATGTTGGTGTGCTGCATCCATTAACTTGTCATTTACATGAGGTATTTCTCCTAATGCTATCCCTCCCCGCTTCCCACCATGCCACGACAGGCCCTGGTGTGTGATGTTCCCAACCCTGTGTCCAAGTGTTCTCATTGTTCAATTCCGACCTATGAGTGAGAACATGCGGTGTTTGGTTTTCTGTCCTTGAGATAGTTTGCTTAGAATTATGGTTTCCAGCTTCATCCATGTCCCTACAAAGGACATGAACTCATCCTTTTTTATGGCTGCATAGTATTTCATGGTGTATATGTGCCACATTTTCTTAATCCAGTCTATCACTGATGGACATTTGGGTTGGTTCCAAGCCTTTGCTATTGTGAATAGTGCTGCAATAAACACATGTGTCTTTATAGTAGCATGATTTATAATCCTTTGGGTATATACCAAGTAATGAGATGGCTGGGTCAAATGGTATTTCTAGTTCTAGATCCTTGAGGAATCGCCACACTGTCTTCCACAATGGTTGAACTAATTTACAGTCCCACCAACAGTGTAAAAGTGTTCCTATTTCTCCACATCCTCTCCAGCACCTGTTGTTTCCTGACTTTTTAATGATTGCCATTCTAACTGGTGTGAGATGGTATCTCATTGTGGTTTTGATTTACATTTCTCTGATGGCCAGTGATGATGAGCATTTTTTCATGTGTCTGTTGGCTGCATAAGTGTCTTCTTTTGAGAAGTGTCTGTTCATATCCTTTGCCCACTTTTTGATGGGATTGTTTGATTTTTTCTTGTAAATTTGTGTAAGTTCTTTGTAGATTCTGGATATTACCCCTTTGTCAAATGTGTAGATTGCAAAAATTTTTTCCCATTCTGTAGGTTGCCTGTTCACTCTGATGGTAGTTTCTTTTGCTGTGCAGAAGCTCTTTAGTTTAATTAGATCCCATTTGTCAATTTTGGCTTCTGTTGCCATTGCTTTTGGTGTTTTAGTCATGAAGTCCTTGCCCATGCCTGTGTCCTGAATGGTATTGCCTAGGTTTTCATCTAGAGTTTTTATGGTTTTAGGTCTAACATTTAAGTCTTTAATCCATCTTGAATTAACTTTTGTATAAGGTGTAAGGAAGGGATCCAGTTTCAGCTTTCTACATATGGCTAGCCAGTTTTCCCAGCACCATTTATTAATAGGGAATCCTTTCCCCATTTCTTGCTTTTGTCAGATTTGTCAAAGATCAGATGGTTGTAGATGTGTGGTGTTATTTCTGAGGCCTCTGTTCTGTTCCATTTGTCTATATATCTGTTTTGGTACCAGTACCATGCTGTTTTGGTTACTGTAACCTTGTAATATAGTTTGAAGTCAGGTAGCGTGATGCCTCCAACTTTGTTCTTTTTGTTTAGGATTGTCGTGGCAATGCGGGCTCTTTTTTGGTTCCATATGAACTTTAAAGTAGTTTTTTCCAGTTCTGTGAAGAAAGTCAGTGGTAGCTTGATGGGGATAGCACTGAATCTATAAATTACCTTGGGCAGTATGGCCATTTTCACGATATTGATTCTTCCTGTCCATGAGCATGGAATGTTCTTCCATTTGTTTGTGTCCTCTTTTATTTAGTTGAGCAGTGGTTTGTAGTTCTCCTTGAAGAGGTCCTTCACATCCCTTCATGTAAGTTGGATTCCTAGGTATTTTATTCTCTTTGAAGCAGTTGTGAATGGGAGTTCACTCATGATTTGGCTGTTTGTCTGTTATTGGTGTGTCGGAATACTTGTGATTTTTGCACATTGATTTTGTATCCTGAGACTTTGCTGAAGTTGCTTATGAGCTTAGGAGATTTTGGGCTGAGTCGATGGGGTTTTCTAAATATACAATCATGTCATCTGCAAACAGGGACAATTTGACTTCCTCTTTTCTTAATTGAATACCCTTTATGTCTTTCTCTTGCCTGATTCCCCTGGTCAGAACTTCTAACACTGTGTTGAGTAGGAGTGGTGAGAGAGGGCATCGCTGTCTTGTGCCAGTTTTCAAAGGGAATGCTTCCAGTTTTTGCCCATTCAGTATGATATTGGCTGTAGGTTTGTCATAAATAGCTCTTATTATTTTGAGATATGCCCCATCAATACCTAGTTTATTGAGAGTTTTTAGCATGAAGGGCTGTTGAATTTTGTCAAAGGCCTTTTCTGCATCTATTGAGATAATCATGTGGTTTTTGTCTTTGGTTCTGTTTATGTGATGGCGTACGTTTATTGATTTGCATTTGTTGAACCAGCCTTGCATCCCAGGGATGAAGCCAACTTGATCTTGGTGGATAAGCTTTTTGATGTGCTGCTGGATTCAGTTTGCCAGTATTTTATTGAAGATTTTTGCATCGATGTTCATCAGGGATATTGGTCTAAAATTCTCTTTTTTTGTTGTGTCTCTGCCAGGCTTTGGTATCAGGATGATGCTGGCCTCATAAAATGAGTTAGGGAGGATTCCCTCTTTTTCTATTGATTGGAATAGTTTCAGAAGGAATGGTACCAGCTCCTCTTTGTACCTTTGGTAGAATTTGGCTGTGAATCCATCTGGTCTTGGACTTTTTTTGGTTGGTAGGCTATTAATTATTGCCTCAATTTCAGAGCCTGTTATTGGTCTGTGCAAGGATTCAACTTCTTCCTGGTTTAGTCTTGGGAGGGTGTATGTGTGGAGGAATTTATCCATTTCTTCTAGATTTTCTAGTTTATTTACGTAGAGGTGTTTGTAGTATTCTCTGATGGTAGTTTGCATTTCTGTGGGATTGGTGGTGATATCCCCTTTATCATTTTTTATTGTGTCTATTTGATTCTTCTCTCTTTTCTTCTTTATTAATCTTGCTAGCGGTCTATCAATTTTGTTGATCTTTTCAAAAAACCAGCTCCTGGATTCATTGATTCTTTGAAGGGTTTTTGTGTCTCTATCTCCTTCAGTTCTACTCTGATCTTAGTTATTTCTTGCCTTCTGCTAGCTTTTGAATTTGTTTTCTCTTGCTTCTCTAGTTCTTTTAATTGTGATGTTAGGGTGACGATTTTAGATCTTTCCTGCTTTTTCTTGTGGGCATTTAGTGCTATAAATTTCCCTCTACACACTGCTTTAAATGTGTCCGAGAGATTCTGGTATGTTGTGTCTCTGTTCTCATTGGTTTCAAAGAATATCTTTATTTCTGCCTTCATTTTGTTATTTACCCAGTAGTCATTCAGGAGCAGGTTGTCCAGTTTCCATGTAGTTGTGTGGTTTTGAGTGAGTTTCTTAATCCTGAGTTCTAATTTGATTGCACTGTCATCTGAGAGACAGTCTGTTGTGATTTCTGTTCTTTTACATTTGCTGAGGAGTGCTTTACTTCCAACTATATGGTCAATTTTGGAATAAGTGCGATGTGGTGCTGAGAAGAATGTATATTCTGTTGATTTGGGGTGGAGAGTTCTGTAGGTGTCTATTAGGTCCACTTGTTGCAGAGCTGAGTTCAAGTCCTGTATATCCTTGTTAACCTTCTCTCTCGTTGATCTGTCTAATATTGACAGTGGGGTGTTAAAGTCTCCCATTATTATTGTGTGGGAGTCTAAGTCTCTTTGTAGGTCTCTAAGGAATTGCTTTATGAATCTGGGTGCTCCTGTATTGGGTGTATATACATTTAGGATAGTTAGCTCTTCTTGTTGAATTGATCCTTTTACCGTTATGTAATGGCCTTGTCTCTTGATCTTTATTGGTTTAAAGTCTGTTTTATCAGAGACTAGGATTGCAACCCCTGCTTTTTTTTTTTGTTTGTTTTCCATTTGCTTGGTAGATCTTCCTCCATCCCTTTATTTTGAGGCTATATGTGCCTCTGCACGTGTGATGGGTCTCCTGAATATAGCACACTGATGGTCTTGACTCTTTATTCAATTTGCCAGTCTGTGTCTTTTAATTGGGGCATTTAGCCCATTTACATTTAAGGTTAATATTGTTATGTGTGAATTTGGTCCTGTCATTATAATGTTAGCTGGTTATTTTTCCCATTAGTTGATGCAGTTTCTTCCTAGCATCGATGGTCTTTACAATTTGGCATGTTTTTGCAGTGGCTGGTACTGGTTGTTCCTTTCCATGTTTAGTGCTTCCTTCAGGAGCTCTTGTAAGGCAGGCCTGGTGGGGAGAAAATCTCTCAGCATTTGCTTCTCTGTAAAGGATTTTATTTCTTCACTTTTGAAGCTTAGTTTGGCTGGATATGAAATTCCGGGTTGAAAATTCTTTTCTATAAGAATGTTGAATATTGGCCCCCACTCTCTTCTGGCTTGTAGAGTTTCTGCCGAGAGATCCGCTGTTAGTCTGATGGGCTTCCCTTTGTGGGTAACCCGACCTTCTCTGGCTGACCTTAACATTTTTTCCTTCATTTCAACCTTGGTGAATCTGACAATTATGTGTTTTGGGGTTGCTCTTCTCGAGGAGTATCTTTGTGGTGTTTTCTGTATTTCCTGAATTTAAAGGTTGACCTGCCTTGCTAGGTTGGGGAAGTTCTCCTGGATAATATCTTGACGACTGTTTTCCAACTTGGTTCCATTCTCGCTGTCACTTTCAGGTACACCAATCAAACATAGATTTGGTCTTTTCACATAGTCCCATATTTCTTGGAGGCTTTGTTCATTTCTTTTTATTCTTTTTTCTCTAAACTTCTCACTTCATTTCATTAATTTGATCTTCAGTCACTGATACCCTTTCTTCCACTTGATCAAATTGGCTACTGAAGCTTGTGCATTCGTCACGTAGTTCTCGTGCATGGTTTTCAGCTCCATCAGGTCATTTAAGATCTTCTCTACACTGTTTATTCTAGTTAGCCATTCGTCTAATCTTTTTTCAAGGGTTTTAGCTTCCTTGCGATGGGTTCAAACATCCTCCTTTAGCTCGGAGAAGTTTGTCATTATTGACCTTCTGAAGCCTACTTCTGCCAACTAGTCAAAGTCATTCTCCATCCAGCTTTGTTCCGTTGCTGGCGAGGAGCTGTGATCCTTTGGAGGAGAAGAAGTGCTCTGGTTTTTAGAATTTTCAGCTTTTCTGCTCTGGTTTCTCCCCATCTTTGTGGTTTTATTTACCTTTGGTCTTTGATGATGGTGACCTACAGATGGAGTTTTGGTGTGGATGTCCTTTTTGTTGATGTTGATGCTATTCCTTTCTGTTTGTTAGTTTTCCTTCTAACAGTCAGGTCCCTCAGCTGCAGGTCTGTTGGAGTTTGCTGGAGGTCCACTCCAGATCCTGTTTGCCTGGGTATCACCAGTGGAGGCTGCAGAACAGCAAATATTGCAGAACAGCAAATATTGCTGCCTGATCCTTCCTCTGGAAGCTTCGTCTCAGAGGGCACCTGGCTGTGTGAGGTGTCAGTCGGTCCCTACTGGGAGGTGTCTCCCAGTTAGGCTACAGGAGGGTCAGGAACCCACTTGAGGAGGCAGTATGTCCGTTCTCAGAGCTCAAACTTCATGCTGGGAGAACCACTGCTCTCTTCAGAGCTGTCAGACAGGGACGTTTAAGTCTGCAGAAGTTTCTGCTGCCTTTTGTTCAGCTATGCCCTGACCCTGGAGGTGGAGTCTACAGAGGCAGACAGGCCTCGTTGAGCTGCAGTGGGCTCCACCCAGTTCGAGCTTCCTAGACACTTTGTTTACCTACTGAAGCCTCAGGAATGGCGGACGCCCCTCCTCCAGCCAGGCTGCTGCCTCGCAGTTTAATCTCGGACTGCTGCGCTAGCAGTGAGCAAGGCTCTGTGGGTGTGGGACCTGCCAAGCCAGGTGCGGGGTATAATCTCTTGGTGTGCCATTTGCTAAGACTGTTGGAAAAGCGCAGTATTAGGGCGGGAGTGTCCCGATTTTCCAGGTACCATCTGTCATGGCTTCCCTTGGCTAGGAAAGGGAAATCCCCCGACTGCTTGCACTTCCTGGGTGAGGCGATGCCCCACCCTGCTTCGGTTCACCCTCCGTAGGCTGCACCCACTGTCCAGCCAGTCCCAAGGAGATGACAGGTAGCTCAGTTGGAAATGCAGAAATCTACCTGTCTTCTGCGTCGATCACGCTGGGAGCTGCAGACCGGAGCTGTTCCTATTCAGCCATCTTGGAATGGACCCCCCAATTCTTTTTATATTATCTCCATATGTGGCCATCTAATTCCTGCCACAACACCTCCACTATTGGACAACTCATTACTTTTTCAGACTGATCATTTTATTTTTAGAAGACTTGAAATTATTGCAACTATTTTTTCAACATGTTGAGTCAAAAATCTTCCTCCCTATAACTTTTATCCATTGGTCTTAATTTTGCCCTCTCAGGTAATAAAAAATAAGATAGCATCTGAGAGCACTTCAAGTATTTGATTATAGTTATCATTTTTCTTTTTTGGGTTTCTATATTCCTAATGCCTTATTGATTTCTTCTGAATACTATTTTGTTTTTCAATATTCTTCTGAAATAGGACCTCAAAAACAACACAATACTGTATTTTAAATATGATTTGGCCACTAGTGCTCTTAATCCGCACCCCTTACCTCACCCTCTGCTTGATAATACTTGGTATTACCTACTTGTTCAAAGGTCAGTTAAGATTAGTTGCCTAAAGGTAGGAGCTAGAATTGTAGACTGGAAGAAATTTCAAGTGTCTTATAATATATAGAACCAGTATTTTGTTTTCATTAGGACTGATATTTATCTTTAGGGATTCAGTTTCTGTGATGTCCCTTGAAAGCGGCATTTTGGTGAGGAATTGAAGAACAACTGATCATTGTTTTAGTCTTACCATATAATAACTTTTTATTGATCTGTCCCTATTCAGTTTGCTACTGTTTTCTAGCATGGTTTATTCCAGCTTTTTGTTTCTCACTGAATCTTTTACTATCTTATTTCTATTTTTATTCTCTCTTTACAGTGCTAGTTTTCCAGCTTTTTAAAACCATGGAAATAATTACTTTTTGTAGTAAAGCTTTAAGTAATGTGAAATAGCCTGCTAAATTCTTGTAATCTACCATTGAAAAAACTAGTATTTCAGTCAGACACTTTTGCCTGCAAGAACTCAGGCTAACCCAAACAAGGGGAAAGTTTATTTGAAGAATACACATGGGTTAATAAGGGAAGAATCAGAATCTCACACAAATCCAAACTCCTTTGAGGAATGCAACTGGAGAGTTTTTCTGGATGTGAGTTTTTCTGGATGTGAGCTCCAGTGACCCCAAGAGCATGAGATATTTGATCTTCACACTAATATTTAATCAGTAGCTTGATTGATTCAGTTCTTCTCATAGGGTGACCAACCTTCCCTATTGGTCTAAGATCGAGGGGTTTCCAGGACATGGGACTTTTCAGTGCTAAAACTGAGACAGTTCTAGGTAAACTAGTATAGTTGGTCACCTTGTTTCTACATGTATGCTTCCCTCTTATTTTCTCATTTCTCTACCATTAACTGGTATTGTCATCTCCTCATCACAGCTTCATAACTTTGGTATACTTGAGGACCCGTTAGCCTCTTTTTTCCAGTTTAGGACCTTTTATGTTCAAGTCCTCTCTCTAACTTTTCTCTGGATATTTCCTAGTTTATTATCTGAGGTAAGGAATATTTATTGGCCCAGCTTGCCTTTTTGCATTAGGTCTACATTACTGGCCATCTTATAGATTGATAGCAATTGTGACAAAAGAAAGATAATGCAACTCGCTGCATTGCACTGGGATTCATGGGCTATAAAAAGTGGCTCATGTGAGTTCAACTTTTAATGTATGGTATTTTCTGGCCACTGAAAAGTCTAACACATTTAAAAATCAGTATGATATCATTTGCAAATAAACTACATTATACTTGAATAGAATTCAACTTTGATTAGATTTTTATGGCCTTAACAATACACTTTACATTGGTATTAGTCCTCCATGATAATAAAGTAGGTAAAATTCTATAAATATTAGATCTCATCTATACTCTTTTCCCATGACCTACATAGTATTACTAATTGTTTTGTTTATACAGTTACATGTAAATTCTATCTTATTCTTGATTGGCTAAAAAATTACACAAACAAGTTAAAAAGAACTGAAGAAAATATGAACAGTGTCCTAGTTAGATATCTATATTTCTCAAATTTTATCCTTCATATTTGCTTGATGCTTTAAATTTTACTATCTAATCATAGTTTGCTTTAGATTTTAAGATTTAAATCTCAAAATTTATATATTACAATTTTCGTTTTGTTACAAAGAAGTGCTTTTGCTAATTGTTAAAGTTATGTTTCTGTGTGCAAAATAGACATTTTTTTTGGTGTGCAGAAGACATTGCATCAAGGCCTATTTTTATTTGACATATTACTACACAACCCTTGCTCCAGTCAGCTAAGGCTAGGGAGGAAGTTGCCTAAGGCCGCCCCTTTAATAGGGCTTGTAGGCCTGGCAGTATTCCTTAGAAGGCACTGTGATTGGTTGTCTGGTATACCTGGGATATAGTCTCTAGGGGTCAGTGCAAGCAAAGTTTTGTTGGCAATGGTTTGTTAGTTAGGAAAACTAACAAACAGAAAGGAATAGCATCGACATCAACAAAAAGGACATCCACACCAAAACCCCATCTGTAGGTCACCATCATCAAAGACCAAAGGTAGATAAAACCACAAAGATGTGGAGAAACCAGAGCAGAAAAGCTGAAAATTCTAAAAACCAGGGCATCTCTTCTCCAAAGGGTCACAGCTCCTCGCCAGCAACAGAACAAAGCTGGATGGAGAATGACTTTGATGAGTTGACAGAAGTAGGCTTCAGAAGGTCGGTAATAACAAACTGCTCCAAGCTAAAATTTAGGCCCATGTTCTGTAGGATATTCCTGAGGTCTGATATATGTACATATGTATTTATATATGCAATATGAGAACCAAAAATGCATTTATATGTTTATGTTGTTCATGAGAGGAAGCTTTTTGAGGGATATTGTCTGGGATTTTTTTTCTCATTTTTTACACTGAGTTTTATTGAAAGTATATATGTACATAGTTTGAACAAGTAAAGTAAATAGTTGCATGCATTGTTATTAAAAAAGATAAGTACTTTGCACATTTCCTCATCTTCCTCAGAAGCAACTATTTGCATTCTTTTAGTTTTGTCTTTTGGTGTTAATATTCATATTTCTGAGCAACATGCTAGTAATACTCCTTCTTAATTAAAAAAAATTTAGGCATTTTTTATTGATTTACCACTAGGAAGGATGAGGATTTATTCCTCTTTCTCTCCCCTGCCACCACTACACATGCACTCTTTCCACTCCCGTCCTCTCTTTATAGTTATATTGTAATTTTGCTTAGATCTATATTAAACATTTATGTTGTTATGACTATATAAACATTAGTCACAGCTGATCTATGAGTAAACTATGATTATGTTTCCGTCTATGTATGGCTTTTTGTTTTATCTGGAGTTATATTGATTTTTCATTTGCTAGGTTTTCTATTTATCTAATTATTTATCTAATTATGAGTAATTCATCTTCATCAGGGAATCTAAGCCTTAGAGATTTAATCGTAGTCTGTTAATAACAGTTAACTACAAAAGAATCAATAGTGTGCCTAAGGTTCTAGATAGAAAAGACTTTTGGTCAAATTTTATGTTTTGAGTATTTACACACATACAACACATGCACATATGCATATGTACATTTAAACATATATGTAAGTATACATACAAATGTATATATATACCACAGACATTCACACAATTACATATATATGTAATGACCAACATCATCTTGCAGAGAAATGTGCTTATCTACTTGTTTATTTGAATTATTGCATAATTTAATTTATAATATCCCCCTGGGTTCTATGTTTTTGTTAAATTGCTTGTTAACATTAACTTTAGTCTTTGTATTAGTTTCTGGTGGCTGCTGTAACACATTACCTCAAAGTTAATAACTTAAAAAATTACAGAAATTTATTATCTCTCAGTTCTGGAGGCCAGAAGTCCAGAATCCACTTCACTAAACCAAAACGAAGGTGTCCTCAGGGCTGTGCTCCATCCTCAGGTTCTAGGGGAAAGTTTGTTTCTTGACATTTCCAGCTTTTGGTGTCTGCTGGCATTCCTTTTCTTGTGGCTGCATCACATCAATTTCTGCATGCCATTTTCACATCACCTCCTTTTCTGTATGTTGAATCTTCCTCTACCTCTCTCGTAAGGACACTTTTGATGGCATTTAGGACCCGTATGGATAATCCAGGATTATCTTCTCAATGTCCTTAAGATCTCAAGATCCTTAACTTAATCACATTTGCAAAGGCCCTTTTTTCTTATAAAGTAATATTTACAGGTTCTAGGGATTAACACCTGGTATCTTTGGGTGGCCATTATTCACCCAATGACAGTCCTCAAAGCATGTCATTGAAAAAGCCTTTCCAAGATTGAGGCTTGGTGAAGGGTTATGGTAACTACAGAGAAACAGAAGAAAAATAATGTATATTCTAGCTTTTGGAGCAGTTGAAATATCCTGCTTAAGGGCCTATAATCAATGTGACTCTAATAGAGGTTTGGACTTGATGGGAAATGAAAATTCTGAATCCCTATTTCAAATTTGTTACAATGGGGATTTTTGAATCCTTGGTCACATGGTGCAGGGTAATAACACCTACCTTAAGTGTCAATGAATAAAAGGAGGCATAGTCATGGGGCTATTTTTTTTTTTTTATAATTTCAACTACACATATCTCTTTTTGCATTGTGAACAGCTCTATCTTGATTCCCTTTGGCCACTCCGCAGCTGACCAAATCTAGAAGTCTTCCGCTTGGCAAAACAAAGAGTAGTATGTTTCAATCTGATTTCTCTGGACAGAGTTATAGACCTCTGAAAACAAGCTTAAATAGAGGTGATGTGCTGTAAAAAAATCTGGGCTGGTAGAGTAGAGTGTTTTCATCCTTAGGTAATTATTAATAAAGCCATAAAATTTATTTTATTTTTTTTTAAGACAGAGTCTTGCTCTGTCGTCCAGGTTAGGGTGCGGTGGCGCAATCTTGGCTCACTGCAGCCTTGAACTCCAGGCTCAAGCAATCCTTCCACCTCTCCTACCTCAGCCTCTTGAGTAACAGACTACAGGCGTGTGCCACTACAGCAAATTTTTTTTGTATTTTCTGTAGAGAAGTCATAACCATCATTTCTCTTCAAGGGATAATTGATATTATTAAACTTCCAATGAGTGGATTAGTAGCGATCTTGGCTTTGCCATAATTTTACTGACTAGTACAGGATATACTTTTCCTCCACGTGATACAGTGCTTATCTTTATTTTTCAATTTTAATTTTAATTTATTTATTTTTTTAAGATGGAGTCTCTGTTGCCCAGGCTGGAGTGCAGTGGCGCTATCTCGTCTCACTGCAGCCTCTGCCTCCTGGGTTCAAGCAGTTCTCCCGCCTCAGCCTCCTGAGTAGCTGGGATTACAGGTGTGCACCACCATGCCCGGCTAATTTTTTTATTTTTAGTAGAGATGGGGTTTCACCACATTGGTCAGGCTAGTCTCGGTCTCGAACTCCTGACCTCAGGTGATCCGCCTGCCTTGGCCTCCCAAAGTGCTGGGATTACAGGTGTGAGCCACCACGGCTGGCCTACAGTGCTTATCTTAAAAATGATATATGTTTTATTTGTTTCCCTAATGAGATATTCTTTGCAAATTTGTGAGATATAAAATAGGCTGTGCTTCTCTGAAAAAGAAATCAAAATAGCCGCATACTGAAATTTCTGGAGATAAGGAATGAACACGAAATCAACATTTAATATTAGTAGTCATTTATTAGGTGTTACTTAAAGTAGTTGAAACAAATTGGTTCTTTTGAAATGTTTGAATTTGTGTTCTAAGTTAATTTAGGAAGGCTTCTTGGAGGAAGAGGAAGGGAGATTCAAGAAAAGACTTTAAGTAGCTATGGTCTTCAAATGTTGAGGGTGGTGAAAGGAGTCATGTAAATTGGGGATAAAAGGGCTTTAAGGAAACTAGGAATAGAGTCCTAGCAAGCAGTGATGAAAGCAATTAAGCATATATGGAGCACTTGAAGAAATAACTCCTTATTGACAAAGGTGGATAGAAGGTAAGGAATGTGTCTGGTCAGTGATCTCCAAGTGTATTAATTCAGACTTTAGGTTTTCATATTTTTGTGTACATGCTTTATATAAAGTATACATTATTTCTTAAAAAACAGTTTGAGTAACCGCCCTTAAACCAAGTTACAAAGTACAATCTCTAGAATAATGACAATAATGTTGTACCACACTATCAGCACATCAAAGTCTCCTTTGCAAGTAATCCTGTTGTCTTAGATCTGGCATTTTTTAATAATAGGGACCTGTTTTCCTGTTGGAACACTTAGTGCATTTGGAATTAAAACTTATCCTGCTTTTGTTTGCTTTCTTCCCCCTTTCCCTGGCAGCTTAGTGAAACTATGAAACAGGCACGTCACCGGCTAGCATCCTTTAAAACCGTGATTAAAAAAAAGGGATCAGTGTTTCCAGATGATGGAAGGAAAAGCTTTCTTACCAGAGAGGTAAATTAATTTCTAATACATGATTTAAAAAAATACAGGTAAAAAATACAGATAAAGATTTACTTATATCTCAGCATAATTTAGAACTGTAAAATAATTGGAAATAGCCTTAAATACCCAATAGTAGGGGATGCTTGAGTAAATTGTGACATATCCATATGCAGCCATTCTAAAAAATATTTTCAAAGAATATCTGAAGATAAGGGAAAGTGTCTGTGATATAAAGTTAAGAAAAAAGTTGGATATGAAATTAAGTATGATATGATCTTAATTAAAATATATGTATATGTATTCAACAAATACTTATGGAATGTCTGTGATTGCCAGCATTGTTCTAGAAACAGGACTTATAGTGGTGAAAAGACAGACAAAGATCCCTCAAGGAGCTTCTGTGCTAGTTGGGAAGCATATAATAAACAAGCAAATAAATATAGAATATAATTTCAAGTGATAAGTGCTATGAAGAGAAATACAGCAAAATAAAAAGATGGAAAGAGTTCCATGTGCATAGACAAAAGCCTAGGTACAAATGGCACAAGAGGCTAATACTGATTATTTCTGGGTAGTAGTATTACAGGTGATTTTCTTCTGTTTTTTATTTTTAAAAATTGTCATAAAGTATGTCACTTTCTAATCAGGAAAAAATTGAAACTATTAATTTTTAAAAAGAAAAATTCTTTTGATTCAAAACTTAAGTGAGTGTGGAGCTAGGCTTAGGAGGATATGTAAGTCTATACTTATAAAATGACATTGTTTTGGTGCCTACCTCAGAATTCACAAATTTGGATCCTAAATTTATGTGTTTTCCTGTGTGTACTTAATTTTGGCATTAATGTTTTATAGGCAGCATCTAGTAAAATAGACCATTAATTTATTTTTTAATAAATTATGTTTTTTTGCCAATAAATATGTTATTTTTTTGCCATCATCAACTGCCTCATTTAGTTCTTTCCCAGTTTTACTTCCTAATTAGTATACTCTTATATTTTCCTGGAATATGCATATAATATATATAATATATAAATATATAGATATATAATTTTGTATTTTTTTCCATATCTTGACCCAACCATTAAAAATGTTTGTCTCATATATGTTGGCAATTGGTTGAATACTAAACTGTAATGTTTTTCTCTTTAATTACAACTAAGAAATTTATAGTTAAATTTAAAAAACAAGTGGGCGTGGATATGTGTCCATGTATGGCAACACATCCCACGTGCGTTTATATGGTTGTCTTTTTCTAGCATTGCCTTGTGGCTCCTCAGAGTTTCTTTTGTACCTAAATTATTTTCAGATGTTGGTTTCTTGACAGTTTTCATACCTATCGTGGTTTGGTAGTACTATAGTTTGGGCCATTAGACTGACTCCAGGGTACTGTTAGATGAGGTGATTAGACACTTTCTACTAAATCAGAAAAAAAAACACAGTTATCAGATCTTAGAGATGGATATTTATATTGCTTGGAACATGCTCAGACCTTTCAACTGGTGTTTTTCCAGAAAGTGTACTATTCACAGTTCTGATTGAAATAATTATCCAATAGACGGGAGGATTAAGTCTGAGATAACATCTTTGTATAAACCAGTTTTTTACGTCAGAGGTGCCATTTAAGTGTAATTCATTATTGTTATGGTGATAATGATGAATTCAGGCTACCTACTTGCTTCCAAAGAAAGCATATATGTTTTTCAGGTAAAAATATGAAAAACAAATCTACTCAATACAATTGGGAATGATCTAAGAAATTGGTGAAATTTTTCTTATTACTTGTATCAAGCTTTCCCTCAAATCTCAACAATTTTCTACCTTCTTAGTTGTGTGAAGTGGGAATTTGCAAATCAGAAAGAACAATCTATGATTGAGTTGAACCCTGGTTTTATTTCATTATTAGTCTTTAGTGACATTAGAATCTGTCTGGTTGTTATTGATCCGGATTTGGAGATACAAGTGGAACACATACTTGCTTGTACTCTGGCAGGTTGCCAAGACTAAAATCATGAGTCTTCTGAAATTGTTACTGGCTAGAATAGGTGCAAGTTGTCATTTATAAAGTTAATATATTCTCCTGTTTTATTCCATATGGTTTTATATGTGAGCGCTTTGTTTGTACATATGAAGTAGAACTCATGTTTTTTCCCTTTACTGTGTATTAGACTACCAAAACCTACTAAGATAATTTTAGATCTTTCACAGAAACTCAACTTAGTCTCATGAATATGTTGCTTCCTCTAGACCTATTTATATTTGTAGTAATTTTTTTTCCAGGAAGTGCTTTCCAGGAAACCAGCATCCACTGGGATAAATACAGGAATAAGAGGAGAGTTGCCCATTAAGGTCCATCAAGGTCTTTTAGCTGCTGTACCTTACCAGAATTATATGGAAAATCAGGTAGGGAAATATAAAAAGTAGAGGGGAAAGACATTGGCTTATTAGAAGTATCCACAGCTAACTAAGGATGGGATAAAGGGTTAAGATATCCAGTATTTTTTTTAACGGACTTTATTGAGATATAATTCATATACCATACAATTCACCCATTTAAAGTGTACAATTCATTGGTTTTTAGTACTCACAGTTTGCACAGGGTTGTGCAACTGTTACCACAATCTAATTTAGAGCATTTTATTTTTAATTTTTTAATTAATTTTTTAAAATAACTTTTATTTTAGGTTCAAGGATACATGTGTAGATTTGTCATATGGGTAAATTGCATGTTACAGGGGTTTGGTGTACAGATTACTTCGTCACGTGACTTTACCTAATAGGTAGTTTTCCCATCCTCACCCTCCTTTCACCCTCCACCCTCAAGTAGGCCCTGGTGTCTGTTGTTTCCTTCTTTGTGTTCATATGTACTGAATGTTTAGCTCCCGCTTGTAAGTTAGAACATGTGGTATTTGGTGTTCTGTTCATGAATTAGTTTGCAGTTTGCTTAGGATAATGGCCTCTAGTTTCATACATGTTGATGCAAAGGACATGATCTCATTCATTTTTATGGCTGCATAGTATTCCATGGTGTATGTGTACCACATTTTCTTTATCCAGTCTGCTGTTGATGGGCATTTAGGTTGATTCTGTGTCTTTGCTATTGTTAATAGTGCTGTGATGAAAATATGTGTGCATGTATCTTTAAGGCAGAGCAATTTATATTCCTCTGGGTATATACCAGATAATGGGATTGCTGGGTTGAATGGTAATTCTGTTTTAAGTTCTTTGAAAAATCACCAAACTGCTTTCCACAATGGCCGAACTAATTTACATTCCCCTTAGTGGTGTATAAGCATTCCTTTTTGTCCACAGCCGTGTCAGCATCTGTAATCTTTTGGCTTTTTCTGACTGGTGTGAGATGGTATCTTGTGGTTTTGATTTGCATTTCTCTAATGAGTGGTCCTTGGCCATGTGTATGTCTTCTTTTGAAGTGTCTGTTAATATCCTTTGCCCTCTTTTATGGAGTTTTTTGCTTGTAAATTTGTTTAATTCCTTGTATTCTGGATATCAGACCTTTCTTTGATGCATATTTTTTCCCATTCTGTAGGTTGTGTGTTTACTCTGTTGATGGTTGCTTTTGCTGTGCAGAAGCTCTTCAGTTTGATTAGATCCCATTTGTCATTTTTTTTTTTGTTGCAGTTGCTTTTGGCATCTTCATCATGAAATCTTTGCCTGTTTCTATGTCCAGATTGATATTTCCTATGTTATCTTCTAGTGTTTTTTATGCTTTTAGGTTTTACATTTAAGTCTTTAATTCATCTTGAGTTGATTTTTATATATGGCATAAGGAATGAGTCCAGTTTCAATCTTCTGCATATAGCTAGCCAAATATATCCCAGTACCACTGAATTGGGAGTCCTTTCCCCATTGCTTGTTTTTGTCAGTTTTGCTGATGATCAGATTGTTGTAGGTGTGCAGCATTATTTCTGGGCTCTCTATCTGTTCCATTGGTCCATGTATCTGTTTTTGTACTGATACCATGTTTTGGTTACTGTAGCCTTGTAGTGTAGTTTGAAGTAGGGTAATGTGATTCCTCCAGCTTTGCTCTTTTTCTTAGAATTGCCTTGGCTATTCAGGCTCTTTTTTGTTTTCATATGAATTTTCAAATAGTTTCTATGAAGAATGTCATTGGTAGTTTGATAGGAATAGCATTGAATCTGTACACTGCCTTGGGCAGTATGGCCATTTTAACTATATTGATTCTTTTTATCCATGAGCATGAAATGTTTTTCCATTTGTTTGTGTCATCTCTGATTTCTTTGAGCATTGTTTTTTAATTCTTATTGTAGAGGCCTTTCACCTCCTTAGTTAGCTGTATTCCTAGGTATTTTATTCTTTTGTGGCTATTGTGAATAGGATTGCATACTTGATTTGGCTCTTAGCTTGGGTATTGTTGGTGTATAGGAATGCTACTGATTTTGTATCCTGAAACTTTGCTGAAGTTGTTTATCAGATCATGGAGCTTTGGGCAGAGACTATGGGGATTTCTAGGTATAGAATCATATCTTCTGCAAATAGGGATAGTTTGACTTCCTCTCTTCCTACTTGGATGTCATTTTTTTTCTTTCTCTTGCCTGATTGCTCTGGCTAGCACTTCTAGTACCATGTTGAATAGGAATGATGAGAGAGGACATCTTTGTCTTGTTCTGGTTTTCAAGGGGAATGCTTCCAGTTTTGCCTATTCAGTATGATGTTGGCTCTGGGTTTTTTGTTATAGATGGCTATTTTTATTTTGAAGTATATTCCTTCAAACAAATGCCTCGTTTGTTGAGGGTTTTTAACATGAAAGGATGTTGAATTTTATTGAAAGCCTTTTCTGCATCTCTTGAGATCATCATGTGGTTTTTGTTTTTAGTTCTGTTTATGTGGTGAATCACAATTAATGATTTGTGTATGTTGAACCAACCTTGCATCCCAGGGATAGCTTTATTATGGTGGATTAGCTTTTTGATGCACTGCTGGATTTGGTTTGCTAGTATTTTGTTGAGGATTTTTGCATCTATGTTTATCAAGAATATTGGCCTGAAGTTTTGTTTTTTTGTTGTGTCTCTGCCAGGTTTTGGTATCAGGATGATGCTGGCCTTGTAGAATAAGTTAGGGAGGACTTCCTCCTCCTCAATCTTTTGGAATAGTTTCAGTAGAAATGATACCAGTTCTTCTTTATAACATCTGGTAGAATTCAGCTATGAATTTGTCTGGTCCTAGGCTTTTTCTGGTTGATAGGCTTTTTATTACTAATTCATTTTAAGAACGTGTTATTGGTCTATTCAGGGATTCAGTGTTTTCCTGGTTCAATCTTGGGAGGTTGTATGTTTCCAGATATTTATCCATTTCTTCCAGATTTTCTAGCTTGTGTGCATAGAGGTGTTCATCATAGTCTCCAAGGGTTTTTTTGTGTTTCTGTGAGGCCAGTGGTAATGTCCCCTTTGTCATTTCTGATTGTGTTTATTTGGATATTCTCTCTTTTTAATTAATCTAGCTAGTGCTCTGTCTTATTAATTCTTTCAAAAGACCAGTTCCTGGATTAATTGATTTCTTGTGTGTTTTCTGTTTCTCAGTTTTTATCAGTTCAGCCCTGATTTTGGTTAGTTCATGTCTTCTGCTAGCTTTGGGGCTGGTTTGTTCTTGTTTCTCTAGTTCTTCTAGTTTGATGTTAGGTTGTTAATTTGAGACCTTTCTAACTTTTTGATGTGGGTGTTTAAAACTATAAACTTCCCTCTTAACACTGCTTTGGCTGTGTCCCACAGATTCTGGTATGTTGTATCTTTTTTCTCATTAGTTTCAAATAATTTCTTGATTTCTGCCTTAATTTCATTATTTACCTGGAAGCCATTCAGGAGCAGGTTGTTTAATTTCCATGTAAATGTATGGTTTTGAGTGATTTTCTTAGCACTGATTTCTATTTTTATTGCATTGTGATCCGAAAGCATGGTTGGTTTGATTTTTGTTTTTTTGTGTTTTTTTGAATTTGCTGAGGATTGTTTTATGGCTGATTGTGTGGTTGATTTTAGAGTGTGTGCCATGTGCAGATGAGAAGAATGTATATTCTGTTAACTTTGGGGTGGAGAGTTTTGTAGATATCTATAAGGTCCATTTAGTCAAGTGTTGAGCTCAGATCCTGAATATCTTTGTCAGTTTTCTGCCTTATGATCTCTTTTTCTTTTGGAGATGGAGTCTTGCTTTGTCACCCAGGCTGGAGTGTAGTGGCATGATCTTGGCTCACTGAAACCTCTGCCTCCTGGGTTCAAGTGATTCTCCTGCCTCAGCCTCCTGAGTAGCTGGGACTGCAGGCACCCACTACCACACCTGGCTAATTTTTGTATTTTTAGCAGAGACAGGGTTTTACCATATTGGCCAGTCTGGCCTTCAACTCAGTGATCTCTTTAATATTGTCAGGGGGCCGTTGAAATCTCCCACTATTATTGTGTGGTTATCTCAGTCTTGTGGGGTCTCACTCTGTCGTCCAGGCAGGAGTGCAGTGGCATGATCTCAGCTCACTGCAGCCTCTGCCTCCTGGATTCAAGTGATGCTCCCAACTCAGCCACCTGAGTAGCTGGGACTACAGATGCACAACATCATGTGTGGCTAATTTTTGTATTCTTTGGTAGAGATGGGGTTTCTTCATGTTGGCCAGGCTGGTTTTGAACTCCTGATCTCAAGTGATCCGCCCACCTCAGCTTCCCACGGTGCTGGGATTACAGGCATGAGCCATCGCAGCTGGCCTGAGTCTCTTCATAGGTTTCTAAGAACTTGCTTTATGAATCTGGTTGCACTTGTATTGGGTGCATATATATCTAGGATAGTTAGGTCTTCTTGTTCAATTGAGCTTTTTACTATTATGTAATACCCTTCTTTGTCTTTTTTTAAATTGTTATTTGTTCAGAGTCTGTTTTGTCTGAAACTAGAATAGCAACCCCTGCTTTTTTATGGTTTCCATTTGCTTGGTAGATTTTTCTCCATCCCTTTACTTTGAGCCTATTGGTGTCATTTCATATGAGATGAGTCTCTTGTAGACAGCATACCATTGGGTTTTGCTTCTTTACCCAACTTGCCACTCTGTGCCTTTTAATGGGGCATTTAGTACATTTACATTCAAGGTTAGTATTTGGTGTGTGCAGATTTGATCCTGTCATCATGTTGTTAGCTGGTTATACAGACTTGTTTATGTGGTTGCTTTATAGTATCACTGGTCTATGTACTTAAGTGTGTTTTTGTAGTGGCCAGTAATAGTCTTTCCTTTCCATATTTAGCACTCTCTGCAGCACCTCTTGTAAGGCAGGTCTGATGGTAATGAATTCCCTTAGCATTTGCTTGTCTGAAAAATATCTTATTTCTTCTTCACTTATGAAGCTTAGTGTGGCTGGATGTGAAATTCTTGGTTGTAAATTCTCTTCTTTAAGAATGCTTAATATAGGCCCCCAATCTCTTCCAGCTTTTAGGGTTTCTGCCACCAGGTTTGCTGTTAACCTGATGGGATTCCCTTTGTAGATGACCTATCTCTTCTCCCTGGCTGCCTTTAACATTTTTTCTTTTATTTTGACCTTGGAGAATCTAAGAACTGTGTGGTTGGGGGATGGTCTTCTTCTTTTGTAGTATTTTGCAGGGGTTCTCTGCATTTCCTGAATTTGAATGTTGGCCTCTCTAGCCAGGTTGGACAAATTTTCATGGATGATATGAAAATATGAAATACATTTTGCAAGTTGCTTGGTTTCTTTCCCTCTCAGGGATGCCAATGAGTCATAGATTTGGTCTTTTTATATACTTCCATATTTTTTGGAGGTTTTGTTTATTCTTCTTTATTCTTTTTTCTTTATTTTTGTCTGACTGAGTTATTTTGGAGAGCCAGTCTTTGAGCTCTGAGGTTCTTTCCTCAGCTTGGTTAATTCTGTTATTAATACTACTGCATTATGAAATTCTTGTAGTGTGTTTTTCAGCTCTATCAGATCAGTTTGCTTCTTATAATGGCCATTTTGTCTATCAGCTTCTGTATCGTTTTATTGTAATACTTAGATTCCTTGGACTGGGTTTTAACTTTCTCCTGAATGTCGATATTTTTGTTCCTATCCATGTTCTGATTTCTATTCCTGTTATCTCAACCATTTCAGACTAGTTAAGAATTATTGTTGGGGAACTAGTGCAGTCATTTGAGGTAAGAAGACATTCTGGCTTTTTGAGTTGTCAGAGTTCTTGCACTGGTTCTTATGTTTGTGGGCTGTGTTGTTCCTTCAGTCTTTGAAGTTGCTATCCTTTGGATTTTTTTTTTTAATCCTCTTTGATGTCCTTGGGGGTTTGATTCTGGTATAAGGGGGAGTCAGTTGACTGGCTTCATTTCTGGAAGATTTTAGGGGCCAGAACTCAGCTCATGACTCTTGGACTGTGTGCTCCAAATCTGGGGGGCTGGTATTGGCCCTGGCTTTGTTCTCTGGCCTCTTAAGGTTAGGAACCTGCCACACTGGAGGAGCTAAGGTGTTCCCAGGCTGCTGGTCACAACACACTGATGGATGGTGCCAGCCAAAACGCTTTTTTGGGTGGTGGCAATGGGATTCATGCTTGTTTTTATGTGCCAGCAGCAGTGGCAGCGTGGCAGGGTACACGCCGTGGTGGGGTGCCGGCAGGTGCAGGGGTGCTGGCCTCCTTGTGGGCATTTGCAGTGGTGGTGGTTGCAGTGCTGCACCAGAGGATGGAGCGGCGGGAGTGGGGCCTACTGGCATCAGTGTGCATGTTCACTCTGGTGGCAGTGTCAGCATGTCATGGGGCACTCACAGGCATGGGGCTGGTTCCCTCCAGGTAGGCGTTCATGTGCAGCAGTGGCCGTGCAGGGCAGGGGGTAGGGCTGCTCGTCTCCTTGAGTGCCTTTGCATTGGCAGTAGTGACACACCATTGCAGGCAGGGTGCGCTCACATTGGCAGCAGTGGCATGGTGGGATGCATGCACACTGGTGGGGAAGCAGAGGTGAGGTCTGCCTGCACACACACATGTGAGTAAAATGATGTAGGTGTTGCTATGGATGAGTGCATGCTGGAAAAGTGGCATGAGGGAGGACGCAGTGGGGGAAGGGCATAGGCAGGCTCATGCTGGTTGGTGTGGTCTGCTGTGATGGTCAGGCATGGTCTGCCAGCACAGGAGCTATTATGTGGGCCTCTGGGAGGCACCCCGGTGGGCATCTGAGGTTGCACTGCAAGCAGGGCTGGGGCCCTGGGAGAGGCTGGTAGACAGGGGTGCACTCATGTAAAACTGGCCCTGTCTCACGGGCAAGATCGCCCTGCACTGTTCACGTCCGACAGTTCCCCTGTGGCTAATGTCTCCTAGGGGAGCAAGGTGGGCCTTGGGGGATGGACAGCCTGACCATGCCCCACTACAGATACTCCTTTACCAAACCCTCTAGGCTTTGCACCGGCTGGAATTCTGCCCACCACCTCTCTAAGCAGCTCTCCCTGCCAGCGCAAGTGTCAGTGGGGTTATGGGGTCTCCTGCTGCCAGGATTCCAGAGGTCTGTGGAGTGAGCAGGTCTCTTCTCACTTGTTCAATTCATCCCTTCCCCAGGAGCCACTGGGGGCCAGGAACAAGTCCTGGTGCACGGTAGCCCTCTTCAAGGTTCCCACCTTCCTCCTCCTTTGGCCCAGCATCTGTGTCTTCCCTCTGTCCACTCTTAATGCCTTCCCTCCAGAGATCTGCTAAGAGTGTACCTAATGTTCCAGTCTCTCGGTAGTAGATGTTCCTCCTGGCTGCTTCTAGCCAGCTATCTTGTTTTTGGGATTTGCTCTAGAGCATTTTCTTCACTCCTAAGAGAAACCCTCTATCTCATTCTCTCCTTGCCCTTAACCTCAATCCTAGGCAGCTACTAATCTACCTTTTGTCTGTATAGGTTTACCTATACTGGACATTTCATATGAAAGGAATTATATGATATATCGTCTTTTGTGACTGTTTTTTCTCTTTGCATAATGTTTTAAAGTTCATCCACATTGTAGTGGATGTATCAGTACTTCATTCTTTTTATTGCTGAATAATTTATTGTATAGATGTACCACATTTGGTTTATCCATTTATCAGTTAGTAGACTTTGGCGTTCTTTTCACTTCTTGGTGTTTATGAATTATGAACGATTGTGTATGAGCAGTTGTGTACACATTTTTGTGTGGACATTCATTTCTTTTAGGACATTCATTTCTAGGAGTGAACCTGCTGGATCATATAGTAATTCTATGTTTAACATTTCAAAGAACTGCTAAACAGTTTTCCACCAGCAATATGTGAGGGTTCCAATTTCTCTGTATCCTCCAACACTTATTATTGTCCTTCTCTTCTGTTATAGCTATCCTAGTAGATGTGAATTGGTATCTCACTGTCCTTTTGATTTGTAGTATATTTTCCTGATGACTAATGATCTTCAGTATCTTTTCATGTGCTTGTTGCCCAGTTGTGTAACTCTTGTGGATAAAATGTCATGCATGTGCTTTACCCATTTTTTAATTGGGTTGTCTTTTTATTATCAAATTGTTAAGTGTTTATATATATATAAATTTATACATAAAATGTATATATATAATATGTATATATTCTGGATACAAGTTCCTTATCAGATAGTTGATTTGCAAGTATTTTCTCCCATTCTGTAGACTGTTATCTTACTTGATTAATAGTATTGTTTATGGCATAAGATTTTTAAATTAGTCACTTCTTTTTTTCTTATGTTGCTTGTGCTTTTGATGAATTATCTAATAATAATTGTTTATCTTGAGATCATGAAGATTTATTCCTATGTGTTCTTTTAAGATTTTATAGTTTTTAGCTCTTAATTTTAGGTCTGTGATCCATTTCGAGTTAATTTTTATGTATGCTGTAAATAAGTGGTTCATCTTCATTCTTTTGAATATAGGTGTCTAGTTGTCTCAGCATCACCTGTTGAAAACACTATTCTTTCCTCATTGAATTTTCTTGGTACTCTTGTCAAAAATCAATTGACTATAAATGTGAGGGTTTATTTCTGAACTTTGAGTTCTGTTCCATTGTTCTGTATGTGTCAGTATTACAATGTCTTGATTCCTATAACTTTGTGGTAACTTTTGAAATTGGGAGGAATGAGATCTTCATCTTTGTTCTTCTTTTTCAAGAAAGTGTTTTGCTACTATGGGTTCCTTGCATTTCCATCTGAATTTTATGATTAACTTGTTAATTTCTGCCAAAGAAAAGCCAAGTGGCATTTTGATAGGGAGTGTTGTAAATTTGAGAAATATTACCATCTTACCAATCTTTTCTCTTGATCCATGAACATGTTATGTCTTTCCATTTATTTTGATCATCTGTCATTTCTTTCAATTATCTTTTTAGTTTTCATTATACAGTCCTGCACTGTAAACATTGTATAACATTTGACTATGCTGACCTACTAAAATTATAATAGCAGTGACCTGAAGCCTAGAATTTTATTGCAATCACATTGTTTCTTCCTATAATAGCTACATGGTGCTGTGTGTGTGTGTGTGTGTGTGTTTGTGTGTGTGCGCGCGCGCGCGTGCGCGTTTTCATTGTTTTTTTCTTTAGGAACTTGACTATGAGGAACCTGACTATGAGGAATCTTCATCTCTTGTAACTGATGAGAAAGGGAAAGAAGATTTGTTTGGGAGAGGCCAGCAGGACCAGCAGGCTATCCATTCTGAAGATAAGAACAAACCTTTCAGCAGAGTTCAGGTAAAGCAATAAGAGAAATTAAATTAATTGTGATTTGGACTAGGTATTGCCAGTAATGTTGTACTGATTTAGGATTGTAGATTTAGCTTTTGTTAAGTTGGACAAAGATTATAATTTCACATTTTGTTCTAGTAATTTGCTTCACTGCCATATCATTTTGATATTTCGATTATTTTGGAAAATCTAGAGTATTGCTACTAACTCACATTCTGTATTTGGTGTTTATGTTCACTTTTAGAAAGTAAAATTCAAAAATCCATTATTTGTTCTGATGGAAGAGGAAGAACAAAAGCAGTTACATTTTGAGGGCCTTCAGGATATTCTGCCAGAAGCCCAGGATTATTTTCTAGAAGCCCAAGGTGATTTGCTGGAAACCCAGGGTGATTTGACAGGAATCCAGAGTGTTAAGCCAGATACCCAGGCTGTTGAAATGAAGGTTCAGGTTACTGAGCCAGAAGGCCAGGCCATTGAGCCAGAAGGCCAGCCTATTAAGACAGAAACTCAGGGTATTATGCTGAAAGCCCAGAGTATTGAGCTAGAAGAAGGGAGTATTGTGTTGAAAACCCAGGATTTTCTACCCACAAATCAGGCTCTTCTAACGAAAAACCAGGATGTTTTACTCAAAGACCACTGTGTTCTCCCTAAAGACCAGAGTATTCTACTCAAATATCAGGACCAGGACTTCCTACCCAGAGACCAGCATGTTCTCCACAAAGACCAAGATATTCTGCCAAAATATCAGGACCAGAATTTTCTACCTAAGGACCAGAATTTTTTATCTAGAGACCAGCATGTTCTCCCCAAAGACCAAGATATTCTGCCAAAATATCAGGACCAGAATTTTCTACCTAAGGACCAGAATTTTTTGTCTAGAGACCAGCATGTTCTCCCCAAAGACCAGAATATTCTACCTAAATATCAAGGCCAGGATTTTCTACCTAAAGACCAGGACTTTTTATCTAGAGACCAGCATGTTCTCCCCAAAGACTGGAATATTCTACCCAAATGTCAGGACCAGGATTTTCTACCCAGAGACCAAGGTGTTCTTCCCAAAGACCAAAATATTCTACCCATATGTCAGGACCAGGATTTTCTACCCAGAGACCAAGGTTATCTTCCTAAAGACCAAAATATTCTACCCATATGTCAGGACCGGGATTTTCTACCCAGAGACCTGCATGTTCTCTCCAACGACCAGAATATTCTACCCAAATGTCAGGACCAAGATTTTCTACCAAAATATCAGGTAAAATAGAGCAGAAAGGAGATACAAAAAGAAGAAATAAGCTACTTAGGGTTTGAGGAGGGATTTGTAAGGACTGCAAGTATACCTTGGAGATACTGTGGGTTCAGTTCCAGGCCATTGCAATAAAGCAAATATTGGAATAAAGTAAGTCACACAAATTTCTTGGCTTCCCAGTACATATAAAAGTTATGTTTATATTGTACTGTAGTTTATTAGTGTGCAATAGCATAATGCCTAAAAAAAGTACATACCTTAATTTAAAAATACTTTATTGCTAAAAAATGCTTACGATTATCTGAGTCTTCGGCAAGCCATAATCTTTTTGCTGGTGGAGGGTCTTGGCTCAATGTTGTTATCTGCTGACTAATCAGGGTGGTGATTACTGATGTTTGGGGTGGCTGTGGAAGTTACTTAAGATGATGAAGTTTGCCACATCATTTGACTCTTCCTTTCACGAAACATTTCTCTGTAGCATGTGATAATGTTTGATAGCATTTGATCTACAGTAGAACTTCTTTCAGAATTGGAATCAATTCCCTCAAACCCTGCCACTGCTTTATCAGCTAAGTCCGTGTAATATTCTAAACCCTTTGTTGTCATTTTAACAATGTTCACAGTAGATTCCATCTCAAGAAAACACTTTCTTTGCTCATCATAAGAAGTAACTCCTTATCCATTTAAGTTTGAACATGAGATTGCAGCAATTCACTCACATCTTCAGGCTCCACTTCTAATTCTAGTTCTCTTGCTGTTTCTACCACATTACAATTACTTCCTTCACTGAAGTCTTGAATGCCTCAAAGTCCATGAGGGTTCGAATCAACTTCTTCCAAACTCCTGTTAAGGTTGATATTTTGACCTCCTCCCATGATTCATGAATGTTCTTAATGGCATCAAGATGGTGGACCCTTTCCAGAGGGTATCAACTTACTTTGCCCATATCTATCAGAGGAATTGCTGTCCGTGACAGAAATGTATTTTATAAATAACAAGACTTGAAAGTCAAAATTATTTCTTGATCCACAAACTACAGAATGGATGTTGTGTTAGCAGCCATGAAAAAACAACATTAATCTCCTTGTATATCTTCATCAGAGCTCTTGGGTGACTAGGTGCATTGTCAATGAGCAGTTTAAAAGGCATCTTTATTTTTTTTGGAACAGTTGGTCTCAACAGTAAGTGTAAAATATTCTGTAAAACATGCTGTAAACAGATGTGCTGTCATCTTGGCTTTGTTATTCCCTTCACAAAGCACAAGAAAAGTAGATTTAGTGCCATTCTTACGGGTCCTAGGACTTTTGGAATGGTAAATGTGCATTGGCTTCAACTTAAAGTCACCAGCTGCATTAGCCACTAACAAGAGAGTCAGCCTGTCCTTTGAAACTTTGAAGCCAGACATTGACTTTTTCTCTCTAGCTGTGAAACTCCTAGTCATCTTCTTCCAATATAAGGCTGTTTTGTCCAAACTGAAAATCTGTTGTCCAGTGTAGCCACCTTCATCAGTGATCTTAGCTAGATCTTCTAGATAACTTGCTGTAGCCTCTCATCAGCACTTACCGCTTCACCTTGCCCTTTGATGTTATAGAGACACCTTATTTCCTTAAACCTCATGAACCAACCTCTGCTAACTTCCAACTTTTCTTCTGTAGTTTTTTCACTTCTCTCAGCCTTCATAATATTGAAGAGAGTTAGGGCCTTGCTCTGGATCAGGCTTTGGCTTAAGGAGCTGTTGTGGCTGGTTTGATCTGTCCATACTGCTAAAACATTTTGCATATCAGCAATAAGGCTATTTTGCTTTCTTATCATGTATTCACTGGAGTAGATTTTAATTTCCTTCAAGAACTTTTCCTTTGCATTCACACAGGGCTGTTTGGTACAAGAGGCCTAGCCTTCGGACTGTCTTGGCTTTCAACAGGCCTGTTTCACTAAGCTTAATAATTTCTAGCTGTTGCTTTAAAGTGGGAGACATGTGGTTCTTTCTTTCACTTGAACACTTAGAGACCATTGTAGGGTTATTAATTGGCCTAATTTCAATATTGTTGTGTCTCAGTGAATAGGGAGGCCTAAGGAGAGGTAGGGGGGTGGCCAGGTGGTAGAACAGTGAGAACACACACAACATTTATCAGTTAGGTTTGCTGTCTTAGATGAGCGTGGTTATGGTGCCCCAAAACAATTAGGATAGTAACATCAGAGATCACTGATCATAGATCTCTATACCAGATATAATAGTAATGGAAAAGTCTGAACTATTGTGAAAATTTCCAAAATGTGACACAGAGACATTACACGAGCACATGCTGTTGGAAAAGTGACACCAGTGTATTGGCTTGACGTATGATTGCCACAAACCTTCAGTTTGTAAAAAACACAACATCTGCAAAGCATAATAAAAATAGGTATGCTGTATATTGTACCTGATTTGGAGATCCATACTTGGAAAAAATAGTTTCTTGATTGATTTCTCAAAACTCCAGTGCTCTTACTAAATGTTAAAGTATTACCAGCAGCATATTACTCCAAATAAACAATTTGCTGTTTCTTTTCTTTTTATTCAATTTTTTAAATCAACACTCTACCCAGATTTTGTGAACAATTTAATTTTTTATTTTTAATCTTCTTCATTGGGAGAAATATTTCTGGCAGCCATTATCTGCTTAGACAGCTGAAAGATGGAAAAAGGAGTGGTCCATAAGTACTCAGCAGTATCTTTCACACAGGTTCCAAGGCCATCCCTCCACCAGAGATGAGTTAGACTAAAAGGAAGAAGAAAGACCAACAGGAATTAGATTACTTAGGGTTGTGGTTGGACTTTTGTGGAATGGAGTGTAGTTTTTGGTTTTTCCATAAGGTGCTCAATTATATTCTGATCTTGGTTAACTCCAGAATTCTCACTAAAACCTAAAGTCTTAACCTGTCATTCTTAACGGAGCAATTGATATGTTGTGTTTGTTCTTTCATAGAAAGCAAGTCTGAAGCAGCCAACATCCATTTTGATAGGTAGGAGAGGGAGAGAGGCACTTCCTCTGGATGTCCATCAGGATCTTCTATGCAGGCATCATCAGGCCTCCATCAGAGGCAAGGTAGAAAAGAAAAATGACAGAGACCAACAGGAACTGAATTGTTTAGAGTGTAGTTTGAAGCTTTCAAAGGTTGTTCTCAGCTAAACTTCAGAACTGACAAAAAGTATGAGTGTCTCTTTTATTCCATAATGTTTTATATTATCCTGAAAAAAACTACCCTTTGGCCTTCAATGAAGCCTAGAATATTATTGCCATCATATTAGTCTTGCTAGACAATTTATAGTTTTTTATTATTTTATCTTTTAGAAAGTACACTTTAAGGAGCCATACTCTGATATGACAGATGAGAAAGGGAGAGAAGACTTTTCTCTGGCAGACTATCAGTGTTTGCCTCCCAAATCCCAGGACCAGGATGACATCAAAAATCAGGTAGAGTAGAAGAAAAAGATATAAACAGGAAGGAAGTACCCAGGTTTTATAAATCCCAACAACTGGTAATTTAGAATGAGGGATTTTGGAGCTAACCTAAGAATATAGTGGCTTTTTTCTGATGGAGTCTTTCTCTGTCGCCCAGGCTGGAGTGCAGTGGCACAATCTCGACTCATTGCAACCTCTGCCTCCTGGGTTCAAACGATTCTCCTGCCTCAGCCTCCCGAGTAGCTGGGATTACAGGCGCATGCCAGCACGCCTGGCTAATTTTTGTTTTTTTAGTAGAGATGGGGTTTCAACATGTTGGCCAGGCGGGTCTCGAACTCCTGACCTCAGGTGATCTGCCCGCCTCTTCCTCCCAAAGTGCTGGGTTTACAGGCGTAAGCCACTGTCCCCGGCCAGAATACAGTATTTTTTATTCCTTCCCACATTAGTGGGAAGATGATCCTAAGTCCTATTAGAACAGAGGAACTGCTTCAGGAGCATAGAGTGTTAAACACTAAACAATTCAGTTCCTCCTGGTCTCTCTCCTTTTTGTTTTTTTCTCTTCTACTTTGTACTTCAGTGGTACAAAAGACCCTGGTCTAGGGAACTATATGAGTCAAAATCAGTTCAGTGATTTCTGAGGCTGATGTATCACGTTCATATCTTATTCCAGAATCAGTTGACTATTTTAATTTAACAAGATTATTCTTCAACTCTTACCAAAGCCAACAGTATTGCTGCAAGCATAATGCCCCTACATGTACAATGTAGGAACTAGAAGATACTTAGGATTTGATGAGTTTGTCAGACTATTCTGTCAATGATGGGATTAAGAATTAAGGTCTACATAGTTGAGCTAAAAGTGTAACATCTCCCTCATATCAAAACGTATCAGAATATTTTTACCTGGTTTCATTTCTCTGGAGTTTTCACTGAAGCTTATGATATTATGATTAGCATTACACAATTTTTTTTCTGTTGTTGTTTTTCCTTTAAAATATGTTTCTCAAGCAACCTGCATCTTTTATGAGAGAAGAAAGAGTGAGAGAAGAATTGCCTCTGGACTATCATCAATATGTTGTACCTAAAATCCAGGACCAAGACTCCCCTAGAGAACAGGTAGAACCGAATACAGTAGGAGGACTGTATACCTTCTAAAAGGGGAACAAGCCTAAATCATATTAACATTGAGGCTGAAGCCTGTCAAGCTAGCTTGTTTGTGGAATACATAGAATTAAGGCCTCCAGAATTAAGCTAAGAGTATAATGTTTTTGGTTATTTCAAAATGTGCCAGAATAATCTGGAATTTGCTTTAAAATACTCCAGGAAAAACATTGGAGAAGAGATAGATAATAAAGCAAAATGTTGCTAATTGTTGAATCTGGGTAATTGTTGAATCTTGAGATTCATTATACTTTTTTTTTTTCTACTTTGATGCAAGTTTGGAAATTTTTATGTTGAACACACACACAGCTTTAACTGTGTTCTATTATCCTCACCTAGTGTCATTACTCTGGGATTGTCACTGAAGTCTATAATACTGTCACTAGCCCGTCATTTCTGCTTAGACAATCAGTTTTGTATTTTGTTGTTCCTTTAGAACAAGCATATCAAACTACCCTCATCTTTTGAGAAATGGGAGATTGCAAGAGGAAATACTCCTGGAGTGCCCTTGGTATGTTTCACACAATATTCAAGATCTAGTCTCTTCTAGAGAAGTAGAGCAGAATATAGTGAGTAAGTAACAGAGTGTAAATTGCTTTTTTTTTGGCTGAAGATTGACAGGGCAATGTAACTGCTTCAGGAATTTAGTGTTAAGGTTAGTAATAACGGGCAAAGAATATAACGTTCTTTTGTTCTGTGATGTATCACACCATTCTGACCTATTGAAACTACCTCAGTCTTCTTGACTGAAGCTTTTACCATTGCCACAGGAATGATGATCCCGCTTGGATAACTTATGTTCAGTGTTTATGTTGTCTTTTAGCACAGGAACTATGAGTAGGCCTCACGTGATATGAGAGATGAGAGATGGAGGAAGGAGTTACTTCCATAGCGCCATGGATATATTTTACATGAAATCCAAGATCCAGGCTCTGCCAGAGAGCAGGTAGAGCAGGGTGTATTAAAGAGTAAGCAACAGAAAGCAAATTAGAGTTTGAGCTGGGCTTGTCATAGTTTCGTTACCAAAAAAGATCATGATGATCACGTTATCTGTTTTTAAGATTAGCAATAGTGTTATTAATATTATTATGAATAACAGCTTACATTCATTGAACACTTACCACAGCCAAAATGGTTTTAGAATTTTATATGAAGTATCTTATTTGATTTTCATAATAACCATAGAAGATAGATACTATTATTATCCTTGGATTATAGATGAAATTGAAGATTGCTTCGCAGGTAGAGTTAAGATCCAGAATGGTGACAAGAAGTATAATGTCTGCTTTTATGCCATAATATATCAGACTATTCTGACTCATTTAGATTACTTCAGGGCTATCACTGAAGCTTACAGTATTATCACTACTGTGATACCCCTGCTCACACAATTTGGTAAGTGTTTTTGTATCTTTTAGAACTTATACATTAGGCAGCAGCTATCTGTTTGGTCAGCTGAAAGACGGCCACAGGATTTGCTTCTGGGTGGCCATTAGCACCTTTCACCCATGCACCAGAGAGATACTTCCAGCAGACGACAGGTAGAGCACATCACAGGGTATGAGCAGTGGAATTTGGACAAGATTATAGGTACCTACTAAACTGGGAGTGGTCAGGCTGATCAAGAAGCACATTCCTGTTTTATTTCATACAGCGCAAAATGTATCCTGATATTATTATCCTAATCCTAAGATTATTTTAGGTCTCCCATTGAAACCTAGGGTATTTTGGGGAGCATTTATTGTCCATTTGAAAAACTATATTTTAGATGTATTTTTATAAAAGGTATATTTCTGATGGCCATTGTCTTTTACAGTGTGAGAGGGGAAGAAATGAGCAGTTTCTGAGGGCAGGGGTTATGAGGATCTTCCACCCCATGGCCAGTACTAGATCTCCATCAGTAAGCTGGTAGAGCATAAGGCAGGCTCACCAAGAAATAAACTAATCAGGTTTGGGCTGGAGCTTGTTAGGTTTCTGTTGCCTAAGGTTTGGGGGCATTGAGTTAAGATCTGTAGTTTTTCAAGAAAATGTTACAACATCCTGGCCTACTAAGATTTTTCCGTGGCTTAACTGAAGTTTAGTTTATTATCACTGGAATTTTACCCCTCTGTGCATAATTTTTATTTTCTGATTTTATGTTTTTAAAAATGAAGGCTTACGGCAACCAGCAGTGTTAGGCTGTGTGAGAGACTGAAGAGAAATTTTCTCTTGGCCTCTTTAAGAGGGCAAAATTCAAAGGAGGCAAAGAAGCAGAAAATAGAGTTTGGGCTGCGGTTTTCAGGACTGAACTGCAACTCTTGGTGATTTTTAGTTTGGGTCTGTAAGGTTGGCCTAAGGGTATGCTGCTGTGTTTTAGTCTACATTGTCATTTATACATCCTGAGCCCTGCCAGGCTCTTTCCTACCTCAGGTCTTTTGCATATGTTGTTTCCTCTTGTCTGGGTAGTCTTCCCTTTTTTCTTCATAAAGTCGGTCCCTTCTTATCCTTCGGGTTTCAGCTTAAATGTCACCTCCTTGGAAAAGGCTATCCTTACCACCTTATCAAAAATAGATCTCCTTTTTTCTGTTTTTCTCTATCCTTGCATTCTGTTTGTTGCCTTTTCAGTACAAAACAATTTGTAGTTAATTATTAATTTGCTTGTTTTCTTATTGTCTGGAGATTTCCCACTAGCCCATAAGCTTCTTGAGAGAGGTACCATACCTGTTTTGTTTACCATTGTATGAACAGCACTTGGCACAGTGGCTAGTACCTAGTAGTCACTTGGTAGATAGGTTTTGAATGTGTTAGTTGATCAGTCAAACATCTATTGAGCACGTTTTAGGTGTTAGCCATTGTTTAAGTCCTAAATATCAAAGATACAGTTGTGAGCAAGACACGACACTCAAATTTCAGACAATCTAAAGAAGAGAGACTGATACATAAACATAATTATGCAGCAGCATAATTAGTGATAGAGGACGCATGGGGCATTCACAAAGCACACAAGAGGGGTACTTACTCTGGACTATTCAATTCAGGTTACAGCTTTGGTGATCTGAATCTCTTCTTGTCCTTCTGCTGTTACTATCCCTGGAAATTTTCAACCCTGGAATAGCCTTTTCTCCTTTTTTTTTTTTGAGACAGAGTCTTACTCTGTCACCTAGGCTGGAGTGCAGTTGCGCAATCTCAGCTCACTGCAACTCCGCCTCCCGGGTTCAAGTGATTCTTGTGCCTCAGCCTCCTGAGTAGCTGGGACTACAGGCATGTGCTACCAAGCCTGGCTAATTTTTGTATTTTTAGTAGAGATGGGGTTTCGTCATGTTTGCCATGCTGGTCTCAAACTCCTGACCTCAGGTGACCCTCCCACCTGAGCCTCCCAAAGGTGCTGGGATTACAGGTGTGAGCCACTGTACCTGGCCATCTTTTCACCTTTTACGCTGCCAAATAATCCAGCCTTTTTGAACAAAACACTTTAATAGTATAGATTTATATCACATTCATACTTAGGGTTCCCAGGGCTGCCCAGTGCCCTACCCTGACTATTCTAAATCTTAAACTCTCCTTAAACTTCCTGCTGCACCCCCATATTCTCAACTTTCATACGGAAAATAAAAGCTATCACACAATAACTGCCTTAACCATTTACTTTCTTTTTGTTGCTATTATTACTTATTCCTACTATCTCAGAGGAAAAGTTTTCTCTTCAAGCCCCACCAGCTAATTCTCTCCTCTTCAGAGTTAATCACTGTCAAGAGTTGTATGCATCCTTTGAGTCCTCTTTATAAGCATTTATACACATGTAAATATAGACACATTAAAAATTGTGATAAAATATACATACCGTAAAATTTCCCATTTTAATCCTTTTTAGGTATACAGTTCAGTGGTGTTAAGTACACTCACATTGTTGTGCAACCATCACCACCATCCATCTCCAGAGTTTTTTCCATCTTGTAAAACTGAGACCATATACCCGTTAAACAGTAATTTCTCAGTCTCTTCTCCCCATGTCCCTGGCAACCACCATTCTACTTTCTGTATTCATGAATTTGATTACTCTCGGTACCTCATATGAGTGAAATCATACAGTATTTGCCCTTTTGTGCCTGCCTTATTTCACTTAGCATAATGCTATGGCATATTATAGGAGTTACTTCCTTTTTAAGGCTGAATAGCATTCCACTGAATGTATATACTACATTTTGATTACCCATTTATCCATTGACTGTTCCACAATCAGTTTTCTCTGTTGTAGACCTTCCTGTACAGTATGAATCCTGTTGTGTAAGGTTCCTTTTGCTCAGCATAATGTTTCTGAGATTCATTCATATTGCTGCATCAATAATGTATTCTTTGCGTTGCTGTATAGCATTCCGTTATTTGAATATATCACAGTTTGTTTATTCAATCTCCTATTGATGGACATCTGGGTTGTTTCCTGTTTGTAGCTAGTTGATACTGGGAATGGGGTGCTGCTACAACAAATATCGAAAAAATGTGGAAATGGCTAAAAAAATGGGTAATGGATAGAGGTGAAGAATTTTGAGGCCCATGACAGAGAAAGCCTGTATCATTTTTTAAATTATTGTTATATTTTGAAACAGACTGTCACTCAGTTGCCCAGGCTGGATTGCAGTGGTACAATCATAGCTCACTGAAGCCTCAAATGAGTGGCTCAAGTGATCCTCCTGCCTCAGCCTCCTAAGTAGCTAGGACTAGAGGTTGTGCTACCCATGCTTGGCTAATGTTTATATTTTTGTAGAGACAGGGTCTTGCTGTGATGCCTACTCTGGTCTTGAGCTCCCGGCCTCAAGTGATCCTCCTGCCTCAGCCTCCCAAAGTGTTAGGATTGCAGGTGTGAGCCACTGCTCCTGGCCATCATTTTAGAGAATATCTTCGTTGTTATAAGCAAAATATTGGTGGAAATGTCTACATTAAAGATACTGCCAACTGGGCATGGTGGCTCATGCCTATAATCCCAGCACTTTGGGAGGCTGAGGTGAACGGATCACTTGAGACCAGGAGTTTGAGACCAGACTTGCCAACAAGGTGAAACCCTGTTTCTACTAAAAATATAAAAATTAGACAGGCATGGTGGCATGCACCTGTAATCGCAGCTACAGGGGTGGCTGAGGCACAAGAATCACTTGAACTCAGGAGGCAGAGGTTGCAGTGAGCCGAGATCGCACCACTACACTCCAGCCTGGGTGACAAGAGCAAAACTCTGTCTCATAAATAAATAAATAAACAAACAAACTGCCAGTGAAGCTCAAGGAAATGAGGAACATGGAAACTGGGGGAAAGGTAATCCTTGTTATTTAGTGGTAGGAAGCTTAGCCAAATTGTGTCCTACAGTTGTATGGAAGGCATAACTTCTAAGCAATGAACTTGGAAATTTAGCTGAGATTTGCAAGCAAAGTGCTAAAGGTGCAGTGTGGTTTCTTCTTGTTGCCCCCCAGAGAGGCTGCCAGGGTCTGTCTGGAATCCCTCTCTCCATGTTGTGGACTAGAAATTATTCAGGCAGTAAGCTGGGACAGTTGTAGTGCTGACCACATTTGTTTACTGTCTATGAGAAATAATTATCCTGTGCTTCCTTATAGTCAGTGTTTAAAAACCATTGTTGTATAGATTTTTGTTTGTTTTTTGTTTTCTCAGTCTTCAGGCAGGAAGGTAAATTCCGTTCTATTATTGCATTGTGGCTTCAAGCAGAAGTCTCTTTATTTAAATATTACTTAATTTCATTCTAACTGACCTATTACCTTTTTGTCTCTATCTCTTCATATTATCTTATAATAGTTGCTGTGAGGATTACAATATACATACCAAACCTTTCACAGTCTACTTTGAGTTAATAGTTTACCACATTAAGTAAATGTAGAAGCTTTATAATCAGATAGGTCCTTTTCCCCTTTCTCCTTTATGTTATAATTGTCATAGGTGTTCCATCTATCTACACTGAAAACTCCATTTTTTTTTGCCTCCAATAATCATACATGTTTTTATGAAAAACTTGAGAGAGTCTCTACTTTTTTTTTTTTTTTTTGGAGACAGAGTCTCACTCTGTCGCCTAGGCAGGAGTGCAGTGGTGTGATCTCAGCTCACTGCAACCTCTGCTTCCCCAGGTTCAAGCGATTCTCCTGCCTCAGCCTCCTGAGTACCTGGGATTACAGGTGCATACCACTATGCCTGGATAATGTTTGTATTTTTAGTAGAGAAGGGGTTTCGCCATGTTAGTTAGGCTGGTCTCAAACTCCTGACCTCATGATCTGCCCGCCTCAGCCTCTCAAAGTGCTGGGATTACAGGCGTGAACCACTGCGCCCGGCCGAGAGTCTCTACTTATTGACTCTTTTTGTTGCTTGCACATTAGAAACATTTTTCCACTGTCTTCTGGTTTCCAGTCTTCGATAGCAAATTTGTAATTATTTGAGTCATTGTTCTTCTATATGTAATGTGTCTGTTTTTTCTGGCTACTTTCAAAACTCTTGTTATTTTTTGGTTTCCAGCAGTTTAATTATGATGTGTCTGGGCATAATGTTTTTTAGTTTATCCCATCTCAGGTATGATGAACATTTTCAATCTGTAAATCTATATCTTTGACCAAATTTGGGAAGTTTTTTGCCATTATGTCTCCAAATTTTTTTATGTACTAATTATTTTCTCCTTTCCTTCTGCAACTCCAGTTACACAAATTTTAGACCTTTTGATATTGTCCCACAGATGCATCATTTACATGCTGTTCATTTTTTTTTTCAGTCTTATTTTTTCTCTTTGTTCTTCACAGTGGATCATTTATATTGATCCAATAGATTCAAGTTCACTGACTTTTTTTTCATTCTTCTATTGAGTCTATCCAGTGAAATTTTGATTTCACATATTGTGTTTTTCTGTCTCTAAAATTTGGATCTGCATTTTTTTAATAGTTTTTATTTTTGTGGTGAGAACTTTTGTATTTTCATTCACTTCAATTGGGTTTGCCTTTACCTCATAGATAAAGTATTAATCACTGCTTTAAAAGTTTTGTCTGTTAATTCAACATCCGGGTCACCCTGGAGTTGGGATCTGTTTATTATCTTTACCCCTCAGAATTGGTCACATCTTCCTGCTTTCTTCTATGTCAACTAATTTTAAGTTGTATCCTAGACTTTTTTTTTTTTTTTTTTTTTTTTTGAGATGGAGTCTTGCTCTGTCACCCAGGCTGGAGTGCAGTGGTGTGATCTTGGCTCACTGCAACCTCTGCTTCCTGAGTTCAAGTGATTCTCGTGTCTCAGCCTCCCTAGTAGCTGGGATTACAGGCGCCCACCACCACGCCTGGCTAATTTTTTTTATTTTTAGTGGAAACGGGGTTTCACCATGTTGGCCAGGCCGGTCTTGAACTCCTGACCTCAAGTAATCCACCCGCCTTGGCCTCCCAAAGTGCTGGGATTACAGGCATGAGCCACCATGCCAGGCTAATATTTCTAATATTGTATTTTGAGACTCTGGTTTCTGTTAAAATCCTCTAAAGAATATTGTATCTTTTATTTGTTTGTTTGTTGTAGCAGGCAGTCAGCCTGGTTAAATTCCAACTGTAAGTGATCTCTCCTATGCACCATGGCTTCAATGTTACTTTAGTTTTCAAAGCTTTCATTATACTCCTATAGGTCTGTCCCATACATGCACAATTCAAGGGGGATTCTGAGATATATGCCAGTTCACACACAGAATTAAGGGGTCCACTTTCTAGCTCACTTCTCTCTAGGTTACCCCCTATGCTCTCCATAGGGGGTAGATCCCAGGAGCTACATTTCTCAGAAGTCTTAGTTACAATCAATGAGAGCAAGAGAGAGAGCCCATAGTGTGCTTCGTCATTAGTACTGGGAGTCCAGTTTTCTTTATTGAAAACAGAAAGTAATTTCATTTTTATTGTAGAGAAGATAAACACAAATGAAAAAGATAACCACAAATTTTAGAGATATTTCACATTAACATTTTGCTGTATAGATTTTCAGACTTTTAGAGTCACAAAACAAATAAATAACTTCTAAAATAATAATAGCTTTATTGATATATACAGTTTATTCTTGTCATTCATAGTGGTTGTGTTATATAAAGTTGTTACAAACACTGAATCAGGAAATACTGAATTTTTGCTCCTAGGGGAGATACCAGGGGTAGATTCCTGCAAGCCTCTGGTCATACCATTTTTGTCAACTAATCAATACATAACCTTATTTTATATATATTTCTCTTTAAAACACCTTATTTAATATATATGATTGATCCGTTAACATGAACTCACAGCCAACAGCACTGTAACTCATGCTGGAATGAAGCTTATCTAACATGCATATTTTTTCCATAAGGTACACCACTGCCTTTTTGTGCTTAGTAATAATAGATAGTACTTCAGCTATGCATGGGGACCATTTTAACAGTGAAATCACCAACATAGAACACAAAAATGCAAAAACTTGGCACCAAATAGACTGCAAAAAGAACACTTGTTTACAGTATGAGAGCTGAAACAAAAAGGCAGAGTATCACCTTGGTCAGCCTCAGTTGGCAACATGCATATTGGATGACTCAAATTTTTCACAGCTCTGTGCATGTCTGCAAAGGCCTGCAAAAGCACCATAAGTATTGGGATTACACATAAATTTTAGTGAATAGGCAAATTTGCAAATGTGGAATATGCAAATAATGAATGACTATAATTCACATATACAATTGACCTATTAAAGTATACAGTATTTTTAGTATTCACAGGGTTGTGCAAAAATCACAGGTTGTGTTTGTGGCATTAACCACAATCAATCTGAGAACATTTTCATCACCCCCCAAAAGTCCTGTACCACGCCACTTTTCCCTTTAGCCCCACCTCCAGTCCTATGCAACCACTAAGCTATTTTCTGTCTTTACAGATTTGCCTATTCTGGGTAGTCTATGTAAAGGAGACCATGAAAGATGTGGCCTTTCGTGACTGGCTTCTTTCACTTAGCATGTGTTTTCAAAATCCATTGATGTAGCATATAGCAGTACTTTGTTCCTATTCATTGCTGAAAAATATTCCATTTTGTGCATATAGCACATTTTATTTATCAATTCATCTATTGATGGAAGTTTGGCTTATTTCTTCTTGGCTGTTAAGAATAGTACTGCTGTGAACATTTGTGTACAAGTTTTTTTTTTGTGGGCATATTTTTCACTTCTCTTGGTCATATTATACCTCATAGTGGAATTGGTGGAACGTATGATAACTGTGCTTAACCTTTTGAGGACCTGCCAAACTGATTTTTCCAAAGTAGCTGCACCATTTTTCATTCCCACCAGCGGTATATGAGGACTCAAATTTCTCCATATCCTCACCAACACTTGTTATTATCTGTATTTTTAATTATTGCCATCCAAGTGGGTGTGAAGTAGCATCTCACTGTACTTTTGATTTGTATTTTCCTGATAGCTAATGATGTTGAACACCTTTTCATGTGCTTACTGACCATTTGTATATCTTGTTTGGAGAACTGTTAGATGCTTTGCCCATTTTGTAATTGGGTTATTTGCGTTATGATTATTGAGTATGAGAATTCATAATATGTTCCACATACAAGTCCCTTATCAGATACATATGATTTGCAAATGTTTTTCTGTTCTGTGGGTTGCCTTTCACTTTCTTGATGGTTTCCTCTGCAGCACAAAAGTTTTTAATTTTGATAAAATCCGATTTGTCTACTTCTTCTTTCATGGTTTGTGCTTTTATTGTCATATCTAAGAACCCATTACCTAAGCCAAAATCACAAAGATTGACTCCTATGCGTTCCTCTAAGTCTTATAGTATTAGCTCTTATATTTAGGCCTATGATGCATTTTGAGTAAATTTTTGTGTGTAGTGTTAGGGAGCGGTCCAACTTCATTCTTTTGCATGTGGATAACCTGTGTCCCAGAATCATTTGTTAAAAAGCCGTTTATTTTTCAATTGAATTGTCTTGGCACTCTTATTGAAAATCAACTCATTATAAATGTAAGAGTTTATTTCTGAACTCTCACTTTTATTCCATTGATCTATAGCATATCTATCCTTGTATTAGTACAATTTGTCTTGATTATTATATCTTTGTAGTAAGTTTTGATGTTAGGAAGAGTGAGTCCCCTAACTTTGTTCTTTTTCAAGACTGTCTTAGCTATTCTGGGTCCCTTGCATATTCACAAGAATTTTAGGATCATCTTATCAATTTCTGCCAAGAATCAACTGACATTTTGATGGAGGATTATTAAATTTGTTGATCGATTTGGGGAATGCTGCCATCTTAACGATATTGGGTCTTCCAGTCCATAAACATGGGATGTCTTTCCATTATATATATCATCTTTCATTTTTTTAAAACAATGTTTTGTATGTTTCAGAGTATAAAATTCACACTTCCTCTGTTAAATTTCTAAGTGTTTTCTTCTTTTTGAAGATACTGTAAATGTAAATTTTTTCTTAATTTACTTTCTAGATTGTTCTTTACAAATATAGAAATACAATTGATTTTTGTATATTGATCATGTATCCTGCAACCTTGTTGAAAGATAAATAACTCTTAAACTTAAGAGATGAAATAATTTTAAACTTTTTATTTCTAAAAGTTGGAGATCATTATTTGACCCATGTAATGTCCAAGTAGATATACCAAGTTATGTTATAAGGCTTTCCCAGTAAACATGGGTGGAAATTAGCCTGTTTCTTCCATGCCATTCCAGTTGATTGATATAATATTTTCTCTGGACTCATGCCTACTAAGAGGGTTGTATAAATTCAAAGTGATCATATATAGAATTGAAATATTAAGGAATCTGGCTATTTATCCTAGATTCTATTCCAAGCGCACTCATGACAGTGATTTCAAGTGACCACTTTAAAAGAATTTTCATTCTGAACATTTTAATTTTTTGTTTATTCATGTTTTTGACCTGAACCCTTTTCTTCGATTTATTATTTTATGTTTGGTTACTTCCTTCTGAAACGGCTTCCTTTCATTCTTTTTTGATTTTATTCTTTATATTCATGTTTTTTCCCCTTCTTTATCCAATTGAGCCCAAGTTTGCAAAAGAAAAGAACAGATAAAAATATCAAAATTGTTCATGGGGTAGTTTTTGGTAATTTTGTCACTTTGTGTGACTGGACCTTCTTAACAGGCTTATGATAGGTATCAATCAGGATTGAGCACTGAATTCCAAGCTCCACTGGCATTTCAGTCTGACGTGGATAAAGAAGAAGATAAGAAAGAGGTATGTAATGATACTGCTTTTGGATCCCAATATTTCTACTATGATAGTATTAATATATGAGAAATTGGAAACAATTTGTTGTGTCCTAACACATAAAAGAGCTAATACCACAAATTTCATAAATCAAATAAAAGTTGCTTGACTCATTATAATGTGTTGAATTTATTTTCCAAGCTCCTATGAGTTAGGGTACATTGATGTGAAATCAATTATTTGATACTAATAAATTTCTCCAGCTAATGTATATTTGCCACTATAACTTATTTAAAGGAAGATAATTACTTTATGGCTTTCTTTTTTTTTTCTCTTTTCAATCTAAAGTTAGTTTAAACCGATAGTTCTTAACCCTGGCCATGCACCAGAATCAGATGGGGAGCTTTTTTCAAAATACAAATATGCCTAGATCTAAACCAGATATACCAAATCAGTATCTGAAAACGGAGGTTTAGGGCATTTTTGTTTTTTAAAAATACCACTGGTGATTCTGATGCATCCTCAGTATTAAGAGCTACTATTTAGAACTTCAGTAATTTTTACCAAAAAGCCCTGCACTACTTTGGTATATACATAGACATGCTTTTTGCTCATCGAATAGCTTGTGTATTTAAAAGAGTATATATAAATCCAGAGGAATGAACAGATCACACACAGTCTAGTAGCACTTGCTTTTATTCTACTTGTTTCATTTATGAGTCTGAGGCTTTAGTATACCTCAGCCCTTCTACCCTCCTCCGTGCCATGTTAGGCTAGGCTTAGAGTATGCTTTTGTGATACTGTTTTAATTTTGAAAAGTTAAAGTAACTATTGGTTCTGTTATGAAATATCTTCTACATTCTTTCTGTGGCTCTGCTTTTATGGTACTTACTACTTGGGAACACAGAGTAAATATTTCAGAGTAACAGAGTAAATACTTTCTCTGGTTTGCCTATTAACATATAATAGCCATGTGCTTGAAAATATAAAATTCTTGTGTATGTGACATCCTGAGTGACCATAGACAGAAGGAAATTAAAGACTTAATCATGTAACTTCTATATCATCTGTTTCTGTTTGCTTGCATTTGTTTTTGTCTATGGTATAAGAATATTTTTCTTCCTTGGAAATTCCTCTGAAAGCAGAATCTTAGTAATTTTAACTTCTTACCTTTAGCGTCAAAAGCAGTACCTGAGACATAGACGACTTTTCATGGATATTGAGAGAGAACAAGTTAAAGAACAACAAAGGCAAAAAGAACAAAAGAAGAAAATTGAAAAGTAAGTTATTCGATCTGCTCTGTGAGCCTTAAATTGCCAATTAAGATGTTTTTGGAAGATGAACTTTAGAAAAAGGTAATGGTTTTGCCCTCTGATCCATATTGAAAACAGCTATTTTTGATCTGGGTGAAGTATTGGAAGATGGTGAACAGCTATGGTTTGGTTTTTTGGTTCGATTTTCTATTAGACTTGATTTTTTTAGGGCAATTTTAGGCTCACAGCAAAATTGAGCAGAAAGTACAGAGAGTATACCCTCTGCCCCACAAATGCGTAGCCTCTCCTACTGTCACTATCCTGCACCATAGTGGTACAATGTATTAGAATTGATGAACCTACATTGACACATTATTATTACCCAAAGTCCATAGTTTACATTAGGGTTCACCTTTGGTGTTAGGCATTCTATGGGTTTTGACAAATACATAATGTCATGTGTCTACCATTATGGTATTATACAAAGTGCTTTCACTTCCCTAAAATCCTCTGTGCTCTGCCTATTCCTCCCTCTTTACACCCTATCCTGTGGTAACCACTGAACTCTCTACTGTCTCCATGGTTTTGCCTTTTCCAGAACGTCATATAGTTGGAATCATACAGTATGTATGCAACCTTTTTAGATTGGCTTTTTATACTTAGAAATATGCATGTACGTTTCCTCTAATGCTTTTTTATGGCTTGATAGCTCATTTATTTTTAGCACTGAATAATATCCCATTATCTGAATGTATCACAGTTTAGTTATTCATTCACCTACTGAAGAACATATTATTTGCTGCCAATATTTAGCAATTATGAATAAAGCTACTTTAAAATCTATGTACAAGTTTTTGTGGGGGCATACATTTTTAGCTTATTTGAGTAAATAACAAGGCATATGATTGCTGGATCATGTGGTAAAAATATATTTAGCTTTATAAGACACTACCAAATGGTCTTCCAAAGTGGCTATACCATTTTGCATTCCCACCAGCAAGGAGTGAGGGTTCCTGTTGCTTGACATCCTTGCCAACATTTGGTGGTGTCAGTATTTTGGATTTTGGCCATTCTAGTAGGTGTGTAGTAGTATCTCATTGTTTTAATTTTCACTTCCCTAATGACATATAATATGGAGCACCTTTTCACATGCTTATTTGTCATCTGTGTATCTTCTTTGGTGATGTGTCTGTTCATTTTGCTTCTTCTTGTTGAATTTTAAGAGTTCTTTGTATATTTTGAATAACAGTTCTTTATCAGTCTTTTGTAAACATTTTTTCCCCAGTCTGTAGCATGTCTTCTCATCTGTTGACAGTATCTTTTGCAGAGCAAAATGAAGTCTGCCTAATCAGTTCTTTCTTTCATGGATTGTGCCTTTGGTGTTATATATAAAAAAAAGTCACTGCCATACCCAAAGTCACTTAGATTTTCTCCTGTGTTACCTTCTAGGAGTTTTGTAGTTTTGCATTTTACATTTTTCTCTATGATCCACTTTGTTAATTTTTGTGAGAGGTGTAAGATCTGTGTTTAGAGTCATTTTTTTTTTGCATGTGGATGTCCAGTTGTTCCAGCACCATTTGTTGAAAAGACCATCTTTTATTAATCATATTGCCTTTGCTCTTTTGTTAAAAATCAGTTGACTGCATTTATGTGGTTCTGTTTTTTGGACTTGGTTCTCTGTTCTGTTCCATTGATCTATTTGTCTATTCTTTTGCCATACCACACTGTTTTGATTATTGTAGCTTTACTTACATATTTTTATTGATACATAATAATTGTACATATTTATGGGATACATGTAATATTTTGATAACATGCAATGTATATGATCAAATGTATGATGTGTAATGATCAAATCAGAGTAATTTGGATACCTGTCATCTCAAACATTATGATTTCTTTGGATTGGGAACATTTCAAATCTTCTAGCTGTTTTGAAATATACAATAAATTATTGTTAACTAGAGTCACCCTACTGTGCTACCAATAAGTAGAATTTATTCTATCTGTCTAACTGTATGTTTATACCCATTAACCCATTCTTCATCCTCTCCTCCCTTCCCACCCTCTGGTTAACTATCATTCTACTTTCTACCTCTATGGGATCAGCTTTTTTAGCTCCCACATGTGAGTGAGAACATGCGATGTTTGTCTTTCTGTGCCTGGCTTATTTGATTTAACATAATGACTTCCAGTTCCATCTGTGTTGCAGCAAATGACAGGATTTCATTCTTTTTATGGCCGAATAGTATTCCACTGTGTGTATATACCACATTTTCTTTGTGTCCCTCTGTTGAAGACACTTAGGTTGATTCAATATCTTGACAATTGTGAATGGTGCCACAGTAAACATGGGGATACAGGTATACCTTTGATACACTGATTTCTTTTCCTTTGAATAAATACCCAATAGTGGAGTTGCTGGATCATCTGGAAGTTCTGTTTTTAGGTTTTTTTTTTAGAAATCTCCATACCGTTTTCCATAATTTCTGTATTAATTTACATTCCCACCAACAGTGTATAAGAGTTCCCTTTTCTCTACATCCTCACCAGCTTTTGTTACTTTTTGTTGTTTTGATAATTGCCATTTTAACTGTGGTGAGATGATATCTCATTGTGGGTAAGTTCAGTTGATCCCCAGGCACCCGGATGACAAGCATGAGTGCCTGAAGTGGCGGCAGTGGGTGAGGCAGGCCTGTCCTCAGGTCGTTTGGTTCTATACCTGGGTGCTGGCAACAGTGGGTGTGGCATGTAGCTTTATAATAAGTCTTGAAGTCGGGTAATTTCAGTCTTTCAACTTTGTTTTTCTTTTTTAATGTTGTGTTGGCTTTACCTCTCTACATAAACTTTAAATAAGTTTGTCAATATCCACGAAATAACTTGTTGAGATTTTTACTGAGATTGCAGTTAATGTATATATCAAGTTGGGGAGAACTGACATCTTGACAATATTGAGTCTTTCTATCCATGACCATAGATGATCTCTCCATTTTATTTAGTTGTCCTTTGATTTCTTTCTTCAGTGTTTTGTTGTTTTTGCTCATATAGATCTTATATATTTTTTGTTAGACTTATACCTAAATCTTTCATTTTGGAAATACATATAAATGGTATTGTGCATTTAATTTTAAACTCCACCCGTTCATTGCTGGTATATCGGAAAGTGATTGACTTTTGTATATTAAACTTGTATCCTTCAACCCTGCTGTAATCACTTAGTTCCAGTAGCTTGTTCAGTGACATTTTTGTTATTATATGATCATGTCACCAGTGAACAAAGTTAGTTTTATTTCTTCTTTCCCAGTCTGTATGCCTTTTATTTCCTTTCGTTGCCTTATTTCATTAGCAAGGACTTTCAGTATGATGTTAATGAGAGGGTACATCTTTGGCTTGTTTCTTATCCTAGCAGGTAAACTTACAGTTTCTTACCATCAAGTATGATGTTAGCTGTACATTTTTTGTAGATGCGCTTTTTCAGGTTGAAGAAGTTCTTCTCCATCAGTTGCATTTCTTTTTCTTTTTTTTTGATACAGAGTCTCGCTCCGTTGCTAGGCTGGAGTGCAGTGGCGTGATCTCGGCTCACTGCAACCTCCGCCTCCCTGGTTCAAGAGATTCTCCTGCCTCAGCCTCTTGAGTAGCTGGGACTACAGGCTATGGGTTTTTACTGTGCCCCTTAGAGCTCAACCCCAGTTGTCTTGACAAACTTCATTGTGCCTACTAACTTCTAAACAATGCATAAAAAGTTATAATGAGCTGGGCGCGGTGGCTCACGCCTGTAATCCTAGCACTTTGGGAGGCTGAGGCGGGCAGATCACCTGAGGTCAGGAGTTCGAGACCAGCCTGACCAACGTGGAGTAACCCCGTCTCTACTAAAAATACAAAACTAGCTGGGCATGGTGGCTCATGCTTGTAATCCTTGTAATCCCAGCTACTCGGGAGGCTGAGGCAGGGGAATCACTTGAACACGGGGGGCGGAGGTTGCAGTGAGCCGAGATCGTGCCATTGCACTCCAGCCTGGGCAATAAGAGCGAAACTCCGTCTCAAAAAAAAAAAAAAAGTTATAATGAAATCTAATATGAGGATTTACTTCATCAGATGTTATTGACATACTATGCATAATGCACTAAACAAAGTGCTAATATGTGTAATAGTTTGAAATTTGTGAAGTGCTATAAAATATAAAGCAATAACACTTTTATTTTGAAACACTCTGTATAATACTATAACAAAATTGTTATAGGTTACTGTAAAGTGCTAGAAATGTGTTCAAATAGCATAATGAATAGTCTTTGGGGTCTTTTTGGTTTTGTTTTTTATAATTTCAACTTCTATTTTAGATTCAGGGGGTACAGGTGCAAGTTTGTTACAAGGGTATATTGCGTGATGCTGAAGGTTGTGGTATAAATGATCCTGTCACTCAGATAGTAAGTATAGTACCCAATAGGTAATTTTCAGCCTTTTCTCCTCCCCTATCCCTCCCTCTAGTAGTCTTCAGTGTTTATTGTTTTCATTTTTGTGTCTACGTGTACCTAAAGTTTAGCTCCCACTTATAAGTGAGAGCATGCAGTATTTGGTTTTCTGTTTCTGTGTTAATTCGCTTAGGATAATGGCTTCCAGCTACATCCATGTTGCTGTAAAGGACATGATTTCATTCTTTTATATGGTTGCATAGTCTTCTATGGTGTATACATACCACATTTTCTTTATCCAGTTCGCCACTGATGGGCACCTAGGTTGATTCTGTGTCTTTGCTGTTTTGAATAGTGGTGCGATGAACATATGAATGCGTGTGCCTTTTTGGTAGAAGGATTCGTTGTACCAAATTATGGGATTGCTAGGTCAAATGGTAGTTCTAAGTTCTTTGAAAAATCTCCAAACCGCTTTCCACAGTGGCTGAACTAACAAACCGCTTTCCACAGTGGCTGAACTAATTTACATTTCCACCAACAATGAATAAGCATTCCCTTTTCTCTGCAGCCTTGCAATTATTTGTTATTTTTTGACTTTTTACTAATATCTGTTTTGACTCGTGTTAGATAGTATCTCATTGTGGTTTTGATTTGCATTTCTCTGATGATTAGTGATGTGGAACATATTTTCATGTTTATTGGCCACTTGTATGTCTTCTTTTGAGAAGTATTTATTCATGTCTTTTGCCCACTTTTTAATGGGGTTGTTTTTTGCTTTGCCTGGTGTTTTTTTTTTTTTTTAAGATGGAGTCTCACTCTGTCCAGTGGCACATTCTCAGCTCACTGCAATGTCTGCCTCCCAGATTCAAGTGATTCTCGTGCCTATCTCCTGAGTAGCTGGGACTACAGGCATGTACCACCATGCCCAGCTAATTTTTGTATTTTTAGTAGAGACAGGGTTTCACCATGTGGGCCAGGCTGGTCTCGAACTCCTGACCTCAGGTGATCCACTTGCCTTGGCCTCCTAATTTGGGGGAATTACAGGAGTGAGCTACCACGCCTGGCCAAATTGTTTAAATTCCTTATAGATACTGGATATCAGACCTTTGTCAGGTGCATAGTTTGTAAATATCTTCTACCATTCTGTAGGTTGTCTGTTTATGCACTTGATAGTTTCTCTTGCTGTGAGGAAGCTCTTTAGTTTGAGTCCCATTTATCAATTTTTGCTTTTGTTGCAATTGCTTTTGAGGATTTAGTCATAAATTTTTTGCCAAAGCTGATGTCCAGAGTGGTACTTCCTGGGTTTTCTTCTAGGATTTTCATAGTTTGAGGTCTTACATTTAAATCTTTAATCCATCTTGAGTTAATGTTTGTGTATAGTAAAGGTAGGGGTCCAGTTTCATTCTTCTGCATTTGCCTAACCAGTTATCCCAGCACCATTTATTGAATAAGGAGTCCTTTCCCTAATGGGTAGTCATTGGACCTAAAAGTTTCCTAGTTCCTTTTCAATGCTATTTCATCTTAATGAAAAAAAAATAAACCTTTTAATTAGTAATCCATTTCTTCTCTTGTATTACTAACAAGTTTTCCTTCATCTTAATGGGCAACTGTTTCTGTAATAGAAGTATTATTATTATTATTATTATTATTATTATTTTTTAAGATGGAGTTTCACTCTTGTCGCCCAGGCTGGAGTGCAATGGCACGATCTCGACTCACTGCAACCTCCACCTCCCGAGTTCAAGCGATTCTCCTGCCTCAGCTTCCCAAGTAGCTGGGACCACAGGCGTATGCCACCAAGCCCGGCTAATTTTTGTATTTTTAGTAGAGACAGGGTTTCACCATCTTGGCCAGGCTGATCTCGAACTCCTGACCTCGTGATCCACCCGCCTCAGCCTCCCAATGTGCTGGGATTACAGGGTTGAGCCACCATGCCCGGCCGAAGTATTCTTTATTTAGAAGAATTCATTTAAAAAAACAATGACTGCTGGTGTAGTAGCCATGTCAAAGGCAATATTTATTGGATTATTTTAAGTGCTTTCACATGTATTTTCATTTATTTGTAGTTTATTCGTGGGATAACTGATTTAAGCCTGCCTCTAATATTTGCAGGATTGGGCTCACATACAAATACAAGTTTATGTACCTTACATCTAAGTATTTTAATGTCATAAGCTGAGCTAAAAAACTGTAAAATGACATATATTCTATTGTCCTACCTTGACAAATATGATTTCATAGTGACTAGAAGGTCGGACTCAAATTTGCAATTCTTGAACTCCTCTGAGTTACATGCAGGAACATGAGTGGAGAGTCAGCCTCCAGTCCACCCCCTTTCTATTCTTATTCATACCTCTATTTTGTACTGGAAGAATTTCAGATACATGCTATGGTTCAACTCAGCCCAGATATCTAAGTTCTAGGTACATGCCCTGTAAGTGGTCACCCCTTAATGTTCCATTGAGCCTAGATGCGCATGAGAGGTGCAGCCTGCTCTGAGGAAGACAAAGGTGGGGAACAGAACTGTGTATACCCTAAAAACAGCCTTGGAAAGTTTGAGTAAAGAATTCCAGGGGCCTGGGTACCTGGAGCAGAGTATAGATGGGCAGTCATAGGCTTCAGGTGCCTTCGCCTAGTTGCTTAGTCTCTGAGGACTATGGGAAGAGATATGGTCAGAGACAGGCCAAAGTGGGACTATTAAAAATGTGGGTCTCATGATAAGGGCTCCCCTCTTATCCAGGTCTAAGAGTGATTCTGCATTTATTCAGAAAACATTTATTTTTTATCTTCCATATCATAGGCACTGTCCTAGGCTCAGATGATACAAAGATAAATAAAATTCATTCCTTTTCTTGAAGAACTCATAATCTAAGTTGGGGAGGGAGGATGAGAAACAAACATATTCAAATAAGTAATATAATTAGTGCAGTTGCCAAGATAGGTACAGAGTCCATGTGAGCACAGAAGAAGGGATTAACGATTTTATCTGGAGAGTTAGAGAAAATATTACACTTTAGTTGGGTTTGGGTGGATAAATATATGTTTTGCAGGGAAGGGGATAAGGATGGTGAGTTAGGAAAACATATATAAACAGAATCAAGGTGGGAGGAAATAATAGTAGTATTCATGCAGAATTTTTATAATTCACAAGGGCTTTCATATATTATCTAGTTTAGTACTTTTCAACAACAAAGCAAACATTTATTGAAAACTTACTACATGCCAGGGACTGTTCTATATGCTGAGAATATAAAACTAGAATATATGACAGGATAGTACATATTTACAAATGGACTTAAGTGTGAATGTATCCCTTATGAACTTTGTAAACTTAAGCAAGTAACTTCACCTCTGAGCCTCAGTATCCTTAATTATATAATGGAGATTATAATATTGATCTTCTAGTTTGTTGATAGCATTAAGTGGAGAAATGTATGTAAAGTACTTAACATTGTATCTGACATTTAATAAGATCTCAATAAAAAGTACCTGTTACTACCATGATAGGATGAGCACCAAGAGAGGACAGACAACAGGAGAAAAAGAGACAAAAAATAATTATAATGCTTAAAGTGAGGCAGGGATAGTCTAGGGAGGTCAAGAAATGCTTTATAGATGAGTTAATACTCAAGCTACATCTTAAAGGATGAATTGAAGTTTGCCAGATGGTCAAGGAGCTTAGTATGAAGCATAAGGTGTGTCTGAGAAATAAAATAAAAATTTGGGGTGGCTAAACCCCAAGTGAAGTGAAGTGGCAGAGAATCTATAACGAAGTTGTTGAAAGATTTTAAGGCAAAAGTCCTATAATCTTACTATAATCTTATAAAGACCAGTCTGGCAGCTGCATATAGAATAATCTAAAAAAGAAAACTAAGGCAGAGTCCAGTTAAGAAGTTATTATAGTAGTTGTGGAGGACGATGAGGGCACTGGGAACAGAGAGTGACATATTTAATAATATTTAAGAAGTAGAATCCATAGATTTTGATGACCAAATTCTTAGTCTTGATGGGTTTGGTCAAGGGTATTTTCTAACTTTCTTCTTAGATAATTGAATGAATGGTTAGTACCATTAACGTATATAGGGAATGTTCAAAGAACAGATTTTTCAGGAAGCTAGTGAGTTCAGTTTGTGACCATCAGCTTCAGGAGCATGTGAAATATTAAGGGAGGTCTGATTTATATGCATGTGAAAATAACTAAAGTTCTGGGAACAATAGGAACTAAGTATTTCTTAAGGGGTTTTCAAAATATGTTTCAGCATGACATTGGATAAGGTACAGGGCTACTGCTGGGTGACAGAAACAAGCAGAGCTTTTGGTGGTCTGAAGGAGCTGCAGTAACAAAATTGGAGACTCAAGGGTCTCAAACATTTGATCAGTGTTCTCCTCAAGACATTTGCCAAAGTCTAAGAAAACATGAAGGCTAAATGGAAAATGAGTGGAAAAGAGACTAAGAATCTATTAGTCTGTGATGATGAGGAGATGTAGAGTTCAGGACCCACTGGGTTGGGGGAGGGGAGAAAGGGCCCAATATACATATCAGGCTTTCAGTTGAGTTAGGGAGAGCATACACTAAGAACATCGTCTAACTAGCAGTAGAATAAACCTTACCTAAATTACAAAGCAGCCTTGATTCTGCTGATGTCTGGACCAGATTAAGATGATGAACTGTGTACTTTCTGCCTAGCTGAGAAAAGTGTGAACTTTCTCTGGTTATGGATAACATAATTTAGAGCCTCTAAAAAATTAAAACAATATTCAGTATTCAATCAAAAGTTTCTAAGTACATACTTAGAAGTAGATGTCCAAAAGCCAAGAGAAAGAAAAGACAACAGAAGCAGACTCAGATGACACAAGATACTAGTATTAGTAGACTTTAAAATAATTGATTAATGTGCTCAGGTAACTAGAGGAAGAGATGGAGAAAATGGATGAAAATATTGAGAATTTCACCAAAGAAATGGAATCTATAAAATAGAATCCAATAGAAAAATATAATCTTAAAATAAGAACTCACTCTATGCACAATGAGGTACCACTTCAGACTCACTAGAGTAGCTTAAGGAGGGAAAGACAACAAACTTAACAGTACCAGATAGTGGCAAGGATGTAGAACAGCTGTAACTCATGTATTAGTATCATATGTAGAAAACAGCACAACCACTTTGGAAAACTGTTTAATATCTTATACAGTTAAACATAGACCTACTATATGACCCAACCAATTTATGCCTAGAAATTTAAGAAAAGTGGAAACATTTATAAAAACACTGAATCGTGACAGAATATATTCCTTTCAAGTGCCCGTGGAACATTTTCCACAGTTCATCTTACTTTTGGTTATTTTTCAGAATATGTTCTGTAACTTTAGTGATATTACACTAGAAATCAATAAGCAGTATATTTCTAAAGGATCATGGATCACAGAAAAAATTATAATGGCAATTAGGAAATACTTTTGAGAGAATAATAATGAAGATAAATCATATTAAAACTTTTTAGGTGTCACTGAAGCAGTCCTTAAAGGGAATGTCAGAGCCTTGATTACAATTAATATAAAATTAAAAAGGCTACAAATCAATGTTTTAACCTTCCATCTTAAGCTTGGGAAAAACTACAAATTACATCAGAAAAAAAGCCATAGGAATAAGTGCAAAATCGGTGAAATATAAAACAAATGTATAACAGAGGAAATCAAAGACAAAAGTTGGTTCTTTTAAAAATTTTGTTTTGCCAAGGATATATCACTTTTACTAATCAGTAAAAAGAAAAAACACAATTCACCAATATTAGGAATGGAAAGGGAACCATTACTACAGAGCCTACAGACATTAAATCACAGTAAGAGAACATTATAAACAACTTTACATTTTAAAAATTTGACAATTTTAATAAAATAAACTCCTATGGGGATAAAACAACTAAAATGGACACAAGAAGAAATTGAATACTTGAGTAATCCCGTATCACTGAAAGAAATAAAACCAGTTATTAAAAATCCTGAAAGAAAAATCCAGGTTCAGATTCCAGCTCATATATCTTCACTGGGGAATTCTTTTTAAATGTATAAGGGAAAAAATAACATAAAGTTTTACATAAATTCTTCCAGAGAATGGAAAGTGGAATATTTCTCAAATAAAGCATAACTTTAATACCAGCCTGATGGGGACATTACAAGAAAGCAGCATTACAGACTAATTTTTCTTGTGAGCATAAATGAAAAAAGCCTCAAGTGAAATATTGGCACAATGATCTTTGAGGGGCACTGCTGCAGGCCCCTATACTTGCAGCTTCTGCTTAAGCCCCTGCCTCTAGCCCCCGGGCAGCTTCTTAACCACCCCTGAACTTCTCCCAAGCTATGGACCAAATGGAAACAAAGCTTTTTGCAGCAACAGCAATCATACAATGAATAACATACTGAAATAAAATATTCCAAGATGTTAAAGAATTGTCTTTGGATGATAAATCATTTTTTCCTATCTTTCCTGTATTTCTTAATTTCTCAAATATTTTATTACTAGTTTGTTTGACATTGTAAGACTAAGCAGTATCTGCATGGTTGAGGGCCCCTTGCTGCTGAATATCCTGTTTATTGTGCGTAAGAAGGTACAAGGACTCCTGAAATATTTATGTGGCATCCCACTAGTGAAAATAGATTTCCTGTGAGGTGTTTAATATTCCCTTTGTGTATGTTTTTTTCCTCACATGCTTTTTTCTCCCTTGAAATATAATACTGTTGTTCTAAAAGCAACCTGACAAAAACTGTTGCAATAAAAAAGTATGTGGACTGGGGTTGGGATGCTTGGAAAAAAAAAATCTTTATCAAGTTGTCTAGTGTGACTTTTAAGCAGAATTCTCTTTAAATATTTCAAAGACCTTTTCTGTTTTTAATGTTCTTTAGAGCTCTAGTATAACAATTTCAGCATCTAAGCATGTTGACACTCAGCTCAGGAAGTTCACTGTCTCACCTAGGCCAGATTTGTCTTATGATAGCCTAATCTTTTAGCTGTAATTGTGATCTGATCTGCATGAAAAGGTCTTTTCAGTTCTGTATTGCTCATATGTAAGCATTTTACAGGCTAGCAGGTAAAAGTCAAAATGAGAATTTCATTCAGTTCATTTGACTGAAGGCAACATACCCCTGCTGTGGGTGTTTTATGTCTAACCTAAATCTTCTCATGACATGCCTACCACATGGCATAGTCAGTGGGAAACTTCTTTAGCAATACTACTGACCTTCTTTGAAAGCTTTTCTGCTAAAGGCTTTTTGTTTTATTGCCATTTCCTACTGGATAATCTTTTCCTTCTTGTGTTTATACTCTTGACCTCAGAAAAAATATGAAGGACTGATTGCTTTACAGATGGTATCAGAAGACTTAATCTTGTATTGATAGTTGGCAAATAATTAAAAATTAATTTTGCCTTTTACTTACTGAAGAAACTAAATCATTTATGCCTTCTTTGCATGGAAGTCACATGATTTAACTTGAAGACAAAACCACCTTAGCAGCATTCTAAAATAATCATACATCTGTTTTATAAACAGTAATTGATAACTACTTTACCTCACTCAGTTGTTATAAGAATAAAATGATATGGTTTCATTCATTGATTTAGCAGCTATTTATTGAGCATCTGTTAATTGGTAGAGATGATGCTAGACATAGGGTATGCAAGAAATGAAAAAACATGATCCCTGTCTTCAAGGATCTAGCTAGATAAGTTTGACTAACCAGTGGGGAAGCAGATAAATACGGTCATGCACCACATAAAGATGTTTTGGTTAGTGATGGACAGCACATACACTGTTGGTCCCATAAGATTATAGTGGAGCTGAAAAATTCCTATCACCTAGTGATGTAGCATTGTAATGCATTCCTCATGTGTTTGTGGTGATGCTTGTGTAAACCTACTGTGCTTCCAGTTGTGTAAAAGTATAGCACATACAGTTATGTACAATGCATAATGGCTGATGACGATAATGAACACCTATGTTACTGGTTTATATATTTACTATACTATTCTAAAAGAAAAGTTAACTGTAAAACAGCCTCAGCCAGGTCCTTCAGGAGGTATTCCAGAAGAAGGCATTATCATAGGAGAATACAACTCCATGAGTGTTATTGCCTCTGAAAACTGTCCAGTGGGATAGGATGTGGTGGCAGAAGACAATAATATTGATGATCCTGACCCTGTGTAGGCCTAGGCTAACATGTATTTATGTCTTAGTTTTTAACAAAATAGTTTAAAAAGTTTAAAAAAATTTAATGGAAAAAGCATATAGGACAAGGATACAAAGAAAGAAAATATTTTTTTACAGCTGTACAACATGCTTGTGTTTTAAGCTAAGAGTTATTATAAAAGAGTCAAGTAAAAAAATTCAGTTTATAAAGTTAAAAAGTTACAGTAAGCTGAGGTTAATTTATTATTGAAGAAAGAAAATTAATTTTTGTAACTTTAATCTAAGTGTACAGTGTTTATAAAGTCTACAGTAGTATATCATAATGACCTAGACCTTCACATTTACTTACTACTCGCTCAGTGACTCACCCAAAGCATCTTCCAGTCCTGCATGCTCCATTCATGGTAAGTGCCTTATTTAAGTATAATGTTTTTATCTTTTATACTGTATTTTTGCTGTACTTTTTCTATGTTTAGATACACAAACACTTACCATTGTGTTACAGTTGCCTACAGGATCCAGTCCAGTAATGTACTGTACAGGCTTGTAGCCAAGGAACAATGAGGCTATACCATATAGCCTGGTTGTGTATAGGCTATACCATCTAGGTTTGTGGAAGGACACTCTATGATGTTTTCATGACAAAGATGAATTTTTTTAAAGAATATATCTCCATAATTGGGTAAAGCATGACTGGAAATAGATCATTATAATACCGTATATTTAGTATTACAAGATAATACAGCACGTGGTTAAGAACATGGGGAGATATGTTTCCAAGTCCCAGCTCTGCTACCTACCGGCTGTGTGACTTTGAGAGTTACTTCTGTAATCCTCAGTTTCCTCTATATACAATAAGGATAATAATGATATATACCTCATAAAGTTCCTGCAAGGATTAAATGAGGTAACGTGTAAATGTGCTTAGTACAGAATCACAAATATAGTATGTACTCAGTAAAGATTAGCTGCTGCTTATCATGAGAAGGAAAAAAGTACAAGAATATGTGGTAGCACAGAGACTGTTTTAAAGCCAAAGTTGGGGATATGGGGTGGCAGAAGGAAAGGGAGAACTTCCTGAACTGAGTTTTGAAGGATTTGTGGGGATAGTATAAGACAAAGTGGGAATTGGAGAGGGGAAAGGCTGGACAGGAATTCCAGGCAAAAGGAATAGCACTGCAAAAGCAGTGCTTCATGAAAGAATGTGACACCTCTGAATTTGATGTGATTGGAGCTAAAGGAATAGCAATAGGTGAGCCTTAAGAAATAAGGAAAGACATGATTGTAAAGACCTTAGTATGTCATGAGAAAAAAATTTGACTTCATGTTGAAAACAGGGAGCTCAGTGGCATCATGGGGATAAGATGAAATGACTGTTAGGAGGTTGTTGAAATAATATATAGAGAGAAGAGAGGTGAAATTAATTTTTTAAAAGATCGTTATATATTAAGTCCTAACTGTGTGTCAAGCACTTCGCATAGATTATCTCCTCTTAATGGATAAAGTAGTCCTGCAAGGTAGCAGTAGTTAGCATTCACTGAGTGCTTAGAATGTGCTAGGCGTAGTGTTGAGTGCTTTAGAGACACTAAGTTATTTACTTGTTTCAATAACCTTTTAAGGTAGATTTGATTACTCATTTCATTTTACAGATGAGAAAATGAGCCCTAGAAAGGTTAGGTAATTTGCCTAGGATTAAGGGTACATTTAGCAAGTGGCAGAACTGGGATTCAACCCCAGATTTATTTGTCTTTATCACCTAACGTCTTTGAAGTTTATAACATGGCCTGCCACATAAGACAAGGCCAGGGAGGCAAAGAGGAGGAGGTAGTTTTAAGAGTGGTTAAGAGACTTGATAGGATTTTGTTAGAGAAGAATTCAAGGATAACTCCCAGATTTATGGCTTAGGTCACTGGGTACATGTTGTACTATAAAACAGATTTGCCAGGAAGGTGGTAGAGGTGACGAGAATAAGTTTAGTTTGGAGCATACTGGGCTTGAAGTCTAAAAGGAAATCCAAGTAGAGAGTACCAGTAGGAAATGATAAGTTATTCTTATTAGTGATTGCTCTCTTTTTTGATACATTATATTTGTACATATTAGTGGGGTACGTGTGAAATTTTGTTACATAGGATACGTAATCAAATCGGTATTTGTCATTTCTATGTGGGGGGGGGCACAGTTCAAGTCCTCTCTTCTAGCTATTTTGAAAGATACAATACATTGTTGCTAACTATAGTCACCCTACTCTGCTATGAAACATTAGAATTTATTCCATTTGAAGTCACAAGGAAGAATACTGGCAGAATCATGGAATTGGGAGACAAGAGAAAGGTTGAACAGAAAAAACAGGAACAGCAGGAAAAAAGTTAGACTTCTAAATTAGATCTTAATTCTGTTATATCAAAGAGGCAGATTTCTTCCACCTCCTTGAGAAGTTATTTTTCCAGCAGGGCACCTCTTTCACTCCTGAAGTAAATAAGCTTGTTTCTTAATCTTAGAAGCAGAAATCATTTTATCTGAAAGTCTTGGTGTTGGCAGATTTCTGTGATTGCTTTGGAAACAGTCCTTGCTTTTGGTTCTAGGTCTCTTAACTTTGTGAAGGATTAGTGCTTTGGCATTATATGAAAGATGACTAACAAGAGTTTTTAAGTTGTTGAAATTGTAAGAAAATATATTTTAAATCCAGTTTCCCTGTGATGTCACCTTATTTTCAGAATTCTCTTTGAAATGCAAATATTGACATTTTTTAGTTGTGCAAACACCCAATGCAGCACGTTTATAAACCTGTTTGCAGTCTTTTATATTCTTAACCTCTCTTTTACTGAAAGCCTGATGCTAGTTTCAGAATACCTTTTGGCATAGCCAGAGAATCACTGTAATTGTATTCACACCATTGCTCTAGGAGAAACGGATAAATTGACATATTGATTTCTGACCTAGTCTAGTTTCTATTGTGTATCAACTAAAACATGTATTTACAATAGAGGCTTTGAAGACATTGGAGAAGAGCAGAAACTTGTTTATAGAATAATTGTTTTTTAATCAATTTTTAAATTTAGCACTATCATTTTTTATTTTATGATCCCTTCTTAAACTACTATATGGCAGCTGTTCTTAACCTGTGAATCTGACCAAAGCTGTGGATTTTTTTTTTCCTAGGAGAATACCTGTGAGACATCAAGTGGAGATGTCAAATTGGCAGGTAGATAAATAGGCTCGAATATCAGGGATTGATCTATGTTGGTGCTATAGCTTTGTGAGTTATAGATGGTAGTGTATAGTAACTGAAGCAGAGGGCATACATAAAATCGCCTGGGGGGAAGGTATTGAGTAAGAAAAGGAGAAGGCCTAAAATGGAGCTTTGAGGAACACCTAGTGTAGAGCAGATGGGCCTGCAAAGAAGACAGAGAAGGATGGTCTAAAGAAGTATACGAGGAAATTCAGGGAAAGTATTGTGTCACAGAAGCTGAGGAACAGAAAAGTTTCAGGAAGGAGGGAGTGGTTAGCAATATTAAATGTGTCTGAGAGGGCAAGTAAAATTAGGACTGAAAAATGTTCCATCAGTGTTTCTCAACCTTTTCTTCATTATTGTTCCCCTATTGAACCTATTTAGACATTTTTTCTAACTGCCCCCCAATATAATTTTAATACACAGATATAACCGTTTATGTACTGTGATTTTTCGGAGAGCCACAAATTACTATAATATCTAAGGGTTTTTTGCCTCCTTGGGGACAGTATTGCACCTAATAAAAAAGCATGTACTGGATGGATTAAATGACCTGTAGGTCACTAGTTGTTTTGGTGGAGTGATGGATCTTAAGGCCATATTGGAGCAGATGAAGAAGTGAGGAAATAGAGACAGAAAATTTACTCACTCTTGAGATGTTTGTGAAGAGAGGAGTATCTGTGAGGAGAGGAATAGCTACCAAAAGAGGGACGGGGCTGACTCCGTCTTTTCTAGTAACCATTCTGTTACCAAGACCTATGACACTTGAAAAACAATGCTGACGTGTTCCCTTAGCCCTTAGCTGACTGGTCTAGAGAATAATTCGTATAGAGAATTACACCAGTAACTAAGCTTTTCTGTCATCATTGACTTCGCTCTGTTTAAATTCCATCATTGAAAACTTCAATTTGATTCATTATTCACAGGAAAATCTTTTATCATTTACTTTTTTTACAAGGTTGGGAGTTACCGAACTTAACAAATATGAATGTCTTCAAGACACTTACTTTACTGGCTCTCATTGGAATAAGATCTCAATATACGCAGATCCCTAGCCAAGAGCTCCTGTGATCTTAGGCTCGTCTTTTAACTTTTGTATTTTAATAGTTTTCTTTCATTCTCTAACTTATTTCACACATGATCTTTTAAGAGAGCAAGATGACATATATTTTAAAGTCAAGTGTGATGTGTGTATATGCCTGTTTTGGCCTTTTTCTATATTACCTTCCTCACATTCCTAGTGTACTCCTTTATATGCCTTTAAATCTTTATCTTCACTAGTATAAAAGCATCTCCCTCTGCCCAAGCTGCAATAATGTTTTTCACTTCTCCCCTATTACAACTTTATGTTGTTTTGAGTTTGAATCATACCATAAAAACGATGTTTATGTCCTGTACTCAATTTAGATTTACAGTTGTAGCTCAAGAAAGACTGGTAAATATGGGAGAATAGTTGTAAGAAAATCTTTGTTTAAAGTGGCTTTGTCACTTTGCTAGAGATGGCCAGTGAGTAGCTGTCAGAATCTGGACAGACTTGGTTTCACAAATACCATCTCTTGTGTGTTTTTCCAATGCCTGATCTTTCAGCCTTTGTAGGATGTCTTCCTGATTTTTAACTTATACCTGTGTTAATCTAACAAAATGGAAGGCTATAATTCCCCTGGAGTCAATAGCCTGCCACAAATGGATAGAAGCCCAGAATTTTCACCAGCACATGCTTTATTGAAGAAGTATGAGTATGAACTGGCCTCATACTACTGTTCAGAAAACAATAGCTCATTTGTTTCAAAGTAATTTTTAGCAATTGGCCTCATCAGGCCAATTCTATTCTAGAACTCAGTTATGAGTTCTAGTCTTGAGTCAGTCATATTTCTTAACAAAAGTTCTTTACATACTTTTTTGATGATTTTCTCACTGAACTGCTTCTTTCCTTTCTACATGTTAGTAGGGATTTTTAAATAGGTATACTTGATATACAATAAACTGTACATATTTAAAGGATTTGATAAGTTTTGATGAATTTCTGCTTTTCAGTTTGTTCTTTTATGGAGTGTGCTTTTGATGACTTATTTAACAAGTCTTTGCCTAACCCAAGGTCACAAAGATTTTCTTCTAGAAAGATTATAATTTTAAGTTTTACATTTACTCTGTGATCCAGTTTGAGTTAATTGTCACGTATGGTGTGAGGCTTATTTTTTTGTACGAGGATACCCATTTGTTGAAGAGGCTATATTTTCTTCATTGCATTGCCTTTCTGTGTTTGTCACAAATCAGTTGTCCAACAAACAACGAAAGAGAAGATTGATAAGTTGGACTTCATCAAAATTAAAAACTATCAGGAAAGTGAAAAGACAGCTACAGAATGGGAGAAAATATTTATAAATCATATATCTGATAAGGGACTTATGTCCAGAATATATAAATGACTCTTACAACTCAATAGTAAAAAGACACTTGATCCAATTTAAAAGTGGACAAGGATTTAAATTAACATTTCTCTCAGGAAAATATACAAGTGGCTAATAAGCACATGAAAAGATGCTCAAATCATAGTTACTGGGAAATGCAAATCAAAACCATGAAATACCAGCTCATACTCACTAGATTGGCTATAATTTAAAAAACGACAGATAAAAGCAAGTTTTGGTGAGTATGTGGAGAAATTAGAATCCCCAAATGTTCCTGGTGAGGAATGTAAAATGGTACAGCCACTTTGGAAACTCGCACCCCAAATGTCCAATAGCTGATGAATGGAAACATAACGTGTGGCATATCTGTACAAAGGAATGCGGGCAATAAAAATGAAAGAAGTATGGCTATAATGTGGATAGACTTTGAAACTCTTCTGCCAAATGAAAAGCCAATCCAAAGATACCACATATTGCATGATCTCATTTATATAAAATGTCTAAACTAGGATACAGAGATAGAAAAGTTAGTGGTTGCTAGGGCTAGAGGTGAGAGGGTGGGAGTGACTGCTAATAAGTATAAGGTTTCTTTATGGCATAATAAAAATGTTCTCAAATCACATTATGGTGGTGGGGAAATTTATGATATGAAAATTGTATCTCAACATTAAAAATGAGTCATTCATATATATGTGTGTTTATATATACATACGTACATTCATCTCTATATATGCATGTATTCCCAGCTTTCTCTTCTTCCGTGGATATATTTGTCTATCTTTATGTTAATACTATGAGGTTCTGATTAGTCCAGTTCTATAGTAAAGCTTGAAATCAGATAGTCTTAACCCTCCAATTTTTGTTTTCAGAGTTGTCTTGACTATTCTAGGCCCTTTGCATTTTTGTGTGAATTTAAAAATTAGTGTTTCAGTTTCTACAAATAGCATTTTTAGATTTTGATTGGGATTATGTTCAATCTAGAAATAATTTGGGAAAATTTAGAATTGAAATCTTAGCAATATTGAATCTGCTGACCCATTAACATTTATATAGACCTTCTTTAATTTTTCTCAGCAGTATGTTATAGTTTTCAGTGCATGGGTCTCATGTCTTTTGTCAAATCTATCCCCAAGTATTTTATATTTTCAGTGCTATTATAAATGGTGCTGTTTTTTAAATTCCTGTTTCTGATTCTTGCTAATGTATGGAAATGCACAGTTGATTTTTGGATATGGATCCTGTTCCCTGCAACCTTGCTACGGACTCACTGATTCCAGTGGGTTTTTTACTTGGTGATCATGTTGTCTTCAAATAAACACAGTTGTACTTCTTTCTTTAAATCTGGATGTCTTTTGTTTCTTTTGCTTGCCAGCTTGCACTGGCTAAGAATCTCCAGTACAATGTTGAATAGAAGTGATGAGAATGGATAATTCCTGATCTTAGAAAGCATTTAGTTCTTTGCCATTAAGTATGATGTTAGCTTTAAGTTTTTCATACATGCCCTTTATCAGACTGAGAAAGTGTTCTCTTCCTAGTTTCTTGAGAATTTTTTTTATCAAGAATGGATGGTGGATTCTGTCAAATTCATATATATATGAATATATATATGAATATATATATGAATACATATGAATATATATGAATATATATATGAATATATGAATATATATGAATATATATATGAATATATATGAATATATGTGAGTATATATATGAATATATATGAATATATGTGAGTATATATATGAGTATATATATGAATATATGTGAGTATATATATTCTTTCATATATATATATGAAAGAAATGAATGTTAAACCAACTCTGGGTTCCTGGGTACACCCATTTGGTAATAATGTATTATCCTTTTAATACATTGTGTAATGAGATTTGCTAAACTTTTGTGTAGAATTTTTATGTCTATGTTCTGAGAGATACTGGCTAACAATTTTCTTTATCTAAAAAGATATTTGTCTAATATATTTGTTAAGTTTTCATTTAAGGGTAATGCTGGCCTTATAGGATGAGTTGGGATGTGTTCTCTCCTCTTCAGTTTTATTGAATGAATTTATGTTAAATTGGCATTGTTTAGTGCTTAAATGTTTGGTAGAATTTGGCAGTGAATCCATCTGGTTCTAGATTTTCATTGTGGAAAGATTCTTAAAAACTATATTTTCAGTGTCACTAATATAGGGCCATTTAGGTTATCAATTTTTTTCTTGAGTTACCTTTAATAATTTATGTCTTTCAAAGAATTTGTCATTTCATCTAAGTTGTCAAATTAATTGACATATTTATTAATGTCATATTTATTGATGTTAAGAACTTTATTAATGGCATAAAGTTCTTAATATTCTATTATATTTTTGATATATGTAGAGTCTCTGATGGTATCACCTCTTAATTTTGGTATTGATAATTTATATCCTTTATTCATTATCAGCCTGACTTAAGATTAGTTAGTTTTATTCATCTCAAAGAACTAGCTTATAATTTCATTAATTTTTCTATTTTTGTGTTTCTTATTTTACTGATTTTTGTTTTAATATTTGGTATAGTTTGAGTATTCCTTTTCTCTCCTCTCCTCAAGCAAAAGATAGGCTTCTCTTTTGGAGCTGTGAGCTATGCTCCCTGTGGTTGGGGGAGGGGTGGCACCTGCACTCCCTTAGCTGCCCCAGCTGGTATCTCACTAGCTGGCTTTGAGCTCTGAACAGCAATAGGACTTGCCCAAGAATTATAGTTTTTGTGGCCTAGACAGCCTTTCAAGTTTATTTATGACCCCAGAGCACTTTCGCCTGTGGTGGTGAGGTTTGCTGAAACTGAAGTTCCAACCACCTGGATGGACGATTCCCCTCTGGCTAGGGCTGGTCTAAATGCACCTTCTTTGGCCACTGGCTGAGTTCTGCCTGGTGTTAGCAGCACTGTGTTCCATTACAGAGTCCCACAAATGCTATACTACCCCTCCCCTAAGTGCCTTGATTCTCCCTCCATGCCATGTGGCTTCTGTTGGGGAATGAGAAAGGGGTAGTGTAGGCAATTCAAGACTGTCTTTCCTACCCTCTTCAGTGCCTCTTTTGGCAATATGAAGTTAAAACCAGGTTCTGTGATTGCTCACCTGATTTTTGGTCCTTTTGAAGGTGCTTTTTGTAGATAGTTTTAAAATTTGATGTTCCTTTGGGGAGGATGATTGGTGGAGGCTTCTATTTGGCTATCTTGCCCTGCTTCGTCCAAATCTGAAATTCTGTTAACTGTTAAGCAACTCTTCTCACCTCCAGCCCCTGGTACCATTTTATGTTGTTTGTTTGTATTTATTTATTTATTCTTTAAATTTTATTTTATTTCAATAGCTGTTGGGGAACAGATGGTTTTTGGTTACATGGATAAATTCTTTAGTGATGATTTCCGAGATTTTGGTGCACCCGTCACCCAAGCAGTGTACACTGTACCCAATAGGTAGTCTTTTATTTCTCACCCCTTCCCACTCTTCCCCCAAAGCCCCAGAAGTCCATTCTATTATTCTTACACCTTTGCATCCTCATAGCTTAGCTCCCACTTATAAGTGAAAACATACAATATTTGGTTTTCCATTCCTGAGTTACTTCACTTAGAATAATAGCCTCCAACTCCATCCAAGTTGCTGCAAAGGCCATTATTTTATTTCATTTTATGGCTGAGTAGTATTCCATGGTGTATATATACACCACGTTTTCTTTATCCACTCATTGGTTGATGGACATTTATGTTGGTTCCATATTTTTGCAGTTGTGAATTGTGCTTCTGTAAATACGCATGTACCTGTGTCTTTTTCATATAATGACTTCTTTTCCTTTGAGTAGGTACCCAGTAGTGGGATTGCTGGATGGAATTGCATTTCTACTTTTAGTTCTTTAAGGAATCTTCATGCTGTTTTCCATAGTGGTTGCACTAGTTTACATTCCCACTAGCAGTGTAAGTGTTCCCTTTTCTCCACAACCATGCCAACATCTATTATTTTTTTTATTTTTAAATTATGGCCATTCTTGCAGGAGTAAGGTGATACCTCATTGTGGTTTTAATATGCATTTCCCTGATAAGTAATGATGTTGAGCATTTTTTCATATGTTTGTTGGCTGTTTGAATATCTTCTTTTGAGAATTTCAAATTCATGCCCTTTGCCCGCTTTTTGATGGGATTATTTGTTTTTTTTTTCATACTGATTTATTTGTAGATTCTGGATATTAGTCCTTTGTTGGATGCACAGTTTGCAATTATTTTCTCCCACTCTGTGGGTTGTCTGTTTGCTCTGCTGATTATTTCTTTTGCCGTGTAGAATCTTTTTAGTTTAATTAGGTACCATTTATTTTTTTTTTGTTTTTGTTGCATTTGCTTTTGGGTTCTTAGCCATGAATTCTTTGCCTAAGCCAATGTCTAGAACAGTTTTTTTGATGTTATCTTTTAAAATTTTTATAGTTTCACGTCTTAGGTTTAAGTCTTTGATCCATCTTGAGTTGATTTTTGTATAATGTGAGAGATGAGGATCCAGTTTTATTCTTCTATGTATGGCTTGCCAGTTATTCCAACGCAATTTACTGAACAGGGTGTCCTTACCCTACCTTATGATTTTGTATGCTTTGTTGAACTTCAGTTGGCTATATGTATTTGACTTTATTTCTAGGTTCTCTATTGTGTTCCATTGGTCTATGTGCCTGTACTATGTATGTACTACGGGCACTAAGTATGTACCCATACTGTGCTGCTTTGGTAACTATAGCTTTGTAGTATAGTTTGAAGTTGGATAATGTGATGCCTCCAGGTTTGTTCTCTTTTCTTAGTATTGCTTTGGCTATGTGGGCTCTTTTTTTGTTTTCATATGAATGTTAGCATTGTTTTTTCTATTTCTGTGAAGAATGATGGTGGTATTTTGATGGGAATTGCGTTGAATCTGTAGGTTGCTTTTGGCAGTATCGTCATTTTAACAATGTTGATTCTACCTATCCATGAGGATGGGATGTGTTTCCATTTGTTTGTGTCATCTATGATTTCTTTCAGCAGTGTTTTATAGTTTTTCTTGTAGAGATCTTTCACCCCCTTGGTTAAGTATATTCCTAAGGTTGGTGGTGGTGGTTTTGTTTTGTTTTGTTTTTTGTTTTTGCCACTGTTGTGAAAGGGACTGAGTTCTTGATTTGATGATTTGATTCTCAGCTTGGTCATTGTTGGTGTATAGCAGTACTCTTCATTTGTGTACATTGATTTTGTGTCCTGAAACTTTACTGAGTTCATTTATCAGTTCTAGGAGCTTTTTGGATGAGTCTTTAGGGTTTTCTAGGTATATGATCATATCATCAGCAAACAGTGACAGTTTGACTTCATCTTTTCAAGTTTAGATGTTATTTCTTTCTCTTGCCCGATCACTCTGGCTAGGACCCATTTCATTTTCTAATTCTATGAATTTGACTACTGTGTTAGTCAGGGTTCTCTAGAGGGACAGAACTAATGGAATAGATAAATATATATAAGGGGGAGTTTATTAACTATTCACTCACATGATCACAAGGTTCCACAATAGGCCATCTGCAGGCTGAGGAGCAAGGAGAACCACTCTGAGTCCCAAAACGAAAGAACCTGAAGTCTGATGTTTGAGGGCAGGAAGCATTCAGCACACGAGAAAGATATAGTCTGGGAGGCTAGGCCGGTCTTTCTTTTTACATTTTTCTGTCAGCTTATATTCTAGCCTTGCTGACAACTGATTAGATTGTGCCAACCCAGAGTAAGAGTGGGTCTGCCCTTCCCAACCCACTGACTCAAATGTTAATCTCCTTTGGCAACACCCTCACAGTTACACCCAGGATCAATACTTTGTATCTTCTATCCAATCAAGTTGACACTCCGTATTAACCATCACAAGTCTACCACTTGTCAACTTGAGCCCATACACATCTCCTGAGATCATACGTAATCTTCAAATAAAGACATAAATAAGGTCATAATTATGCCTAGCATAATACAACTATTCTTCATACAACCGGAAACGCACAAATCCCCAACCAAAATACTATTACTTAAAGTTAACAATACTTAAATGCTGATGTGAAGTCAATAAATCTTATGTTACATGATAAAGGAGAGAAGAAATAAAATGAAGATATTTTCTTAGTACAGGAGTATACATGCACAAACATGTTTTTAACAAAAGAAGGAGGAAATACTCATGACAGTTACAGTCCTTGTTTCTGCACTGGTCATGTGATTGTAGCTGGTATGATGACCACATTCTTCTACTACCCATTTTGTATTCTCTTTGCCTTCAGCAAGCACCTCGGAGAGTCTTGGTTTTTTTCCTGGTGGAGTGACCCAAACCTTCACTCCTGAAGGGGCTGGGTCATTTGTAGTCCTGCCTGGATTGGGCTGTTGTAGTTTCCCATTGACCTTAATCACAGGGCATGGTAATACTAAGAGATGCCGTAATGGACCTCCTGTGTTCCATGCATACTCCTCCTTACCTCTGTTGTGGAGTAGTAGACTGATTTCATGTTGAAAGTCTGGGTTGGTCATCCCAGCCAACACTGTATCTCCCTTTTTTAGCCTATTGACTTAAAGGTAGGAGGAGCCCAAATTGTCCAGGTAGCAATCTTAACTTCCAGTTTATTGTGCCTCCTGGTGGCAGCATTCCTCTGGAACTAAGACCTCTAGGCCAGCAGAATGTAATATCGTGGGAACAGGAAGCAAAGATTTTGCTAGTGGATCACTATGGGTGATGGTGAGTGGTGCTACTTCCACCCCTTGATTCCTGGACTTGTGAATCCTGGCTATGGGAGAAACAGTACCACATATTGGACGCTGATTCAGAGCGTACACAGCCTTCTGGAGAACTTTGCCCCAGCCCTGCAAAGTATTGTCACCTAATTGGCGTTGTAATTGTGACTTCAAAAGGATATTCCACCATTCTATCAATCCAGCTGCTTCAGGATGATGGGGGAACTGATAAAACCAGTGAGTTCCATGAGCAGGAGCCCACTGCTGCACTTCTTCAGCTGTAAAGTCAGAGGTAATGCTGTGTAGAATACCATGACGGTGGATAAGGCATTCTGTGAGTACAGAAGCATTGGCAGAAGCATTGTGTGCAGGATAGGCAAACCCATATCCAGAGTAAGTGTGTATTCCAGTGAGGACAAACCTCTGCCCTTTACATGATGGAAGAAGTCCAGTATAATCAGCCTGCCACCAGGTAGATAGCTGGCTGATCACCCTGAGGAATGGTGCCATATTGAGGGCTCAGTGCTTGTCTCTTCTGCTGGCAAATTGGGCACTCAGCAGTGGCTGTAGCCAGGTCAGCCTTGGTGAGTGGCAGTCCATGTTGCTGAGCCCATGCGTAACCTCCATCCCTGCCACCATGGCTACTTTGTTCATGGGCCCATTGGGTGATGATAGGTGGCTGGGGAAAGAGGGTGAGTGGTGTCCACAGAATGGGTCATCCTATCCACTTGATTATTAAAATCCTTCTCTGCTGAGTTCACCTGTTGGTGAGCACTCACATGGGATACAAATATCTTCACAGGTTTTTACCCCTCAGAGAGGTCCGTCCACATAACTCTTCCCCAGATTTCTTTGTCACCAGTTTTTCAATCATGCTTCTTTCAAGTCCCTGACCATCCAGTCAAACCATTGGCTACAGCCCACAAGTCAGTATATAATCGCTCATCTGGCCATTTCTCCTTCCATGCAAAGTGCACAACCAGGTGCATTGCTCGAAGTTCTGCCCACTGGGAAGATTTCCCTTCAGGTCTGTCCATCAGGGATGTCCTGGAAAGGGACTGAAATGCTGCAGCTGTCCACTTTCGGGTGATGCCTGCATATCGTGCAGAACCATCTGTGAACCAGGCCGTAGTCTTCTCTTCCTCTGCCAGTTGATCACAGGGAACTCCCCATGAGGCCATTGGTGCAGGCTGGGGGAGAGAAGGCAGGGTAGCAGGAGTGGAGACCATGGGCATTTGAGCCACTTCCTCACATAACTTACTTGTGCCTTCAGGACCTGCCCAAGCCTGATCACATATATACCCTTCCATTTGATGATGGAATGCTGCTGTGTACCCACTTTATGGCTAGATGGGTCAGAAAGCACCCACTTCATGATAGGCAGTTCAGGTTGCATGATAACTTGATGACCCTTCAGTTTTCACCAAAGTCCAGTAACAGGCTAAGAGCTGTCTCTCAAAAGGAGAGTAGTTATCTGCAGAAGATGGCAGGGCCTTGCTCCAAAATCCTAGAGGCCTTTGTTGTGATTCACCTATGAGGGCCTGCCAAAGGCTCCAAACAGCATCCTTATCTGCCACTGACACCTCAAGCACTATTGGGTCTGCTGAGTCATATGACCCAAGTGGCAGAGCAGCTCGCACAGCAGCCTGGACCTGTTGTAGAGCCTTCTCCTGTTCTGGACCCCACTCAAAACTGGCAGCCTTTCAGGTCACTCGATAAATAGTCTGGGGTAACACACCTAAATGAGGAATGTGTCGACAACAAAATCCAAATAGGCCCACTAGGCATTGTGTCTCTTTCGTGGTTGTAGGAGAGGCCAAATCCTTTACCTTAGAAGGAATATCTCGACAGGTCCCACACCACTGGACCCCTAGACATTTTACTGAGGTAGAAGTTCCCTGAATTTTAGTCAGATTTTTTTTCCCATCCTCTGGCGTGCAAATGTCTCACCAATAAATTCAGTGTGTTTGCTACTTCTCGCTCACTGGATCTAATCAGCATAATGTCATCAATGTAGTGGACCAGTGTGATATCTTGCGGAAGTGGAAAGTGATCAAGGTCTCTCTGAATAAGATTATGACACAAAGCCGGAGAGTTGATATACCCCTGAGGTAGGACAGTAAAGGTATATTGCTGGCCTTGCCAGCTGAAGGCAAATTGATTCTGTTGGACCTTATGCACAGGAGTGGAGAAAAAGGCATTTGCCTAGTCAGTGGCCACATACCAGGTACCAGAAGATGTGTTAATTTGCTCAAGCAATGAAACCACACCTGGTACAGCAGCTGCAGTTGAAGTCACCACTTGGTTAAGCTTATGATAATCCACTGTCATTCTCTAAGATCCATCTGTCTTCTGCACAGGCCAAATGGGAGAGTTGAATGAGGATGTGGTGGGAATCACCAACCCTGCATCTTTCGAGTCCTTATGGTGGCACTAATTGCCGCAATTCCTCCAGGGATGCAATATTGTTTTTGATTTACTATTTTTCTAGGTAGAGGCAGCTCTAATGGCTTCTATTTGGCCTTTCCCACCGTAATAGCCCTCACCCTACCAATCAGCCAATGTGGGGGTTCTGCCTGCTGCTGAGTATGTCTATGCCAATTATGCATTCTGGCACTGGGGAAATGACCACAGGATGAGTCTGGGGACCCACTGGACCCACTGTAAGTCAGACCTGAGCTAAAACTCCATTAATTACCTCACCTTCATAAGCCCCTTCTTTAACTGGAGGACCACAATGATGTTTTGGGCCCCTGGATTCAGTGTCAGCTCAGAGTCAGTGTCCAGTAGTCCCCGAAACGTCTGATTGTTTCCCTTTTCCCAGTGCACAGTTACCCTGGTAAAGTCCGGAGGTCTCCTTGGGGAAGGATGGGAGAAAGATTTATAGCATAAATTGTTGGTAGTATAGTGGGGTCCTTCCTCAAGGGGAGCAGACTTCCCCTTCATTCAAGAGGTTCTGAGTCTATAAACTGGCTCCAGTCTGGATATTGATTGAGGGGCCATGATTCTCTGTTTTTATATTTAAAATTAGTCTTTTGTCCACTTGACCTGGAATTTTTCTGCTTATATAAATTAAGTAGGAATGCAGTAGGATTCCTATCAATTTCACTTCTAGAAACACCGTGATTAATTAGCCAGTGCCAGAGCTCTGCATAAGTCAAACGATTCTGATTGTTGCTTTGCCTCTGCTGTCCATTATGGTAGCCGTGCCCATCTTGCCTTTGATGGTTGAGTGCTGCCACTTGGCCCTGCCATCTCGGGATCCAATTATTTCCATTGCATTTAAATTTTGTGGTTGAGTGACTGGGGTTCCCATTGTTAGATCTGGCATACATCAAGATCTTGAAGAGCAATCCTTACAGAGCTCTTCAAAGATGTAGGTGTTGCCCTCACAAATCTATTTTGGAAAGCATTGGTTAAGGATATATCTTCTGGACCCTCCCAGCTGGAATGAGAAGGTCTAAAGTGACTAATCCACTCCACCATTCCAATCTCTCTATACCTTTGGATCCCGTTCTAAACCAAGGGAGGAAATCAGGCATTTCCAGCTCGCTCACAGTGGGCCATCTTTTAAAAAGCTATATTTTAGCTAACCAAGCAGACAAACTATTAGAATCTTTTTTAACTCCCTGAGCTACAACATTAAATGTAGAATCCCTATTTAGTAGGCCCAAATCGACAAATTCACCTGATCAAACTCTATGTTCCTTCTATCATCATCCCACACCTTAATATCCATTCCCATGACTCTTCTCAAGATTTCTGCTTATATAAATTAGAGAACTCAAGCAGTTCTTTTTGAGTGTAGCACATCTCCTCATGGCCACACTCTGAACCTCACTTCTAGGAGCCTGCTAGGACTTTAGTCTTGTTATAGGTCTAGAAGCAAACAGAGGTGTTGGGGATAGCTCCTGAGGAGAATCAACTTATGTTGCCTGGCAACTGCCTCAGGGGAGGCCATCACTGTTGCCTCAGGCAGCACAGGGTTTATCCCCTCAGACAAAGGTGGAAAGGTTGATAGGAATGTGGGTCGGGGAGGGGATGTTGCCACTACTGGGGATGAGAAAGCTGTTTCTTCCGGCAAAAAAAATTCATCAGAGTTTACAAGCTCAGTGTCCCCAGTGTCATCAGGGTCCTCCCACATATCCCCATTCCCAGTTGCAAGGTCCCATTCTTTTCCAATCAATGCCCTCATTTTAACAGTAGACACCTGGCAAGGCTGTGCATGCACCTTTCATTGCAGGCCAGCCACTCGCGTGATAAAAGCTTGTGTCTGGTTTTCCACAGCTTCATCTCTTTCTCTTCAGGAGATAAGACTCTTACTCAGGGCAATCTTAGAAGATTTGAGGCTCAGTGTCTGCTTCTGAAGCCAGGAGTTAGCATCCCTGAGTTCATCATTTTCTTTCATCACTTTGTCCAGTGAACTTAGGAGCAACCAACCAACTTCATTATGTTCCTTGGTTCTCCACATATGGTCAAAGTTATTATGTACAGGGTCACTAAACTCCTTGCCTTTCATGAGCAGTGAATCAGGAGTGTCAAATGCATTTATTTTGCATAACTCTCTAAACAGTTCGTGCCAGGGACCATAGTGTTCTCCATACTATTAGAAGTAGAGTCCTTAACATTTTGGAGTCTAATCATATTTAGCAGCCAACTCCAGAAACCCCAAAACCAACAAAAGAACTCCATCCTTAATATTTGTTGGTACCAAAATCTGTATTACTCAGGATTCTCTAGAAAGACAGAACTATATATATGCATAGTTATATATATATAAACTCTCATATATATATGGGAGTTTATTAAGGAGTATTAATTCACACAATCACAAGGTCCCAAAATAGGCCATTTGCAAGCTGAGGAGCAAGGAAGCCAGTCTGAGTCCCAAAGCTGAAGAACTTGGAGTCTGATGTTGGAGGGCAGGAAGCATCCAGCATGGGAGAAAGATGTAGGCTGGGAGGCTAAGCCAGTCTAGTCTATTCACGTTCTTCTGCCTGGTTTTTATTCTGGCCACGCTGGCAGTTGATAAGATTGTGCCCACTCAGATTAAGGGTGGGTCTGCCTTTTCCAGTCCACTGGCTCAAATGTTAATCTCTTTTGGCCACACCCTCACAGAAACAGTCAGGAATAATACTTTACATCCTTCAATTCAATCAAGTTGACAGTATTAACCATCACAATGACCTTCTTTGTCTTTTTTTATAGTTTTTGTCTTGAAATCTATTTTGTCTGATATTAGTATAGCTACTCCTGCTCTTTTTTGGTTTCTATTTGCATGGAATATTTTTTCCATCTCTTTATTTTCAGCCTATATGTGTCTTTGTAGATGAAGTATGTTTCTTGCAGGCAAGGAATTGTTGGATCTTATTTTGTAACCTATTCAGCCACTCAACATCTTTTGTTTGGAGAGTTTAGTTTATTTACATTCAATGTTATCATTGTTAAGTAAGGACTTACTTCTGCCATTTTGTTACTTTTTTTTCTGGTTGTTTCATGGTCTTCTTTCTTCTTCTTTCCTGTCTTTTAGTGAAGGTGATTTTCTCTGATGACATGTTTTAATTTATTGCTTTTTATATTTTGTGTTATCTGTTGTATGTTTCCAAATATGAAGTTACGATGAGGCTTGCAAATAATATCTTATAACCTGTTGTTTTAAACTGATGACAACTTAACAGTGATTACATAAACAAACTAACAAGTAAAGAGAAAACTAATAAAAACTCTACACTTTAACATCATGCCCCTACTTTTAACTTTTTATTGTTTCTACTTATATTTTATTGTACTATGTCTTGAAAAGTTGTAATTATTATTTTTGATCAGTTCATCTTTTAGTCTTCCCACTCAAGATATGAGTAGCTTACACACCACAATTACAGTGTTTTGATATTCTGTCTTTTTGTGTACTTACTATTACTAGTGAGTTTTGTGCCTTCGGATAATTTCTTATTTTTTATTAAGGTGCTTTTCTTTCAGATTAAAGAACTCCCTTTAGCTTTCTCATAGGATAGGTCTGGTGTTGATGAAATCTCTCAGCTTTTGTTTGTCTGGGAAAGTCTTGAATTCTCCTTCATGTTTGAATAATATTTTCACCAGACATACTATTCTGCAATAAAAGTTCTTTTTCCTTTGGCACTTTCAATATATTATGTCACTCTTTCCTGGCCTGCAAGGCTTCCACTGAGAAGTCTGCTGCTAGGCATATTGAAGCTCCACTATATGTTATTTGTTTCTTTTCCTACTTTTAGAATCCTTTCTTTATTATTGACCTTTGGGAGTTTGATTATTGAATGTCTTGAGTTAATGTTATTTGGGTCAAATCTGCTCAGTAACCTTCTTGCACTTGAATATTGATATCTTTCTCTAGGTTTGGGAAGTTTTCTGTTATTATCCCTTTGAATAAACTTTCTACCCTCATCTTTCGATTTCCTCCTCAAGGCCCAAAACTCTTAGATTTGCCCTTTTGAAGTTACTTTCTAGGTATCATAGGCATACTTTCATTCTCTTCTATTCTTCTTCCTTTTGTCTCCTATAACTGTGTATTTTCAAATAGCCTGTCTTCAAGCTCACTAATTCTTTCTTCTGCTTGATTAATTCCACTATTAACAGACTGTGATGCATTCTTTAGTATTTCAGTTGCAGTTTTTAACTCCAGAATTTCTACTTGATTCTTTTAAATTATTTCAATCTCTTTATTAAATTTATCTGATAGGATTCTGAATTCCTCTCTGTGTTCTCTTGAATTTCTTTGAGTTTCCTCAAAACAGCCATTTTGAATTATCTGTCTGAAAGGTCACACATCTGTGTCTCTCTGGGATTAGTCACTGGTGACTTATTTAGTTCTTTTGGTGAGGTCATATTTCCTGAGTAGTCTTGATGCTTGTGGATGTTCACTGGAGTCTGGGCTTTTTTTCTGCCTCTTTGTGTGCTTAGTAATCTTTGGTTAGATGCCCAACGTTATGAGTTTTACCATGTTAGTTGCTGGATGTCTTTACATTATTGAACCTGGTTTTGGTATACAGTCAAGTTCATTTGATGACTTGCTTTTATAACTTGTTAGGTGGGTCTGGTGCAGTACTCAGTCTGGGACTAGTGTTTATTCCCTACTGCTCAGATAAGATCATTCTGAATACTCTACCTAATGTTCTGTGAAATACAAGTTTTTCAAGTTTGATTGGTGGAAATAAGGACAAATTATTCCTGGAGCTAGGTGGACTCTAGTCACTGTTCTCTTTTATTTTGGATTGTTCTCTTCCTAGCCTCAGGTTATTTCATTGCATACATGCACCAATCAGTGCTCTGCTGTGTACCAGGAGACTCTCTGTTCATTTCTGGGGTGCTGTCTCTGGGCAGCTTTCTTCTCTCTGGTACTTTGTCCTGTGAACTCTAACTGCCTTTGTCTCTCTGCACTCTTAACTCCATCTCTTCAATTCTTAGAGCCCATCAGGCTTCACTTCAATTTCCCTGCCCTGTGCCACTGCCTGGAACCTTCCAAGGCAGTAATCTCTAGCAGTTATAGGGTTTACTTCACTTGTTTCCCATCTGTCAAGGAGCAGTGTTGTTTGTTACCTGGTGTCCAATGTCTTGAAAACCATCATTTCTTGTATTTGTTTGATTTGTGTACTTTTTAAAACTTTTTAAATTTTTTTGGTGGTTTAAGGTTGGAGGGCAAATGCGGTCCCTGTTACTCTGTTTTGGTCAGAAGCAGAATCCCTGTTTACTTGTAGTTTCAATCTGAAAAGACTGTTTTGCTACATTCTTACAGAAAAACTGTTTTTTTTTTTTTTGAGATATGGGGTCTGGCTCTGTTGCCCAGGCTGGAGTGCAGTGGTGCAATTTCAGCTCACTGCAACCTCTGCCTCCTGAGTTCAAGTGATCCTCTGGCCTCAGCCTCCTGAGTAGCTGGGATTACAGGCCCGTGCCACCACTGCCTGGCTAATTTTTGTATTTTTAGTAGAGATGGGTTTTCACCATGTTGGCCAGGCTGATCTGAAACTCCTGGCCTCATATGATCCATCTGCTTCGGCCTCTCAGAGTGCTGGGATTACAGGCATGAGCCACCGCACCTAGCCAGGAAGAACTCTTTTAATAGTAGCCATTGCTCATTTCTCTTTGGGAGGAGATAAAGCAGCCAGCAGAAATTTTTGAGGATATTCTTGGGATATTAAACTGATTTCCTGACTCCTTAGTTTCTGGGAATTTCTGGGAGTTATTTGGATAAAGAAGCTAATTTTAAATAATAATTTTATGAAATTCCTAACCATGTTATGATTTTATTTTCAGAATTAAGAAAAAGAGAGAGCAAGAATGTTATGCTGCAGAGCAGAGGATCCTAAGAATGAACTTTCATGAAGATCCATATTCAGGAGAGAAGTTGAGTGAGATATTAGCCCAGTTACAACTTCAAGAAATAAAAGGAACCAGAGAAAAACAACAGAGAGAAAAAGAATACCTGAGGTAATTTGAAAAGGTCTTCATGATATTTTGGCTCTAGAAGAGACTTGGTAGAACTCATTGTTCTCATTTTCCTTAGAAGAGAATTGACTGTGTCTTTTCATACTTTTCCTCATTTAGGAGTTCATAACTTCACCAAATTTTTTGATTGCCTAATACTTCTTGGGTGTAGCCCTGCGTTTTTCCCAGTACAAAGAGGAAATGTCAAGGCCCAGAGATACGGAATAGATTTAACAGTTAAATCTGGCTGTAAAATCAGGATTCATACTCACTTTCTTTTTAATAGTTCACTTTGCCTGATTATACTTTATTTGTACAGATATGTAGAAGCTTTACGAGCCCAAATCCAGGAGAAAATGCAGCTGTATAATATTACTTTACCTCCACTATGCTGTTGTGGTCCTGATTTTTGGGATGCTCATCCTGATACCTGTGCCAACAACTGTATTTTCTATAAAAACCACAGAGGTAAGTTTCTTGAAGGAATAGTCAGGGCCTAATGGCAACAAGAAAAATAAATAAGAGTAGTGGTAATAGTAATTTACCATTTATTGAGTGCTTACTATGTATCAGAGACTGTTATAAACCCTTTACAAAATAACTATATGAGGCAGTGAAAAAATTATAATGAGTTATATTTCTCTTTGAGATCTGTTATCTTCTTGTCTCCATTTATGCTGGGGAAATATTTTCAGCTCATTCTACTGTAGGAGGTCTTGAGTTTCAGGTCCTTTAACTGAAGACTATTAGAATTTGCCTTTTATGTAAGTTAGGACTCTATCCAGTTGAATTCCCTATTACTCAAATACTTTAATGGTATGTAACATGGACGTATTACCATATATATCCACATTAGATTGCTAGTTCTGCCAGGAGGCACTGAGAAAAATAAGAAACAGTATAAACTCTATCAGGAGTCCCAGCTAGAGAAAACTTAGTCCTTCATATTGTCATTAATATTTCTGTTTCCTATCCATCCTTAAATATATTGATTTATATAGTATAAAGATTATGTAGCCCTCATGTATACACTAGGAATACTGCCAGTATATATATTCCTAGTGCTTCATCTGTATAATACAAGTTTCTTATCAGCTTTATTTTAAAAAACACAAATCTAATTATGCCATTTCCCTATTCTAAAACCTCTAGGGCTACCCACTGCAGTATAAGATGCATGGCATGTTTGGTATATTTTCTCTCTGGCTCTGGGCCCTACTCTAGCCTTATCAAAGTTGCTATTCCCAGTATGTGCCATATTGTTTACTCCTTTTGCACCTCACACTCAGTTCTCTGTGTTCTTTCCTTTACTCTTGTTATTTCTTCATAACTCGTCTTAAGTGTTAACCACTTCTGGGAATCTTTGCCATCCTGTCCTAGGTAGTTGTGCATTCATTCCCAACTTCATTCTATGATGACATTTGTTGTTGTTGTTTGTTTTTTTGTTTTTGTTTTTTTTTTTCCGAGACAGCCTCACTCTGTCGCCCAGGCCAGAGTGCAGTGGCACGATCTCGGCTCACTGCAACCTCTGCCTCCTGGGTTCAAGCGCCTCAGCCTACCGAATATCTGGGATTACAGGTTTGTGCCACCACATCCAGCTAATTTTTGTATTTTTAGTAGATACGGGGGTTTGCCATGTTGGCCAGGCTGATCTCGAACTCCTGACCTCAAGTGATCCGCCTGCCTCAGCCTCCCAAAGTGCTGGAATTACAGGTGTGAGCCACTGTGCCTGGCCTATGATGACATTTTGTATATACCTTTGGTTTGGAAGTATTACATGGCAACTTAATTATTTTTGTGTCCATACTCTTTATTATTTTTTCTGTCCTCACAGAGTGCTTGTCATATAGTAAGTACTGAATAAATATTTATTCAATAGATAGTTACTTGTAAGACTCTTGGTAGAGAAGCAGTACTAATAAGATAGAGGCTGGTAGAGTTGTTTAGAATTTGACTTTATTCATTGCTGTGCAAACCTTTTTTTGCAGCATATACTCGGGCACTACATTCATTCATCAATTCCTGTGATGTCCCTGGGGGTAATTCAACTCTTCGAGTCGCAATTCATAATTTTGCTTCTGCACACAGGCGGACTTTGAAAAATCTATAATAAGAATCTGAAATTAACTGGTAGTATTTTGGCTTTTACTTAAAATCATCCCTGAGAGAGTATTTAAGAAAAGCTGTTCAAGTTATAAAATATATAATCTGGGAAGAAATACTGTCTCATATAATAATTAGATTGTAATCATTGTTTTAATCTCTGTCTGGGAACCAAGATTGAAAGCTGACTTACTTCTCTCTTCTGTCTTGTGAACCATACGGAGCCTATTATTTTAAAATATGATCAGACAAGTAAGGCTTCTCTTACTTTGCTCTGCTCTGATCAGAAGAGCTCATGTGAAGTCTTTGAGATTCTCTTATTTATCATCTTTCTAAAACTGTGTTTTTGAGCTTGACAGTACTGAAAATGTCTGGATGAAGCAGAAAAGAAAGTGATGAAATGTGTTTCTGAGCATCAGAGACCATCTATATTGCCATTACCTTTTCTAGTTGTATATAAGAATTCAAGATTAGAAGAATTTAGATTTGTTGCACATTTTTTTCCTCAGCATTTTTTCCTCTTGTTTTTTAAAATGTATTGCCTCTTTCCCCATTCAGTGACACTGGACATAGGAATTTTTAATTGTGTAATTTTCTGTTGCAAAAAGGGTAAATAAATCCTTTGTCTTTTGAATATCTTCTATGTGAAATAATTGTGAGTGACATTTGAAAAAGTGAATCTGAAGTCAAAGTGAGTAAATTCCTTATTTCCCTATTTTTTAAAAACCTGGTATATGACATGGCTACAGGGCAAATGAAATAAAAATTGCCATAGTTGGTATGAATTTGTTATTTCCTTGCAGTTTTTCCTGATACAAAATATGAAAAGGTTTAATATTATGAATTGGAGATACATACTAACAGTTTCTTTTTTCTACTTTCTCTAACGTACAGTGCTGAAGAAGCACTTAGGTTTGTGCTCAAAAAAAAAAAAAAAAAAAAAAAGCCTAAACATCTAGCCAAGGCTTTGAAAATAATTAGAATTACATGAACAAGATTGAATAGTTATGCAACCAGATTACCTAGTTCAGCCAAAATCCTTGAAGTAATTATAACTTGATTCAGCCTTTAAGTGTTGTATTTTTTAACAGCTCTATTGAGATATCATTCACATATTATATATAATTGACACATTTAAGGTGTATAATTCAGTGGTTTTTAGTATATTCACTGGTTGTGCAACCATCACCACTATAAAATGTTCACTCTAAAAAGAAGCCCCCATGATCCAGCAATCTCATTTCAAGGTATATCTCCAAAAGAATTGAAAGTAGGATCTCAAACAGATACTTGCACACCCATGTTTATAGTGGCATTATTAATAATAGCCAAGGTGGAAGCAACTCAAATGTTCATCAGTGGATAAATAGTAAATAATATGTGGTATATACAATAAAATATTCAGTCTTAAAAAGGAAGGAAATCCTGTCACACACTGCAACATTATGCTAAGTGAAAAAAGCAGTCACAAAAGGACAAATACTGTCATATGCAGTACTTTAGGTAGTCAAATTAATAGAGACAGAAAGTAAAATAGTGGTTGCTAGCAGCTGGAATTAGGAGGATGTGGAGAGCTTTGTTTAATGAGTATAGAGTTGCAGTTTTGCAGGATGAAATGGCTCTGGAGATCTGTTTCACAACAATGTAAGTATACTTAACACTACTGAACTGCACACTTAAAAATGGTTACAATGGTACATTTTAGGTTATGTGTTTTTACCACAATTAAAAATTTTAAAAATAGAAAATAAAGGAATCCCCCATACCCATTAGTAGCCACTCCCCATTTTCTCTCCCAAAATGCACCTCCAACCATAGGCAATCACTAATTACTTTCTGTCCTATAGATTGGCCTGTTGTGGACTTTTCATGTAAATGGAATATATCATATGTGATTAGATTTTTTCATTTAACATGTTTTCAAACATCTATCTTGTAGCATGTATCAGTACTTCATTGCTTTTTATTGCTGAATAGTACTTTATTCTATGGATATACCACATTTTATTTATCCATATATCAGTTGACAGACATTTGAATTGTTTCTACCTCTTGGCTATTATGAACACTGCTATGACCATTTATTTGCAAGTTTTTCTGTAGACGTATGTTTTCATTTCTTTTGGATATATACCTGGGAGTGGAATTACTGGGTCTTCTGTCAGCTCTGTTTAACCTTTTGAGAAACTGCAAACTGTTTTCAAAAGTGGCTGCACCATTTTACATTTCCACCAACAGTGTATAAGGGTTCAAATTTCTTCACATGTTCGCCAACACTTGTCATTATCTGTGTCTTTGCTTATAGCCATCCCAGTGGGTGTGAAATGATATTTCATCGTATTTTTAATTTCCATTTCCTCATGGCTGTAATGTTGAGCATCTTTTCATATACTTTATCTCTTTCGGAGAACTGGCTTTTCAGATCCTTTGTTTACTTTGTAGTTGGGTTATTTGTCTTTTTATTATTGAGTTATAAGTGTTATCATTGTATTCTACGTATAGGTTTCTTTTTTTTTTTTTTTTTTTTTTTTGAGACGGAGTCTCGCTCTGTCGCCCAGGCTGGAGTGCAGTGGCGGGATCTCGGCTCACTGCAAGCTCCGCCTCCCGGGTTCACGCCATTCTCCTGCCTCAGCCTCCCAAGTAGCTGGGACTACAGGCGCCCGCCACTACGCCCGGCTAATTTTTTGTATTTTTAGTAGAGACGGGGTTTCACCATTTTAGCCGGGATGGTCTCGATCTCCTGACCTCGTGATCCGCCCGCCTCGGCCTCCCAAAGTGCTGGGATTACAGGCGTGAGCCACCGCGCCCGGCCAGGTTTCTTACCATATATATGATTTGCAAATATTTTGTGCCATTCTGGGGATTGTCTTTTTACTTTCTCTATGATTTTCTTTGCAGCACAAAAGTTTTAAATTTTGACAAAGTCCATTTTATTTACTTTTTCTTTTGTGGTTTGTGCTTCTGTTGTCTTGTCTAAGAAACCATTACCTAATTCAGGGCCACAAATATTTACTCCTAAGTGGTCCTCTAAAAGTCGTATAGTTTTAGCTCTTATATTTAGGTCTGTGATCCATTTTGAGTAAGTTTTTCATACGGTGTTAGGTAGTGTTCCAACGTCATTCTTTTGTATATGGATAACAAGGATCCCAACACTGTTTGTTGAAAAAGACTATTATTTGCCCCATAAGATTGACAATACACATGAACTTCTATTTCTGAACTCTCAATTGTGTTCCATTGATTTATATGTTTTACCTTATGCCAGTGCAATCTGTCTTGATTACTGTAGCTTTGTAGTAAATTTTGAAGTTTGGAAGTGTGAGGCTTCCAACTTTGTGCTTTTTCAAGATTGTTTTGCTCTTCTGAGTCGGTTGCATTTTTGTATGAATTTTAAGATCACCTTCCTGCAAAAAGCTGGCTGAGATTCTGATAAGGATTGCCTTCAATCTATTGATGAATTTGGGGACTATTGCCATCTAACTTATGAACATAGGATGTCTGCCCATTCATTTAGATTTTCTTTCATTTCCTTCAACAATGTTTTATAGTTTTCGAAGCATAACATTTGCATTTATTTTGTTAGGTTTATTTCTAAGTATTTTATTCTTTGATGCTCTTATAAATTGAATTGTTTTCTTGCAGATTGTTTATCACAGGTATAAAGAAATACAGTTGACTTTTTTGCATTTATTAATAGTTTTTTAGAGAAAACCTTAGGATTTTGTATATATAAGATCTTGTCATCTATAAATAGCCTTTTATTTCTTTTCCTTGCCTAATTGCCCTGGCTGGAATATCCAGTACAATGTTTCATAGAAATGGCAAAGTGGACATCCTTATCCTGTTTCTGATTTTAAGTGGGAAGCATTTAGTCCTTCACCACTATATAGGATGTTAACTGTGGGTGTCCTTTTTCAAGTTGAGGAAGTTTCTCTCTATTACTAGTTTGTTGAGTGTTTTTGTTATGGAAAGGTGTTGGATTTTGTCAAATGCTGTGTCTGCATTTATTATTATCATGTATTCTTTGTCCTTTTTTTCTGTTAATATGCTGTGTTACATTGTTTTCAGGTGTTAAATTACTTTGCATTACCAGGATAAGTTGTATTGGTTTTTATTTGTTTCTTTCTTTCTTTGGTCTTATAAAACAATTTTATTTTGCTCGTTTGATTCTACTATTTTTTTTTTGGTTTGGTAATCTGAAACAGGTGAATTGACTGTTTGACATCAAATTAGTAGTAGAATTATGATGGGATTAGATCTTGCATTGGATTAGGAGACTTTCAAGTCTTCTTTTAGCCTATGAATATAAATTTCATCTGAGAATGTGTGTGCTTTTACATTATAATTTGGTTATATGTAGACAATGTCTAATGATTTATGTTTGTGGAGTTAGAGAATGCTGAGTAGCAGCTACCAACGAGGAAGACTGAGTCTCATGACCCTTTGTGATAGTAGTATGGTGAATCCTGTTTGGATTGGATCAGTGTACTTTGGAAAAGAGCCTGGAATCTTAAGTGTTTTTTTTTGTTTGTTTGTTTGGTTTTTTAGTTTACAAGTTTGTGAAATCAGAGTTGTATAGACATATTCCACTGTTGCGGGAAGTCAGGGACCCCAAACGGAGGGACCGGCTGAAGCCATGGCAGAAGAACACGGATTGTGAAGATTTCATGGACATTTATTAGTTCCCCAAATTAATACTTTTATAATTTCTTATGCCTGTCTTTACTGCAATCTCTAAACATAAATTGTAAAGATTTCATGGACACTTATCACTTCCCCAGTCAATACCCTTGTGATTTCCTATGCCTGTGTTTACTTTAATCTCTTAATCCTATCAGCTGAGGAGGATGTTTGTCGCCTCAGGACCCTATAATAATTGCATTAACTGCACAAATTGTACAGCATGTGTGTTTGAGCAATATGAAATGTGGGCACCTTGAAAAAAGAACAGGATAACAGCAATTGTTCAGGGAATAAGAGAGATAACCTTAAACTCTGACCGCTGGTGAGCTGGGCGGAACAGAGCCATATTTCTCTTCTTTCAAAAGCAAATGGGAGAAATATTGCTGAATTCCTTTTCTCAGCAAGGAACATCCCTGAGAAAGAGAATGTGCACCTGGGGGTGGGTCTCTGAACTGGCCCCCCTGGGTGTGGCCATCTCTTATGGTCGAAACTGCAGGGGTGAAATAGACCCCAGTCTCCCATAGTGCTCCCAGGCTTATTAGGAAGAGGAAATTCCTGCCTAATAAATTTTGGTCAGACTGGTTGATCTCAAAACCCTGTCTCCTGATAAGATGTTATCAATGACAGTGGTGCCTGAAACTTCATTAGCAATTTTAATTTTGCCCCAGTCCTGTGGTCCTGTGATCTCCCCCTGCCTCCACTTGCCTTGTGATATTCTATTACCTTGTAAAGTACTTGATGTCTGTGACCCACACCTATTTGCACACTCCCTCCCCTTTTGAAAATCCCTAATAAAAACTTGCTGGTTTTTGTGGCTTATGGGGCATCACGGAACCTACCAACATGTGATGTCTCCCCCAGATGCCCAGCTTTAAAATTTCTGTCTTTTGTACTCTGTCCCTTTATTTCTCAAGCTGGCCGATGCTTAAGGAAAATAGAAAAGAACCTACGTGAATATTGGGGCAGGTTCCCCGATATTCTACCGATTTTCTAGATTAGTAGGGGCCTGTAAGAAAGAAGAGGTGAAGATAGGAACTGAGCCGAAATGAGTAGATTTTGATTTGGGTGGTAGGAGTGTGAGGGACAGGATTAAATTTGCATCCTCAATTTCAAACAGGGTAAATGGCAGGCATTTCAATTGAAAAATGATTAAGTAAGAATGAACATTTCCTCGATGACTGTTTACATCTTACTCAAACTTTCCTCAAACTTCCTATAGGTTTTTCCTTACTTTCACTACCAGTTGGTGGCAGTACTTCCTGTGCCACTGAAAAAATAAGCAATCAAAAGGAAACTTCACAAGTTTCCACCATCATACCTACCCATCTACTTGCATCTGTTAATTCCTGTTAATGTGGATGAACTGTTTGTTCTCCTATCTTAGGCCTACCCTGACATGTGGCTAGATCCAATTCCTTCCCACCTACTCAAGGACATTTCTTCAGCATTTCTTCCCCTTCTTTTCTGCATCATCAGTTTTTCTCCTGTATACAAGAGTATTGCTATCAGTTTATAAACATGTTGTAATTTTGCCCATCTTAAAAACCAACCAACTAGAAAAAAAAGAAGAGAGGAGGAAAAAAACACCTCTATCCCACATCTTCCTTCAGCTGCCACTGAACTTCTCTGCTTCCCTTTATAACAAAAATCCTTGAGTTGTACATATTTGCTGCTCCTATTCCTCTCCTCACATTCTCTCAGATGCATTTTAGTGAGACTGTTTGCCTTTACCTCTCTAATAAAAGTACTCTTATTAAAGTCACCCAAAACTTCCACATTGCTAAATCTAATGGTCATTCTCAGACTCCATCTTACTGTCTTACTTACTTGCTTACTGTCTTACCGACTTATCTGTCAACAGAATTAAACAATTGATCAATCTTTTTTTTTTTCTGAAGTACCTTATTACCTGGTTCCCCCAACACTAGAGCTTTTTATTTTTCTTCCAACTACAACTGGCTATTGCTTCTTAGGTTTTGTTATTGTTGTTGTTGTTGTTTTTTGCTGTTTCTCCCCCATCTTCAATCCCTTAATATTGGAGTATCCTGGGGCTCAGTCCTTGGACTTCTTTTCTGCCTTGCTTTTCGCTTGCTCTTTTGGTGATCTCTTCTTATCTCATGGTTTTAAATATCATCTAAATACTGATAGCTCTCAAATTTATATATCTGGTCCACAGCTGTCTCTAACCTTCAGACTCATCTAACCCTGACTGCCTACTTGACATTTAGTTTTTCACAGATTTGCTCCTCCCACAGTCTTCCTCATATCAGTTAATAGCAGTTGCATCTTTCTAGTTATTGAGGCCAAAAATCTCATGGAAATCATTGACTCCCACCTCCGCTGCTCATCTTTCATCACTCACTCCATCAGCAAATCATTTCAGTTCTACCTTCATAATAGATCTGCAGTTCTCATGACTCCCTTTGCCATATGCCTGACCCACCCACCGTTCTCTCTCTCATGGATTATTGTAAGAGTTTCGCAAGTAATCTTCCTGTTTGCACCTTATGTATTTTCTCAGTACAGCTACCATACTTAATATTAATGTATCCCAAAACCAACCTTCTGATCTCTATCATTGCACACTCACCAATAAAACTAACCAACACAAAAATGTTTTCCTTACTATAGTCTTCCCCTTCTCAGTAAACAACAACTCCATCCGCTGTTTCTTCTGTCCAAAAAAAAGTGTGAAGTCAACCTTCATTCTTTTCTTAAACAACCCATATTCAATCCTTATTGGATCCACCTTGAAAGTATACTCAAAACGCAATTATTTTTCAATGCCTTCCCCACTACAACCCTGGTCCAAGTCATCATATCTCATCTGAGTTCTTGCAATAGCTCCCAAGTTGGTTTTCTTGCTTCCATACTTCCTCCTATAAACTGCTCTTAGCACAGCAGCCAAAGCAGTGAAAATAATTAAGCTCATGCCACTTCTCTGTCGAAGCCTCCTTTGGCTATGCGTTTTGCTCAGGGAAAGCTGGATCCCTTACAATGTTGTACAGGCCCTACACAATCTGATCCCTGTTACTTCTGAGGCTTTATCTCCAAGTGCCCTTCTCCTCGCTCACTCTACTCAGCCACACTGACTTTATTCTTCCTTGAACATTCTAGGGACACTTTTACTTCAGGGCTTTTTCATTCGTTGTTTGCCTGGAGACACGTCTTCCTTAGAAAATGTTTGGCCACTTCCTTACCTCCTTCAAATCTTTGCTCAAATATGGCTTATCAGAGGGCCTTCCTTGACCATCCTATTTTTAAATGCAGTCTTCCCCCTGGCCCCCAAACACAGGTACTCTATATCCCCTTTCCTTTCTTTTTCCTCATGACACTTATAGCTGTATGACATACTATATATTTTGCTAATGTTTATTTTCCCTATGTCCCCACTAATTTGTATATTTTGTGAGGACAGAGATTCTTGTCTCTTTGTTTAATGCTGCAGCCTCAGTTCTTAAGGCTATGCCTGGTGTGTAATAGGCTCTCAATAAGTATTTGTTAAATGAGTCAATACATTTGTCTTTAAAACATTCCAAATATTTCTACATGATTAGTACTTTTACCTAATGTGCTATTTACTAAAAAGGTTATTAGGAATCATTTTCGTTTGTTTTCCAGGTTTTCATTGCCATTGTGATTTGGAACAAATAATTTGATTTCTCTGGGCAGCACTTTCCTCTTTTGTAAAATAAGAGGGTTATACTAAGTGGCCTCCATCTACCCTATAGTTCTAACATTCTAGGAATTTATTATTTGTTTTGTACTTTTGACCTCACTGTTTCTCATTTTTCAGTTCATTCGCTGTTCATGCCGAGGTGTGGAGTAATGGTAGGTTTTACTTGTGGACAGTGAGATAAGGGTGGAACAAGTTTATTCTCCTCTACTGTAACTCCAGGATTGATTGTGTTGTCTGAGTAGATGCAATTTCTATAGGTCAAAGTAGAATAGAAGGGCAGAACAGAGGGCTACAGGAGCATATGGACATGAGCCCAGCAAGAGAGGCACAACCCCATGAAAGCTTAGCTTTAGCTCTTACCTAGAAGGGAACTTTATTAATTTCCAGAACCCATGGCAAGAGGTGGAAATGTGTATGTGATAGAGGCAATTCAAGGATTATGGTAGTAGCAGGGGATATACATGCTGTACTTTTCCTATAATAACCATCAGAAAGCATGTATGACGTGTTTTCCTAGGCATGCAACGTGAAACAGCTTGCTCCAGTTGCTTTGACTTAGTAAACTTCTGTGTCCTCTCCCTTCCATTGTTCCTGGATATTACTTAATTGTCCAGGCCTCACCCTTACCTATTTAACACTTTTATGATGGGCAGTCAACAACTTTATTGATGACCTACTGGGTACAGAGGCTAGAAACTCTTGCTTTTATATCTTCTAGACATTTAAGATTTGATAAAGGAGGCAGCAGGTATTATTTTTCTGTGTTTATTTACTTAGATTCTGTTTTTAGAATTAAAATATGTCCTTCAGTTTCTCTCTGAGTGTGGTGAGCATAATTTACTTGTGCCCCATCTTAAACATTTTTTCATGCTTCTTAGAAAAAAAGTTTGGGAGATTGGAACTGTTATAGAGGAAGACAAAAGCAAATAGCCACCTGGCTTGCTGGACCCATTCTGTTGGGTGAAAGACTTTAAATATGTTGGTTCAGATTTTTATAGCTCTCTTAAGGTGGAAATGAAGGGTCCATCTCTGGTCTTGTTCTCTGTATCACTGACCACTATTTGAGGTGGGCTGTATGGAAGCTGTCTAACATAGGTCACATGCTGCCAAGGAGAAGCCAAAGTGATTCCTTTTGATTAAGACAACATGGTGTTGTACCACATGAGTTATCTTATGCAGGCTCCAAGATGAGCTTACTTCTTTTAGAAGTTACCACTCAATTCTTGTCATAGATTCTACCCATGCTCAGATGCCTACAGCAATAATTAATGGATGAACTTATTAAACATGGTCATCTGATGTAATGCAATATGAAGCATGCAGTGCCTTCTGTAAAGTATTTTTGCCAAATAAAAGGTCGAAACTAAATGTAATCAAACCTGTCAGTCTTTCTCACTTGGTTATTGGGAGAAAAGCCCTAATGTTCTAAGGAATTCATTGTATATAATAAATTAACTTCTCTCCTGTTGATCTAGAATGGTACTAGTTATTTATGAACCATCTTTGAGGGAATTAAGAACATAATCACTCAAACTAATTTCTGGTTTAGATGATGATAATATGTAAAGAGAAAAGCCGTGAGGATTCCACTTATAGGAAATACAAGGAAACAAGTTAGATTATGCCACGAAGAAGCAGAAATCCAGAATATGGGTCATTTTGTAGGAAAATTGAGCCAATTTCTTTAGCAAGTTAAGAGCTTGAATTTTAAAAATGAGGAGATGGCTCTAGACAAACTTATAGAGTTAGCAACCACTAAATATAATGTATGGACCTTGTTTGGATCCTGATGTGAAGAAACAGTCTGAAAAAATAACTTTGAAGCAATGAGAGGAATTTGAATAGAATCTAAGTGATTCATTTTGTTAGGTAAGTCGACAGCATTGTGGTTATATACAAGAAATATACAGAGATGGCTACTGAAGTATATAGGGATGAAATTATGTTTGAGATTTACTTTAAAATAATTCAGTATAGATGAAGTGAGTGTGGCCAAAGCTTGATAATAGTGAATCTAGGTGACAGGTTTGTGGAGTTTCATCATGCTATTCTCTATTTTTGTGTATGTTTGAATTTTTTTAAGTTATTTACTTCAAAAAACTTAAACCTGAAATAATTTTGTTGACAGTATAACTGTCTTCCTTTT